>NC_000016.10:30377729-30692936 GCF_000001405.40 Homo sapiens | reverse complement strand
AAAAAAAAAAAAAAAAAAGTGAACTCACCATCTGAACCACAAAACTTGCTCCTCCTCCCTCTGCTCTGAGGAGATGGCACCATCCACTCAATTGCTCAAGCTAGAAATGTAGGCATCACTTTCCCTTTTCCTCATGCCCCACATCCAGACGCCAAGTCTTGTGCGTTACATTTTAAACACTTCTCCATTCTATCTGTTTCTCTTCACTCCTATGGGAGATACTTAAGCCCTTGATGATTTATAACCCCAAGAACTGGCTGGTTAGAAACTTTAGCGCCACCACCATGGTTTCCAATAGCTTCCCCGTCCCATTCTTTGATATGGACAGTTGATGTTTCTCAGTCTTATGTAAAGTGCTATGCAAATGAAGTTTCCAGGTGAACTGAGTCCTGCCTCCTGCTCTCTTCCATCCCAACAGCTGCTCCTAACCCCCCTGGCAAGTCAAAAATCTGGATCCGAAGCAGGCTGTACCACCCTCCTAATTGATCTTTGTGTGGCCAGTCTCTCCTGCCCCACCAAAACCCAGTTCCCGTGTGGTATCCATTGCAGTGGGGGAATCGGAACCAGCAATTGAGAGCGTGACATAATGTTAGGGAATGGCGAGGGCAATTACATTATAAAGCAGGTAGAGAGGGGCAGGGGAGGGGCCCTTTTAAACCAGGGGGACTCTGGTGAAGTGAAAGTTGGATGGAGACCTGAAGAAGATGTCTCCACACAGCAGCCAGGGGAAACTTGTCTCACTGCAGATCGGACAGAGTCACTCTCCTTCAGGTCCTTTCATGGCTCCTGTGAAAACCCTTTCCGAGGCCCCTGGGCCCTGCGTGATAAGCCCTTGGCAGATTATCTAGCCTCATCTCTCCCAGTGCCCTGCACTCCAGCCACTGCTGTCTCTCTGCAGGTTCTTTTCTCTGTTCTGAGCTTTCTCACACTTGCTTCTCTCTTTCCTTCCATGCAGTTACAACCTACACATCCTTAGTCCTAGGACAAAGTCACTGCTTCCAGAAGCCTTTCCTGCCCTCAGACTACGCTATATCTCCTGTAACAGTCTGCTTTTTTTGCTTATCTGCACTCTACGAATAATTCCTTGGGTTTACCTCTGTCTCGTTCACTTTAATGCATGCCCATCTATGTCCACTGTCTGGGGGAGTGCCACGCACATCATAAATATCCACACCTTGGGCTTGGTTGATGCCTGCTTGTTGCATGACGGCAATAGCTCATATGTGCTAATTTTTTTTTTTTAAGGCGGAGTCTCGCTCCCTTGCCCAGGCTGGAGTGCAGTGGTGCAATCTCGGCTCACTACAACCTCCACCTCCCAGGTTTAAGCAATTCCCCTGCCTCAGCCTCCAGGGTAGCTGGGATTACAGGCACACACCACCATGTCCGGCCAATATTTTTGTTTGTTTGTTTGTTTGTATTTTTAGTAGACACAGGGTTTCGCCATCTTAGTCAGGCTGGTCTCAAACTCCCGCTCAGGTGATCCACCCGCCTCGGCCTCCCAAAGTGCTGGTATTACAGGCGTGAGCCACTGCACCTGGATACTATGTGTTAAATTCACTCAAGAAGTATAATAATGACAAGCACTAAGCACCAACCTGTGTATTTACATGAATTAACTCACTTAATTCTCACAATTATGTTACATAGATTGTCGGCCAGGCGTGGTGGCTCACGCCTGTAATTCCAGCACTTTGGGAGGCCGAGATGGGTGGATCACCTGAGGTCGGGAGGTCGAGACCAGCCTGACCAACATGGAGAAACCCCGTCTCTATTGATAATACAAAATTAGCTGGGCGTTGTGGCACATGCCTGTAATCCCAGCTACTCAGGAGGCTGAGGCAAGAGAATTGCTTGAACCTGGGAGGCAGATGTTGTGGTGAGCCGACATCGCACCATTGCACTCCAGCCTGGGCAACGAGAGTGAAACTCTGCTTCAAAAAAAAAAAAAATAGATTACCATCCTTCTTTTATAGATGGTGAAAAGGATGGTTAAGTAACGTCGCAAGTTACGGAGCTGAAAAAGAACAACACAGGGACTGCTGTCAACCCAGAGGGACTTGACTCATTTTTGTGCTTTTTTTTTTTTTCCCCAAGAGATGGTCTCACTCTTTGCCGAGACTGGAGCTGGAGGGCAGTGGTGGGCATCATAGCTCACTTTAGCTTCAAATTCATGGGCTCAAGTGATCCTCCTGCCTCAGCCTCCTGAGTAGCTAAGACCATAGGTGCCAGCCACCATGGCTGGCTGACTTTTCTTAAGAGATGAGGTCTTGCCATGCGCAGTGGCTCATGCCTATAATCCCAGCACTTTGGGAGACGGAGGCAGATGGAATCACCTGAGGTCAGGAGTTGGAGACCAGCCTGGCCAACAAGGTGAAACCCCGCCTCTACTAAAAATACAAAAAAATGGCCGACTTGGTGGTTCGTGCCTGTAATCCCAGCTTCTTGGGAGTCTGAGGCAGGAGAATCACTTGAACCCAGGAGGCAGAGGTTGCAGTGAGCCAAGATTGCGCCATTGCACTCCAGCCTGGGTGACAAGCAAAACTCCATCTCAAAAAAAATAAATAAATAAAAATAAAAAAAAGAGAGAGATGAGGTCCTGCTTTGTTGCCCAGGCTGGCCTTCAACTCCTGGTTTCAAGCAATCCTCCTGCCTCAGCCTCTCGAAGTGCAGGGATTACAGGCATGAGCCACTGTGCCCAGCTACATTTGTGCTCTTAACTGCTGTGCAGTACACCTTGTCAAATCCAGGTCTAGCATCTGAGTCCATCTACCATGTGCCAGGCATTATTCTAGGCACTGGGGAGATAATGTTGGAAACACAAACAAGTAAAACACTCAAGGTTTCAGTTTTTATCAAGCTTACATTCCTGGTGGGAGAAGACAAATAACAAACATATAAATAAGTGTGAATATAAAATAATGATGGTTGGCTGGGCATGGTGGCTTACGCCTGTAATCCCAGTACTTGGGGAGGCTGAGGCAGGCAGATCACAAGGTCAGGAGTTCGAGATCAGCCTGGCCAATATGATGAAATCCCGTCTCTACTAAAAATACAAAAATTAGCCAGGCGTGGTGGCAGGCACTTGTACTCCCAGCTACTCGGGAGGCTGAGGCAGAAGAATCACTTGAACCCGGGAGGCGGAGGTTGCAGTGAGCCAAGATCGTGCCACCGTCACTGCACTATAGCCTGGGCGACAGAGCGAGACTCTGTCTCAAAAAAAAAAAAAAAAAAAAATTAGCCAGGCGTGGTGGCCCCTGCCTGTAGTCCCAGCTACTGGGGAGGCTGAGGCAGGAGAATTACTTGAACCTGGGGGGTAGAGGTTGCAGTGAGCCCAGACTGTGCCACTGCACTCCAGCCTGGGCGACACAGCGAGACTCTATCTCAATAAATGAATAAAATAAAATATAATAATGGCTGATACGTGTTATGAAAAAATGAAGTGGGGTGGATGAGCTCGGGTGAGGGGCAGAAGAGGCATTATTTTAGACAAGATTGTCTGGGAGGGCCTCTCTAGTGTGGTGACATTTGAACAGAGACGCTCTGGGGGAAGAGCATCCTAAGCAGAGGTAAATAAGTACAAAGGGGCCGGGCGCGGTGGCTCACGCCTATAATCTCAGCACTTTGGAAGGCTGAAGCAGGTGTATCACCTGAGATCAGGAGTTCGAGACCAGCCTGGCCAACATGGTGAAAACCCATCTCTACTACAAAAATTTGCTGGGCCTGGTGGCGAGCACCTGTACTCCCAGCTACTTGGGAGGCTGAGGTAGGAGAATCGCTTGAACCCAGGAAGTGGAGGTTGCAGTGAGCCAAGATCATTCCATTGTACTCCAGCCTGGGTGACAAGAGCAAAACTCTGTCTCATAAAATAATAATAATAATAAGTACAAAGTCCCTGAGGCTAGACCCAGCTTATCCTGCCAGGAACCCACCAGGAGACTGCAGGGGAAGGGGAACAGTGGGAGATGCGGTCTTAGAAGAGGATCAGGCCTGCATCTGGCAGGGCTTTGAAGACCAAGCTAAGGAGCTTAGATGGAATGTGAAGTGTAGCAGGAGGGCTTTGAGCAGAGGCCAGATACAACGTGCTGACAACGGACTGTTGGGATAAGAGTCTAAGTGACTGCTGTAGTCTAGGTAAAAGGTGATGGAGATTGAAATCTTTAAGCAGAAAGGGAATGTGGTGGTAAGGTTGACAGATTTAGCAAATAACTCTTCTGGGGAACCTCTGCGAGGAAACTCTGGAAGGCAGTTGTGGGTGGCTGAGGTCCCAGGAGGCTAGGAGAGGGTGCTAGAATACCTCTCCTCTCCACAAGGACTGAAAACTTCTCAGAACACAGCCAAGCACAGAGCCTTCGTGGGTTGAACCCAGCACATCTTAAGCAAACACACGAATCCAAAACATCCCAACCTTATGAGAAGGAAACTGTAATTATGACACCCAGTTCTAGGAAGGGTATGGGCAGCTAGGTGCACACACTGCTGTCGGAGGGACTGTAAGCATGCCCAAACTTTTTTATTTGAATTAAAAAATTATTCGGCCGGGCACGGTGGCTCATGCCTAATCCCAGCACTTTGGGAGGCCGAGGCGGGTGGATCATGAGGTCAGGAGTTCAAGACCAGCCTGGCCAAGATAGCGAAACCCCGTCTCTATTAAAAACACAAAAAAATTAGTGGGTAATCTTGGCAGGCGCCTGTAATCCCAGGTACTTGGGAGGCTGAGGCAGAGAATTGCTTGAACCCGGGAGGCAGAGGTTGCAGTGAGCCGAGATCACGTCACTGCACTCCAGTCTGGGCAACAGAGCGAGAGTCCATCTCAAAAAAAATTAAAAAAAATTCTTGAACCCAGGAAGCTGAGTTTTCAGTGAGCCGAGATTACGCCACTACACTCCATCCTTGGGCAACAGTGAGACTCCACCTCAAAACAAACAAACACAAAACAACAACAACAAAAGGAGAATATTGGCTGAGGTCACATGACATACAATAAATAAGAAAAGCCTTGATCCATTAAGTGACTCACAAAAGAGTGACCATTAAGTACTGCATTCTAAAAAAAAAAAAAAAAAAAAAAGGTGTGTAGAATAAGTACCTTCTGTTTTGTGGTCTTGTTAGAAAAAAAAAAGGAAACAAAACAAAAAAATAGCAGAATGTGTTTGTTAATTCCTGGAGAGTGGTACACAGGTGTTTTTTTGGTGTGTTTTTGTTGTTGTTGTTTGAGACAGAGTGTTACTCGTTGCCAGGCTGGAGTGTAGTGGCGCGATCTCAGCTCACTGCAACCTCTGTCTCCTGGGTTCAAGCGATTCTCCTGCCTCAGCCTCCTGAGTAGCTGGGATTACAGGCGCAGGCCACAGGTGTTTGTTATACTTATTTTTTAAACTTAAAAACAACTGGCCGGGAGCAGTGGCTCACGCCTGTAATCTCAACACTTTGGGAGGCTGAGGAAAGAGGATTGCTTGAGTCCAGGAGTTCCAGACCAGCAGGTGAAACATAGTCAGACCCTGTCTTTACAAAACAACAACTACTGAAAATGTTTTTAAGGTAGAGGTAAAACAAATGTTTGCTTTATCGTTACTATTTATTTATTTTTGAGACAGAATCTCCCTCTGTCCCCCAGGCTGGAGTGCAGTGGGCCTGACCTCGGCTCACTGCAACCTCCTCCTCCTGGGTTCAAACGATTCTCCTGCCTCAGCTTCCTGAGTAGCTGGGATTACAGGCATGAGCCACCATGCCCAGCTAAGTTTTCTGTATTTTTAGTAGAGACAGTTTCACCATGTTGTCCTCAGGTGATCCGCCTGCCTCGGAGGCCTCCCAAAGTGCTGGCATTACAGGCGTGAGCTACAGCACCCGGCTTATAGTTACTTTGGATTTTTTTGGGTTTTTTTTGTTTTTTTTTTTGTTTTTTTTTGAGAAGGAGTTTCACTATTGTTGCCAGGCTGGAGTGCAATGGCAAGATCTCGGCTCACTGCAATATCCGCCTCCTGGGTTCAAGCAATTCTCCTGCCTCACCCTTTCGAGTAGCTGGGATTACATGCACCCACCACAATGAATGCCCGGCTAATTTTTTGTATTTTTAGTAGGGACGGGGTTTCACCATGTTGGCCAGGCTGGTCTCGAACTCCCGACCTCAGGTGATCCACCCGCCTTGGCCTCCCAAAATGCTAGGATTACAGGTGTGGGCCACTGCGCCCGGCCATCTAGTTACTTTTTTTAAGAATGCATGTGTTTTATACACTCTGCTGGTGTGTTATATTTTTCAATTTTTTCCATTGGGTGGGTGCGTGTATGTGTGTGTGACGGAGTTTTGCTCTTATCGCCCAGGCTGGAGTGCAGTGGCATGATCTTGGCTCACTGCAACCGCCGCATCCTGGGTTCAAGTGATTCTACTGCCTCAGCCTCCGGAGTAGCTGGGATTACAGGCGTGGGCCACCACGCCCAGCTAATTTTTATATTTTTAGTAGAGACGGGGTTTTGCTATTTTGCCCAGGCTGGTCTCGAACTCCTGATCTCAGGTCATCTGCCTGCCTGGGCCTCCCAAAGTGCTGGGATTATAGGCGTGAGCCATTGTGCCCAGCCGGGGAATGTATTTTTAATTAAAAGCTTTTTTTTTTTTTAACAGGATTATAGGTAGAAAGGGAAGAAAAGACAAAAAAAGAACTTAAAAAGTAAACTTTCCAGGCACGGTGGCTCACACCTGTAATCCCAGCACTTTGGGAGGCCTGAGACAGGTAGATCACCTGAGGTCAGAAGTTCGAGACCAGCCTGACCAACATGGAGTAACCCTGTCTCTACTAAAAATACAAAATTGGCCAGGGATGGTGGCGCATGCCTGTAATCCCAGCTACTCAGGAGGCTGAGGCAGGAGAATCGCTTGAACCCGGGAGGTGGAGGTTGCAGTGAGCTGAGATGGTGCCACTGCACTCTAACCTGGGCGACAGAGCGAGACTCTGTCTCAAACAAAAACAAAAAGAAAAAACTGCAGTAGTTAGGGATTGTTTGATTCAATTGTGCTGTAACCGTAAATGGCGTATGTGCAAGCTTTAGAAAGAAAGGACGATGAGCCAGGCACAGTGGCTCACGCCTGTAATCCCAGCACTTTGGGAGGCTGAGGCGGGCAGATCACCTGAGGTCAGGAGTTCGAGACCATCCTGGCCAACATAGTGAAACTCCGTTGTGTACTAAAAATACCAAAAAATTAGCCAGGCATGATGGTGCGCTCCTGTATGCCTAGCTACTCTGGAGGCTGAGGTGGGAGAATCACTTGAACCTGGGAGGTGGAGGTTGCAGTGAGGCGGGATCGCGCCACTGCATTCCTGCCTGGGCGACAACGCAAGACTCCGTCTCAAAGTAAATAAATAAGTAAATAAAATTTAAAAAGTAATAATAAAAGAGTATAATGGTGTATGTAATCCTCTAGAGCTGTTTCTTTCTTTCTTTTTGAGACGGAGTCTCGCTCTGTTGCCCAGGCTGGAGTGCAGTGGCGCAATCTCGGCTCACTGCAAGCTCCGCCTCCTGGGTTCACGCCATTCTCCTGCCTCAGCCTCCCGAGTAGCTGGGACTACAGGCACCCGCCACCACGCCCGGATAATTTTTTGTATTTTTAGTAGAGGCGGGGTTTCACTGTGTTAGCCAGGATGGTCTCAATCTCCTGATCTCATGATCCGCCCACCTCGGCCTCCCAAAATGCTGGGATTACAGGCGTGAGCCACCGCGCCTGGCAAGCTGTTTCTTTTTTACACTCGATATTGTATTGACAAAAATCATTCATACTTTTATGTGTGGCTGTGGTTCATTGAAATTTCACTTTTTTTTTTTTTTTTTTTTTTGAGATGGAGTGTTGCTCTGTCGCCCAGGCTATAGTGCAGTGGCGCGATCTCCGCTCACTGCAAGCTCTGCCTCCTGGGCTCACGTCATTCTCCTGCCTCAGCCTCCCGAGTAGCTGGGACTACAGGCGCCCACCACCACGCCCGGAGAACTTTTTGTATTTTTAGTGAAGACGGGGTTTCACCATGTTAGCCAGGATGGTCTCGATCTCCTGACCTCGTGATCCACCCGCCTCGGCCTCCCAAAGTGCTGGGATTACAGGCGTGAGCCACCGCGCCCAGCCGAAATTTCACTCTTTTATAATATTTTATTTTGTCAAGGTACCCCAATGTATTTATCTGTTCTCCTGTTGAAGGGCATTTTGGTTTCTTTATGAGTGTTTCTATCATATGTTGACTGCAGTTATGAATATTCATGTACATGTCTCCTGGAACACTTGAGCAAGACTTACTCCTGGATATTTGCCCAAAAATGGAACTGCTGGGTTTTAAGGTATGTAAATGTTCAATTTGACAAGATAATGATAATTTTTGGCTGGGCGCGGTGGCTCAGGCCCGTAATCCCAGCATTTGGGAGGCCGAGGTAGGTGGATCACTTGAGGCCAAGAGTTCAAGACTAGCCTGGGCAACATGGTGAAATCCCATCTCCACCAGAAAATACAAAAGTTAGCCGGGTGTGGTGGCATGCACCTTTAGTCCCCAGCTACTTGGGAGGCTGAGGCAGAGGCTGCAGTGAGCCGAAATCGTACCATTGTACTCCAGCTTGGGCAACAGAGCAAGACTCTGTCTCAAAAAAAAAAAAAAGATAATCTTCTTCAAAATGGCTGTACAGATACAGATTCCCTCCAGCAATGTATAGAAGATCTGTTGTTCAATACTTGGTGTTATCTGACTTCTTAATTTTTGCCATATACTGGGTATAAAATAGTATCTCATTATGATCTCAATCTATATTTCCTTGATCACTAATGATGGTGAGCATCTCTTCATAAGCTTTTTAGCCATGTTTCGTTCTTGTTGAAATGCATGTTCAAGTCTTGTGTCCATTTTTCTACTAGCTTATTGTCATTTATTGATTTTTTCAAGACAGGGTTTCGCTCTGTTGCCCAGGCTAGAGTACAGTGGCATGACATAGTTCACTGAAGCCTCGAACTCCTGTGCTAAAGTGATCCTCCCTCCTCAGCCTCCTGAGTAGCTGAGACTACAGTTGCACACCACCATACCCGACTAATTTTTTTTTCAGTAGAGACAGTCTTACTATGTTGCACAGGCTGGCTTTACTGATTTTTTCTTTTTCTTTTTCTTTTTTTTTTTTTTTTTTGAGACGGAGTCTTGCTCAGTTGCCCAGGCTGGAGTACAGTGGCGCGATCTTGGCTCACTCCAAGCTCCTCCTCCTGGGTTCACACCATTCTCCTGCCTCAGCCTCCCGAGTAGCTGAGACTACAGGTGCCCGCCACCATGCCTGGCTAATTTTTTTTGTATTTTTAGTAGAGACGGGGTTTCACCATGTTAGCCAGTATGGTCTCGATCTCCTGACCTCGTGATCCACCCACCTTGGCCTCCCAAAGTGCTGGGATTACAGGCTTGAGCCACCATGCCTGGCTGGCTTTACTGATTTTTACAAGGCCTTTAGGTTATCTCAGTATATATTTTTGAATGGCTATATGTGTTTACACATATCTTCTTCAAGTTTGTAGCTTATAATTTCATTCATTTTAGTATAGTTTCATTCATTACTATTTTCTTTTATAGTTAACCTTTTGTGTTGTTTGAGTTTTCATTACTCCCAACTTCAGAAAGAAATTCCCTTACTTTTCTCCTTAAAGTTTTAGTTTTGCTTTTGATAATTAAGTCCTTATATATTGAGTTGACTTTTGAATATAGTGTGGGTCACTGATTTTTTCACTGATTTTTTTTTTTTTTTTGGAGACAGAGTCTTGCTCTGTTGCCCAGGCTAGAGTGCAGTGGCATGATCTCGGCTCACTGAAACCTCTGCCTCCCAGGTTCAAGCAATTCTTCTGCCTCAGCCTCCCAAGTAGCTGGGATTACAGGCGCCCACCACTGTGCCTTGCTAATTTTTGTATTTTTAGTAGAGACAGTGTTTCACCATCTTGGCCAGGCTGGTCTCGAACTCCTGACCTCGTGATCCAACTGCCTCGGCCTCCCAAAGTGCTGGGATTATAGGCACGAGCCACTGCGCCCGGCAGGTCACTGATTTAATTTCATCTTCTCCCATATGGATGACCTTTCTTTCCATATGGGAGAAACAGAATCTTGCTCTGTCACCCAGGCTGGAGTGCAGTGGCATGATCTCTGCTCACTGCAGCATCCGCCCCCGGATTCAAGCAATTCTCCTGCCTCAGCCTCCCGAGTATCTGGGATTATAGGCATGTGCCACCACGCTGGGATAATTTTTGCATTTTTAGTAGAGATGGGGTTTCACCATGTTGGCCAGGCTGGTCTCAAACTCCTGACCTAAGGTGATCTGCCCGCCTCGGTCTCCCAAAGTGTTGGGATTACAGGCATGAGCCACCGCGCCCAGCCCATCTCCATTTATTGATGAGCACCTCCTTTGATCTGGCATACCACCCTGTCATTATTAAAGTTTCATATATTCATGAGTTAATTTTGGTGACTTCCTACCCCTAGCAACACTACCTCATCTTTTTTGCCACAGCTCTATAACAATTCTGGTGGAGCAAATCTCCTCTCCCTTTTTCTTCAGGAGTATCTTTCTGTTCTGAGCCCTTCCTATACTTTTTTTTTTTTTTTTTTTGAGATGGAGTCTCGCTCTGTTGCCCAGGCTGGGGTGCAGTGGCGCGATTTCGGCTCACTGCAACCTCCGCCTCCTGGGTTCAAGCGATTCTCCCGCTTCAGCCTCCCGAGTAGCTGGGACTACAGGCACCCGCCACCATGCCCAGCTAATTTTTTGTATTTTTAGTAGAGATGGGGTTTCACCGCGTTAGCCAGGATGGTCTCGATCTCCTGATCTCATGATCTGCCCGCCTCAGCCTCCCAAAGTGCTAGGATTACAGGCATGAGCCACCGCACCCGGCCTCCTATACGTATTTTTGTTGTTGTTTTTGTTTTCGAGACAGAGTCTCACTCTGTCCCCCAGGCTGGAGTGCAGTGGCGCGATCTCAGCTCACTGAAAGCTCTGCCTCCCGGGTTCCCACCATTCTCCTGCCTCAGCCTCCTGAGTAGCTGGGACTACAGGCGCCCGCCACCACGCCCGGCTAATTTTTTGTATTTTTAGTAGAGACGGGGTTTCACTGTGTTAGCCAGGATGGTGTTGATGTCCTGACCTCGTGATCCACCCACCTCGGCCTCCCAAAGTGCTGGGATTACAGGCGTGAGCCACCACGCCCGTCCCTATGCATATTTTTTAATTGGCTTGGCAAGTTTCATGAAAATTCCTGTTGTGATTTTTGTTAGCATTGCATTGCCTTGTATGGAACAAATTGAAGAAAATTTACATATTTACAATATTGAGTCTTTCTATCCATGAATACAAGATAATATCGATATTTACTAATTAATAATAAATATTGAAGATTATTTCAGATCTACACATTGGGATCAACCTCATAGGATTTATTTAATCAATCTCCTACTTTGAACACTTGAGTTGTTTCCGTTCTCTACCTCTAGAAACAATATTTTATTTTATTTTTTCATTTTATTTTACATATATATTTTGAGCCGGAGTCTCGCTCTGTCGCCTAGACAGAGCGTAGGTTGAGGTATGGGGGAAGGAGCCTGTTCAGCTATCCAGAAGCTCACTGAACCTTGTCCTTTTGTGTCTTTTCTCTTTTTTTTTTTTTCTCTCCTGAGATGAAGTCTCACTGAAACCTTGTCCTTTTGGATCTTGTCTCTTCTTCTTCTTCTCCTTCTCCTTCTCCTCCTCCTCCTCCTCCTCCTCCTTCTCCTTCTTCTTCTTCTTTCTTCTTCTTCTTTTTTTTCTCCTGAGGCGAAGTCTCGTTCTGTGGCTGAGGCTGGAGTGCAGTGGCATGATCTCAGCTCACTGCAACCTCCACCTACTGGGTTCAAATGATTTTTGTGCCTCAGCCTCCCCAGTAGCTGGGACTACAGGCACGCACCACCACACCAGGCTAATTTTTGTATTTTTAGTAGAGATGAGGTTTCGCCATGTTGGCCAGGCTGGTCTTGAACTCCTGACCTCAGGTGATCCTCCCACCTCAGCCACCCTAAGTGCTGGGATTACAGGTGTGAGCCACAGCCCCTGGCCTTCTTTTTATCTTTCTGTTCTTTTTTTGAGGCAGGATCTCCCTCTGTCACCCAGGCTGGAGTGCAGTGGCATGATCATGGTTCACTGGAGCGTTGACCTCTTGGGACAAGCGATCCTCCCACCTCAGCCTCCTGAGCAGCTGGAACTAAAGGCGTGCGCCACCACACCTGCCTACTTTTTTGTAGAGATGGGGTCTCCCTATGTTGCCCAGGCTGGTCTGGAACTCCGGGGCTCAAACAGTCCTCCCACCTAGGCCTCCCAGTGTGCTGGGATTACAGGTGTGAGCCATGAATTTCTTGAGTTTTTATGGAAGCTTCATGGCATCAGCATTCCTGCCCTCAGGGTGTAGGGTGGGACCCTTTTCTGGGAGAGTTTTAAAACCCATAATCAGAAAGGCAGGAGTAGATTAGAGTCTTGCCTTGGGGCAGGTGAAGGTGAAAGGAGGGCAGGAGAGAGACTCTGTTTCCTGAGGCCTAACACACCCCACATTATAACAAAAGATTAATAAGGGATACAGGAGTCAGGAGCCAGGAACCATGGGAGAAAACCAGTACATATCATAACAGCCCATACCCTTGTAGTGAATATCTTCACGCATAAGGAAACACCGTAAGGTTTTTGTTTTTGTTTTTGTTTTTCTGTAAGTATCTCTCCAGGTGAGGTGCGGTAGCTCATGCCTGTAATCCCAGCATTTTGAGAGGCCGAGGTGCGTGGATCACTTGAGGTCAGAGTTCCAGACCACCCTGGCCAACATAGTTAAACCTCATATCTACTAAAAATAAAAAATTAGCTGGGCGTTGTGGCCCACACGTGTAATCCCAGTTACTCCGGAGGCTGAGACAGGAGAATTGCTTGAACCCGGGAAGCGGAGGCTGAGGTAAGCTGCAATCACGCCACTGCACTCCAGCCTGGGTGACAGAGCAAGACAGCGTCTCAAAAAATAAAAATTAAAAAATAAAAAATAAATAAATAAATATCTCTCCATGGCCAGGGTCGGTGGCTCACACCTGTAATCCCAGCACTTTGTGGGGCCAAGGCGGGCGAATTGGTTGAACCCGGGAAGTGGAGGCTGCAGTGAGCCCAGATCGCACCACTGCACTCCAGCCTGGGCAACAGAGCGAGACTCTGTCTCAAAAATAAAATTAATTGGCGAGGCACGGTGGCTCCCGCCTGTAATCCCAGCACTTTGGGAGGCCGAGGCGGGTGGATCACGAGGTCAGGAGATCAAGACCATCCTGGCTAACACGGTGAAACCCCATCTCTACTAAAAATAAAATTAAAAAAAAATTAGCCGGGTGTGGTGTCAGGCACCTGTAGTCCCAGCTACTTGGGAGGCTGAGGCAGGAGAATGGCGTGAACCCGGGAGGTGTAGGTTGCAGTGAGCCGAGATCACACCACTGCACTCCAGCCTGGGTGACAGCAAGACTTTGAGTTAAATAAATAAATAAATAAATAAATAAAAGTATCTCTCCACCAGGCATAGAGGCTGACTCCTGTAATCCCATCACTTTGGGAGTCCAAGGTGGGAGAATTGCTTGAGGCCAGGAGTTCAAGACTAGCCTGGGCAACATAGTGAGACCCTGTCTCTATTTAAAAAATATTTATACATATATATTTAGGTATCTCTCCATTGCTTGCTTAACTAGCCTGTTCTGCACCTAGCACAGTGGCTCTAGGCATCCTCAGTCTTTTTTTAATTTATTTTTTATTTTTTGAGATGGAGTCTTGCTCTATTGCCCAGGCTGGAGTACAGTGGCGAGATCTTGGCTCACTGCAACCTCCTCCTCCTGGGTTCAAGCAATTCTCCTGCCTCAGCCTCCATAGTAGCTGGGATTACAGGCGTGCACCTACTGCATAGCCATGCCTGGCTAATTTTTGTATTTTTAGTAGAGACTGGGTTTCACTGGGTTTCACCATGTTGGCCAGGCTGGTCTCAAACTCCTGATTTCAGATGATCTGCTCGCCTCAGCCTCAGAAAGTGATGGGATTACAGGCATGAGCCACCACGCCAGGCCAGCATCCTCAGTATTGATTCCACACATTATTCCTCCTTCCTGTCTTCCCCCAGGAAACTGAAAGTGGCTCTGTGATGTCAGAATTAAGGCTCAGAATCTAGGGGAGCCTCCTACACTTCTGAAGTAGGAGTGAGGTGGGGAGGGTTGGGGTAAAATGATTTCCTTAGATAAGAAAAATTGCTTCATTTCTAGTAAGTGTCAAGCTCTTCATACACATTTCACCGAAGACCCAACAGGTCAGCCTCATTACTTCCCTGTTTTCCTGCATTAACCTGAAACACAGTGACCTCAAGTAACAGGCCCCAGTTCACACAGCCCTTAGGGCCCTCGCCTGGATTCCAATCTGCAGGCTTTGGGAAATGTTTATTGACAAGTAGAGCTGGGTGTGAGTGTATCAATAAGCACTTGTTAACTGATTTCTCTCCTTTCAACATTCTAAACATTTCCATTGTATACTTCTAAGGGCTCATTGTTTTGTTGATTAAAAAAAAGTCAACACTCATTTGCATCACCGAGAGCCCCTCCTCCTCATTCCCAGTGGGGCTTGGCGAGCAGAAGCTGGTTTTAGGGGAAGAGTTAGGGACTAGAAGATCTCGCCTGATGTGGGTGCCTAACAGAGCTTGACACCTAGTTCTATAAATGTTAATGGTATTATTATTCAGAGCATTTACATAAGAATCACCCTGATAGCTACTGTTTTGTGGACCTCGACCGTGCTCCCAGCACTGTGGGAGGCCTTTTTCATTTGCAGCAGCTTTTACTCATCACCGCCCAGTGGAGTCCAAGGCTCTTTCCCTTTGTGATAGGTGTGGTTCACTCTCAGGCTCCGAGAGTTTAGGCAACTAGCCTGAACATCACAAAGCAAACAGTTAGCAAAGTGCGGGTTTAGGGGCCGGGTGTGGTGGCTTACGCCATTCATAAGTCTTACCCATCACTGCCCACCACCTTGGGGCCTAACAAAGTGCCCAGCATGGGCTGGGCGTGGTGGCTCACACCTGTAATCCCAGCACTTTGGGAGACCGAGGCGGACAGATCACCTGAGGTCAGGAGTTAAAGACCGGCCTGGCCAACATGGCGAAACCCTGTCTCTACTAAAAATACAAAAATTAGCTGGGCATGGTGGTGCACACCTGTAATCCCTGAGCCGAGATCATGCCACTACACTCCAGCCTGGATGACAGAGCAGGGAAATGAAGTGAGGCTGGAACTGTGCACGAATCTGTTAGGCAGATGAAAGAGCACTGTGAAGTCCTCAAGGTGGGCATGTGCTGGGTGAGCTGGAGGCCCCACCAGGAGGCCAGAGGGGTTGGAACAGAGTCAGTGAGAGGGCGAGGGCTGGGAAAGCGGGGCTGGGAGGTAGGCAGGAACCAGACTGTGTCGGGCTTTGCAGGCCTTTGTAAGGACTTGGCTTCTACTGTGAGTGAGATGCTAGGCATTGCAGAATTTGTTTATTTTGGCTGTTTCTTTTCTTTTCTTTCTTTCCTTTCCTTCCTTCCTTCCTTCCTTCCTTCCTTCCTTCCTTCCTTCCTTCCTTCCTTTCTTTCTTTCTTTCTTTCTTTCTTTTATATTGTTGTTTTTGTTGTTGAGACGGAGTCTCACTCTGTCGCCTAGACTGGAGTTCAGTGGCGCCATCTCGACTCACTGCAAGCTCCACCTCCTGGGTTCAAGCGATTCTTCTGCCTTAGCCTCCGGAGTAGCTGGGACTACAGGCGCCCGCCACCACACCCGGGTAATTTTTTTTTTTTTTTTTTTAGTAGAGACAGGGTTTCACCATATTGGCCAGGCTGGTCTCAAACTCCTGACCTTGTGATCTGCCCTCCTCAGCCTCCCAAAGTGTTGGGATTATAGGCGTAAGCCACCGCTTTTTTCCGTTTTTTGAGAGTTTTGAAAACTCTCAAAAGTCAGGTGAGGAATGACATCACCTGACTTAGGTTTTAAAAGGACCACACAACTGCAAGGTCTGTGAATTGAGATATTACAACTCCCATGTTACTGGGGCATTTCCTATCATTAGACTGTTCTAACTGGAATATTTAAGGGTCTAGCCTGCTTGAAGGAAATCCGATGTGCAAAAATCCAGATAGAACTAACTTTTCCTGAGGGACTGGCAGTCATTGCAAATTGCTCAGTGTAGCAGGGGTAATGTGGTGATCCCAAGCCTCTGGGCCCTGCTTTCTTTCCGTTGGAAGGACTCATCACCCCAAAGCCCATCAGCTGCATCTCCACAGGTGCCTTCTGCTCACACAGGCACACACAACCATACAAAATGGGTGTTTCTGAATGTCTCCATGATTAGATAATGGCAGTGGTTGTACAACCCATCAGCTGCACCTCCAAGAGTGCCTTCTTCTGACACATGCACACATGGCCATAAAAAAATGGGTGTTTCTGAATGGCTCCAGAATTAGATAATGGCAATGGTTGTACGACTTTGTGAATATACGAAAACCACTGCAATGGCACACTTTAAAAGGTACATTTCATGGTATGTGAATTTTATGTCAGCAATAATAATAAAATAATAAAAATACTTCCAGAAATCCTGTTTGTCATAACACAAATGCTAGAAACAACTTAAATGTCTATCCACAGAGATCTGTGTTGTTTTTGTTTTTGTTTTTGAGACGAAGTCTCACTCTGTCGCCCAGGCTAGAGTGCAGTGGTGCGATCTTGGCTCACTGCAACCTCCACCTCCCGTTTTCAAGCAACTCATGCATCAGCCTCCCAAGTAGCTGGGATTACAGTCGTGCACCACTGTGCCCAGCTAATTTTTATATTTTTGTAGAGTCGGGGTTTCGTCATGTTGACCAGACTCGTCTTAAATTCCTGATCTCAGGTGATCCGCCTGCCTCGGCCTCCCAAAGTGCTGGGATTACAGGCGTGAGCCACTGCACCTGGCCATGTGTTTGGTTTTGTTTTTACATAAAGACGGGTCTTGAACTCCTGAGCTCCAGTGATCCTCCTGCCTCAGTTACTGACGTGCTGGGATTAGAGGCAAGAGCCATTGTGCTCAGCTCCCATCTCTACTTTTAAATAACAAACATGTATATGTATAACTTTCCTCTTCCTCTCTCTCTCTCTCTCTCTCTTCTCTCTCTCTCTTTCTTTCTTTCTTGACAAGGTCTTGCTCTGTCTCCCAGGCTGGAGTGCAGTGGTGCCATCATTGCTCACTGTAGCCTCAACCTCCTGGGCTCAAGTGATCCTCTTGCCTCAGTCTCCCAAGTAGCTGGGACTACAGGCGTGCGGCCGACACATCCTAATTTTTGTATTTTTCATAGAGACGGGGTTTTACCATGTTGCTCAGGCTGGTCTCGAACTCCTGGGCTCAAGGGCCTGCCTCGGCCTGAGTGAGGAAGGGACTTCGGGGTTTTACCGTGTTGCCCAGGCTGGTCTCAAGCTCCTGCCTCAGGCAATCCGCCCACCTCGGCCTCCCAAAGTGCTAGGATTACAGGCGTGGGCCACCACACCCAGCCACATATACTAAAACATTATACAGAGGTCAGCATGGCCCCTTAGCAAGGATGACTTGCAAATTCGTGAAGCTTTCCATATTTTTGTGATTATTATACATTGCATGATTGTATCAAAATATCTTGTAACACATAAATATATACGCTTACTATGTACCCAGAAAAATTAAAAATGAATTTTTTTCTTTTTTGAGATGGAGTCTGGCTCTGTCGCTCAGGCTGGAGTGCAATGGAGCGATCCTGGCTCACTGCAACCTCCACCTCCCAGGTTCAAGTGATTGTCCTGCCTCAGCCTCCTGAGTAGCTGGGATTACAGGTGTGTGCCACCACACCTGGCTAATTTTTTTTTTTTTTTTTTGAGATGGAGTCTCTCACTCTCGCCCAGGCTAGAGTGCAGTGGCGCCATCTCGGCTCACTGCAAGCTCCACCTCCCGGGTTCACGCCATTCTCCTGCCTCAGCCTCCCGAGTAGCTGGGACTACAGGCACCCGCCACCATGCCCGGCTAATTTTTTGTATTTTTAGTAGAGACGGGGTTTCACCATGTTAGCCAGGATGGTCTTGATCTCCTGACCTTGTGATCCTCCTGCCTCGGCCTCCCAAAGTGCTGGGATTACAGGCGTGAGCCACCGCGCCTGGCAATTTTTGTATTTTTATAATAGAGACAGGGTTTCACCATGTTGGCCAGGCTGGTCTCGAACTCCTGACCTCAGGTGATCTGCCTACTTCAGCCTCCCAAAGATTACAGGCAGAGACGGCACGCCTGGCCCTTGGAATTCTGTCATTAGCTTCTGTAATTGTCCTCTTTCATAGTCCAATGTAAGCTCCAGGATGGCTGGGGTTTGTTTTGTGTACCTCTGTATCCCCAGCCACTAAGTGCAGTGCCTGGCACTGTGGATGAAGTCAACAGTGGTTGAAAGAATCAAAGGCAGCTCAGAAACTGCATCAAGTGAGGGAAGAGGGAGGTTTCTGACTTGAGTGCTGATGACACAGAGATGGAAACCTTGGGGGAAGTGGGGCATCAGATCTCGAAGATGACTTAATTTGGGATATCTGAGGTGCTTGGGGAGAGATCTAGGAGAGGTGGGATAGGCATGTCTAGAAAATATTTAACTCTACTGGGCACGGTGGCTCACGCCTGTAATCCCGGCATTTTGGGAGGCTGAGGCGGGCGGATCACCTGAGGTCAGGAGTTCGAGACGAGGCTGGCCAACATTTAGTGTGACTCCTGTCTCTACTAAAAATACAAAAAATTAGCCAGGCATGGTGTTGCATGCCTGTAATCCCAGCTACTTGCGAGGCTGAGACAGGAGAATCGCTTGAATCTGGGAGGCGCAGGTTGCAGTGACCTGAGATTGTGCCACTGCACTCCAGCCTGGACAACAGAGCAAGACTCTGTCTAAAAAAAAAAAAAAGAGAGAGAGAAAGAAAGAAAATATTTCACTGAGAGTCACTCTCAAATGCCTATAGGGGCCAGAGAGGTAGCCTGAATAGTGACTGTGGTCTACTCCAAGACAACAAGTGGAGGGGACAGTCGCAATCTGGTGAGATTATGCCCCATTTCAAAGGAAAGCCATGGGGGTAAGCAGGTCTAGTGACCACAGATTTTTGGATTTTTCAAGAGAAGCTGAAAACAAGAACTTCCATGTGAAATCTTGTCTGCAAGCCAACGTTCACCTTCTGGTCACTTGTTTCTGACTTCTGTTGGAGCAATCTAGGCTTGAGCCTTCCCTAGACATCCTGGATATGTGTGGTGGTGGCAGGGAATGTTGGCTGCATCTTTCCTAAGGCAACAGGTACATTTATGGGCCAGGCACAGTGGCTCACGCCTGTAATTCCAGCGCTTTCAGAAGTTGAGGCAGGAGGATTGCTTGGGACCAGGAGTTTGAGACCAGCTTGGACAACAAGACAAGAACCCTGTCTCTACAAAAATTTAAAGCTAGCCAAATGTGGTGGCACAGGCTTGTAGTTCCAGCTACTCGAGAGGCTGAGGCAGGAGGATCACTTGGGAATAGGAGTTCGAGGCTGAAGTGATCTGTGATTGCACCACTGTACTCCAGCCTGGGCAACAGACCGGCTGTTGTTTTGCTCAAAAGCTGCCTCAAAAGCAAAACAAGTCTGGGTGTGGTGGCTCACACCTGTAATCCCTGGACTTTGGGAGGCCAAGGGGGTAGATAGCTTGAGTCCAGGAGTTTGAGACCAGCCTGGGCAACATGGAAAAATTCTGTTTCTACAAAAAATACAAAAACTAGCTGGGTGTGGTGGTGCATGCCTATAGTCCCAGCTACTCGGGAGGCTGAGGCGGGAGGACTGCTTGAGCCCAGGAGGTGGAGGTTGCAGTGAGCTGAAATCATACTACTACACTCTAACCTGGGTGATAGAGTGAGACCCTGTCTCAAAAAAGAAAAAAAGCAGGCATACTTAGAATAAGGTCACTCAGTCAATTCTATAGGAGCTCAGGTAGGCAACAGCCCTGACAGCCCAGTTTAGTAGTGACTTGCTTTTTTTTTTTTTTTTTAGACAGAGTCTCGCCCCGTCACCCAGGCTGGAAAATCTCAGCTCACTGCAACCTCCGCCTCCCGGATTCAAGTGATTCTCCCGCCTCAGCCTCCTGAGTAGCTGGGACTACAGGAGTCAGCCACCATGCCCAGCTTTTTGTATTCTGTAGTAGAGACAGGGTTTCACCATGTTGACCAGGCTGATCTTGAACTCCTGACCTCAGGGATGTACCCATCTTGGCTTCCCAAAGTTCTGGGATCACAGGCGTGAACCACCACGCCTGGCCTTCGTGTTTGAGTCACATTTGGTTAATTCTCCCATTATCTCAAACTTTTCCATTATTGTATCTATTATAGTGATCTGTGATCTTTGATGTTACTATTGTAATTGCTTTGGGGTGCCACAAACAGTGCCCATGTAAGAGGGCGAACTCAATCAATAAATGTGTGTTAACTGTTCTCTCTCTGTGCTTGGGCCTCCCTCTTCCCAGAGACAATATTCAAACTAGGCCAATTAATAACACCCTACAATGGCCTCTAAGTGTTCAAGTGAAAGGAAGAGGCAATCAAGGAGGCAAAGTTCCTTGTTGTCAAGAAACCGCCGTCATCCCAGCCTTCACCGACCACCACCTCAGTCAGTCAGCAGCCATCACCAATGAGGCAAGAACTTCCACCAGCAAAAAGATTACGACTTGCAAAAGCTCAGATGACTGTTAGCATTTAAAAAATTAAGGGATGTACCGTTTTCATAGACATAACACTATTGCTCACTTAAGACTGCAGTATTGTGGAACAGTAATTTTTTTTTTTTTTGGAAATGGAGTCTCGCTCTGTCGCCCAGGCTGGAGTGCAGTGGCGTTACCTCAGCTCACCGCAACCTCAACCTCCTGGGTTCAAGCAATTCTCCTGCTTCAGCCTCCTGAGTAGCTGGGACTACAGGCGCACGCTATCATGCTTGGCTAATTTTTGTATTTTTAGTGGAGACAGGGTTTCACCATGTTGGCCAGGATGGTCTACAATCTCCTGACCTCGTGATCCATCTGCCTCAACCTCCCAAAGTGCTGGGATTACAGGCGTGAGCCACCATGCCCAGCCAGAACCATAACATTTATATGCACCAGGAAATGAAAAAATTCATGTGCCTCGCTTTGTTGCAGTGACCTGTAGTAGCTAGAAAAATAACTGGAGGAATTTCCCCGAAAATTAACAGTGGTTGCCAGGTGCGGTGGCTCACGCCTGTAATCCCAGCACTTTGTGAGGCCAAGGCAGGCAGATCACCTGAGGTTGGGAGTTAGAGACCAGCCCGACCAACATAGAGAAACCCCATCTCTATTAAAAAAAAAAAAAAAAAAAAAAACAAAATTAGCCAGGCGTGGTGGCGCATGCCTGTAATCCCAGCTACTCGGGAGGCTGAGGCAGGAGAATCGCTTGAACCCGGGAGACAGAGGTTGCGGTGAGCCGAGATCGTGCCATTGCACTCCAGCTTGGGCAACAAGAGCGAAACTCCGTCTCAAAAAAACAAAACAAAACAAAACAAAGCAAAAAACTGGTTATCCTCAAGAGGTGGGATGATGGAGCACTTTCCCTCCGTGTTCTGTATTTGTGTGTTTGAATGGTTTTATAATGACTATGTATTACTCCACAAAAACCAGAAAAATTTTAAATTACAGATCTTTTTAAACATACTCTGCCTGTGCAGACATGTGCGAGAACACATAGAAAGGACCTGAAGAATATACACCTAATGATTTACAGCGGTTACCTGGGGGAAGGGGATGGGGCTTGGGAAGGTTGGCAGGTGAAGGAGAAATTTAATGTTTTGCTCAGTGTCTTACTGGGTTGCTTGAATCCTACATACTATGTATTCCTGGATTATAGAAAAACAGTGTGAAAAACTTCAGTGCCCAACCCTCGAACCCATCCCTCCAGAAATGGCAGACCAACTTGCCCAGTGGATGGCAGGGAGGAAAACCTTGGCGGGATACGGACAGTACTGTCCTCATCCCTCCCTTACCCCAGGACCCACACACCCCACCCTGGTCCAACCCACCCCACACACACTCAAAGAGGAGCCGGGGGTCTCATTGTAACACTCGTTTTTATATAAATATTCGCAAGTCATGTTACAGAAGAAGCCCCACCAGGGAAAAAAGTCAACGTTAGGGTTTTGTTAGATTGACCCCTGCCTTCTAGGTTGGGCCCCAGCCTGGAGGCGCCTGCTGCTTTGGGAAGGCTGGGGTTGCTGCCGTGAGGCTGCCGAAGAAGCTGCCTGTGTCGCCCACCCCTGGGCCGACCCCCTTCTTTGGTGTGTGGTACATGGTGACCTTCTCTGGCCACCCTTAGCCTGGGGCAGGGTTTTGGAGAACAGGGTTCAGGGAAGCAGGGCCCAGGAGTCCTGGGGGCACTTGGAAATGGGGTGAAGGGGACTGAGCCATTAAGAGGTGGTGGAGTCTGAGATTTAGAGGCTGAGCCTTTGGGGGTGGGGGCAGAGTGAACGGGAACATGTTGGGGGAACCGGGGCTGTCAGCCAAGTAGGAAGCTTCTGCCCTTCCCTCCAGCCCAGGTCCCCAGGTCCTGCCCCCTGTTGGTCATCTCCTGCTGGCCCCACCTTCCCAGGGAGAAGCCTGACTGTCCCTTCCCGGCTCTTCCCCCTGCAGTCCCCTTTCCCCACAGAGAGGCCAGAGGCTAGGAACACAGCACCAGTCTGAGGGTTTAATTAACCAGGAAGGGAACTGTTGGGAGGGGCACCCCTGTAAAAATGTACAAAAGGTCTTGGGGCTATGTGAAAGGGGTGATAAATATGTACATGGAACCCCCCTTCCTTGAGCCCCTCCTCCCCCAGCCCTCGGAGGGCATGAGGACTTGGGTGGTAGGTGAACGGGAGGGGGCACTTTGGCCTCTGGCTTAGTGAGCCCTTGGGGAGGCAGGCCCAGGGCCTAGAGGCCCTTACAGGGGCAAAGGTGTACCTCAGGAGGCCCCATGGCCCCCGAGATGAGCCACACTCCCATGCACACGCCCCTCTCCCTTCTCTAGAGGCTGTGACCTCTGCTCTCCCAGTGACCCTACACTCCATGTGATGCTTGGTCTTGTGGGGGTTGAGGCTTCTGTTCCCAGGTTCCATGACCTCAGAGGTGGCTGGTGAGGTTATGACCTTTGCCCTCCAGCCCTGGCTTAAAACCTCAGCCCTAGGACCTGGTTAAAGGAAGGGGAGATGGAGCTTTGCCCCGACCCCCCCCCGTTCCCCTCACCTGTCAGCCCGAGCTGGGCCAGGGCCCCTAGGTGGGGAACTGGGCCGGGGGGCGGGCACAAGCGGAGGTGGTGCCCCCAAAAGGGCTCCCGGTGGGGTCTTGCTGAGAAGGTGAGGGGTTCCCGGGGCCGCAGCAGGTGGTGGTGGAGGAGCCAAGCGGCTGTAGAGCAAGGGGTGAGCAGGTTCCAGACCGTAGAGGCGGGCAGCGGCCACGGCCCCGGGTCCAGTTAGCTCCTCACCCGCCTCATAGAAGCGGGGTGGCCTTGCCAGGCGTGGGGGTGCTGCCAACCAGGTTGGCTCCAGGAAGCCAGCACAGCGATCTGGTGGGCTAGGGCCCAGAAACGGGGGCGGCCGGGGCCTCTCAAACAGCAGGTGAAGGCCCTGGGGCCCAGTGGCTGCTGCGGCGGCGGCAGCGGCGGCGGCAGCAGCAGCGGCAGCGGCGGCGGCAGCCTCCTCCTTCCGCTCTTCCTTTACCCGCACAGATTCCTTGGTTGGCCGAGGCCCCTCCTCACCAGCCCGGGCCTTGGGAGTAGCAGGAGAAACTCGGAGCTGGGGCCGTGAGAAGGGGAGGTCCCTGGAGGGCAGGCGTGGGGAGAGAATGAAGTTCTCCAGGGGCAGCAGGGGCTGAGGGTGGGGCAGGGGCAGGGTGGGTGGGAGGCACACCTGTCCTTCTCCTCCTTGGTGATGGAGGGCTCCCTCCGCTCCACAGGCCGCTCCTTGTCTGAGCCTGGAGTCCGGGCGGCCTCAGGGGGCCGGACCCAGGCAGGAAAGGTCAGAGGACTGCGGTGCAGGCGGCCCCATGGGTCCGGTGGGGAGGCGAAGGCTGGTGGGGCCCCTGGGCTTTCTTTCTGGGCAAAGACGGCGCCGGAGTCTGGGCAGAGGGTGAAGCAGAGAGTGACAGGGGCCAGAAGTGGGAGGCCCTGTTCAGGCCTCCTCCCAGACCGTCTGAGCTCTCACCCTGTGGCCGCAGCCCCCCCACCCCACCGCACCCGCACTCACTGAATGTGGGGCTGCCCAGGCCTCCAAAGGCCCCGTTGGAGAGGGCAGCCAAAGAGGCGAAGCTTGTGGGACGCCCAAAGGGATCTGTGGGAGGAAAGGGGGGTGGTCAGAGCACTGGGCAGCCGGTGCTGAGCAGGCACCAGGCCTGGCTGGGCAGAGGCAGGACCGGTGCCTGGAGTCCTCAGCTGCCTGCTTTCAGCAGCCATGTGCTGAGCACTTCCTTGGGCCAGGAAGGTGTTGAGCTTTGACAAGCACCCTGTCGGTTAACCTCACAAAAAGCCCAAGAGGTGGTTAGGATCATGCCCACTTGAAGATGATAAAACAGAGAGGCTCAGAGAGGTGAAATGACTTGCTGGTGGTCATCTAGCCAGGGAGCGGTACCAACCCAGGGCTTCCTTGACATGAAGTCACGCTCTTCTCCCCAACTCCCCAACACCAGCCGCCTGGACCCATCACAGCAGATCTCCGCTCCGCAGCAAGCCTGAAGACCTTGTTGGCTTCCCCCCACCTGACATGCAGGGCCCTTCCCGACCTGACCCTAACTTCATGCATGCGTCACACAGCCAGACAGAACAACTAACCTATCCCGCCACTGGAATGTCACCACGTCCCCAGCCAGGAACACCTTTCTCCAAGCCACCAGGCTCAACTCTTCCTTGTCCACCCAAACCCAGGTGAAACCTCCCCAAGAAGCCTGCCAAGATCCTAGGAGTCAGTGGCCATGCTCTCCCCTGGGCCAGCATGGCCTCCCCACCTTCCCCTTCCAGGTGGCGTACTGCCCCTGCCACTGGCTACTGGGAGACAGGGCTCCAGCTGGCAGAGACTGAAGTCACCCTGCCCTTCCCTACTCATTTTACAGATGAGGAAATCAAGGCTCAGAGGGGGTAGAGTAACCTGCCCAAGGTCACTAAGCAAGTGGAACCAGGTCTATCCTGCATTCCAGCTGCCTGCTGGGTCTGATTTCCATCTCCTGGAAGTCAGGGACAAAGCCTGGGTTGCCCAACACGCCCTTGGCTCTTACCAATGTGGGTGCTGGGGCTCAGGAAGGGTCCGTGGGCCCCGGGAGCTGCCGTGAAAGGGTTGGCTGCAGCGTGGACGGCACCTGGGGCAGAGAGGTGGGAGATTCTGATGAGGCTGAGTGGGCACAAGCTGGGCCTCAGGCTATAGACAGGGAACCTCAGGCCCGAGGGGGCTGGCCAGACTCACCAGTCGCAGTGAAGAGGGAGGCCGGGTGGGAGAGCTCCTGCCCAGGGGGCAGGGCCCCATAGGGCCCCGGAAGGCAGGGCAGGAGGTCATTCCGAAAGTCAAGCTTGTGGGAGTCACCCTGTGTGGGACACAGGGAGAGGGGCAGTACATGAGGAGCCAGTCTGGTCCCCCTCTTGCTCTCTCACCCGTGGTTCCCCTCCAAAGGCTGGCTGGCACCCAGATGGGGCCTGGATGCCTATCTTCTGCCTCTCTCGGAGCCTTCTCTGAGCAGCCCCCTAATGAGCCAGAGAACTAAGGTGCCAGCCATAGAACTGTTCAGCAGTGATGGGGGACAGGAGAGAATGTTTCTGGCCAAGATTCTGCTGAGCTCTGTTGAGGGCCAATGCCCAGAGCTCAGTCCTCCCCTGACTCTGAGACCCACTCTCCCCAGCCCTCCGGCCCCAGTACCTTCATTTTCTCCTGGTGTCTCAGGATCATGTAAGCCACACGCACGTGCATGGCACACCACTTCCCTGGTTTCTGCCGCCCCAGAAGGATGACCAAAGGGAAAGGGAAGGAAAGAACGTTCACTCATCATCCACTCCAGGCCTGGCTCTGGGCCCAGCCTCGCCACAAAATATCCCTACTCATCATTCCTACAACCAAGGGATGACTAGGTTCATTTTACAGCCTAGGAAACTGAGGCTCAGAGAGATCAACTGCCTTGCCCAAGGTCCCATGGCCAGTTCCATCCGAGCCCAGGTCTGCAACTTGAAAGCCCTCACTCTCTGCTGTTCCACATCTGGCTGCCTCCATGTTCTGGGCTTCTCACTTATTTGTAAGCAAAACCCCCCTTAGCCAAACATGCTAACACCAGCCCCCAGCCTCATGCAGCCTGAGGTCCTCACACAACTCACCCTCAAAGGTGGCCGGAAATGGTCGGGGATCTGGGGATGGCAAAGGAGAGATGGGAGGCGACTCAGACCCGAGTCCTGGGCCAGGCGCCTCGCATCTCCACAGCATCCACTCACCCCCAACATGCCTGAGACACTGGGACTCCCTCAAACCCTTCCTGCTCAGGCCCAAACTCCTTTCCCCATCTCTCCCAGTCTAGGCATCTCTCCTCCAGCACAAGGTTTCTGAACCAAGCCCCAGGGAGCTGCCCTGCTGGAAGGCTGCGGGTGGTGAGGGGGCAGGCAGGACAGGTTTCTCAGAGAAGCTCTCCTATTACCAACTTTAGAGTATAGCGGTCTGTTTAAGATTTATTTAGGGAAAATGCCTTTGAAGGAAGTTGGAAAACCTCTGGCCTAGTCTTCCCTGTAGGAAACTGGTCCTGTGCGTTTCACAACGTTCCCGCAGCCCTGGGGTCTACACTGCTGCAAGTGCTAAGGGGAGGGAGGCTCTGGCTCTCCTCACTTCACCAAGGGGCAGCTTATCTTTTGTTTTCCGAACAGGGCTTCCTGGTATGATGTCATTTGGAAAAAAAGTGTTTTGTAACTTTATTAAAAAGTTTGAAAACCACTACAAAAACCATTGTCCTAATCATCCTATTTCTGGGACAAGCTCATGAAACTCTCATTCCTCATGCCTGGGAAAGCCAGCTATTTACAGAAATTCCCTCTCTATTAGACACCCAGGAACACCCGATTGTGAATTCAAGGGAGGAATCAGCAGTTCACTCTCCTCAAGTCAGTTCTGTTCTCCCCGCAACACACCTTCCAGCTCCCCCAGGACCTGCCCTGGCCCCCTCACCTGTGTCCCCTTCTGGGAGAGCCCGCTCGGCACCGGCCCCAGTCGTGGTGGCAGCTCAGGGTTCGTGCTCTGGGAAAGGGGAGTGGAGGGATCAGACAGGAGAGCTGGCACCAAGCACAAAGGGATCCAGAACCAAGCTGGGACACTGGGCAGGGAGGGATCATGGCTTTGGAGAAAACTGGGTGCAGCAGGGCAGGGCAGGAGGATGGGCACGACTTTGGGGAATGGGAGAAGGGTGCTTGGACCCGGCGTGTCTGGGTTTGTCAAGATGGTAGGCGGTGGTGGTGTCTGGATTGGGAGCTCACCTTGGGCTGGAAGGCCCCCTGCAGGGAGCCAAAGGAGACGGCCGGCGGGAGGCCCGGAGGCAGCCCGGGCACTGCGGGAGGGAAGGCCGTGTACGGCTGTGGAGAGAAGGGGGACTAGTACAGGTGGGGGTGGAGGCGCAGCCCAAGTCCAGCCTGCCCGTCAGTCCACGGGCCTCCACCCTAAAGCCCCCCAGGGAGCTGTCCCAGGCTCAAGGCTCTTGCTTTTGTGCTGAAGACTGGACCCCAGCAGTCAGGGTCACAAGCATGGATGCATCCACGCCCACACCACACACCCCATACGCACACGCACACACACACTCACATTATGTCGGAAAAGGCCTTCCATCTTTCCTGGATATTTCTCAAACTAGGGAAGAGAAGGGAAGAGTAAGCTGCCAGCCAGGGACCCGGGCCTTCCCCCAGAAGCCATGCCCTCCCCAGAGGCCTCCGAGCCTCATCGCCAGCCCAATGAGGAGCTCACCATGTGGGGGCCGTGGGGTGGCAGCAGGCCCGGGGGATAAGGGGTGAAGTGCTGGTGGGTGTGCTGGTGGGTGTGCTGGTGCTGGTGGTTGTGCTGGTGGAACTGGAAGGCCAGGGGCCGGGCCGAGCCCCCTGCCCCCACCACCTCAGGGCCACCCTGGGCATTCAGGTAGCGAGAGTTCAGGTCCTGGCCGATCAGGTCCTGCTCTGTGGGAGGGGACGGGAGAAGGCTTTAATGCTGTCGCCACATCAGCCTCCTTGGGCCCAGGTGACTGCCTTCCCTCTGGCCTCGAGCCACTCCCTCCTCAAGCCCTGCTGTCTGCTGAGGCTCAGGTGCCCCAAAGCCAACTGGGCCCGAGCCCGGGGTGATGGCCCCCCACCCCCCGGCCAGGACCCCAAACTCACCAGAAAGGGCGTTAGCGGCTGAGGCCCCAGGGTGCCCTGGCACCTGCAGCAGGGGTGGGGGTGGGGGCAGGGTGGGGCCAGGGGAGAACAAGGAGGGGTGGTGGGGTGGTGGGGGGGGCCGCAGCCCGGGAGGGGGAAAGCTGTGGGTGGACAAAGGCAGGGGCAGTGAGGGCGTCGGGGGCCGGTGGGTGAGCTGCGCGGACGAGGAGGAGGCAGATGAGGAGGAGGAGGACGAAGAGGATGATGAGGGGGGAGGCTGAGCCACGGGAGGGGCCGGGGCCTTGGGGGGCGGCCGTGAAGAGCTGGGGAGAGAAGTGGGGAGATGAGTGAGGGGTTGGGAGGTGCCAGCTCTGACGGGAGGGGGTCAGAAGCCTGGGTGATACCGTGACCCTGGTTCTCCAACACGGGAGGTGGCAGAACCCAGCCCCAGGACCGCCCCCCACCGAGGGAATCCGTTCTCAGACTGAGGCGCCTCCCACACCCAGCAACCCCTATTTCTCCCTGTCTAGGTCTCTGCATCCACGCAGCTGCCTCTGCCATCTCTGGCCAGATGACTTTC
This sequence comes from Homo sapiens, assembly GCF_000001405.40. Lineage (NCBI taxonomy): Eukaryota > Metazoa > Chordata > Mammalia > Primates > Hominidae > Homo > Homo sapiens. The sequence continues at coordinate 30,663,957 of NC_000016.10, read as the reverse complement.
CCTTTCTGACTCAACCACAGCACAGAACAGATCATTCATGTTGACGCTTAATTAGAACAAGCCACCTGGGGTCCCACCCTACAACAGTGGAAGCAGCACCACACTGGCCTGGCCTGGGAGTCAGGAGACCTGAATTCTAGGCCCATCTTGCCATGAATGCCCGGGGTGACCTTGAGCAAGTCACTGCCCCTCTCTGAGCCTTAGTTTTCTCAATAATAACAATGACAATGACGGTGACAAAATAGAGCATCAATAGTAAGTGTCAATAGTTCTTACCCTGTGGCAAGCACCTGCTGTAGGCCAAGTGCTGGCACCTGCTTTAAAAGCTAATCCAAGTCTCCAACATTCCACGCCACCTTCCCCACTGCTGCCCAGCAAAGTAACCATCTGAACTGCATCAATGGCTTCTTTTAAGAACTCAATTTCCTTTTTTTTTTTTTTAACTTAGCCTCCCCCTAAGCAATCGCGTGTGAAATCAAGGGGCTGAGGCATGACACTCAGCTTTCTAAAGTTCACAAAAGCTAACTCAGGACTATTTTTTAAAGTTTACTCACGTAAGACCTGAAATCATCCCATATATCACTGACGCTGAATGTACACACTTTGGGAAACACTGCATTCACTCGTAGTTAATCCTCACAACAGCTTTAAGATGAAAGTACTATGATCATTCCATTTGACAGAAAGAGGAAATCGAGGCTCAGAGGGGTTAAGTGACTTGTCAAAAATCACACAGCCAGGAAGCGTCAGAGCAAGAATTTGAATCTGGGTCTGACACCAAAGCCAGCGCTCTTAACCATCATGTCAGCATTTCCCAAAGTATGTTCCAAAGAACACTATTCCGAGCAGACTTGCCTGCCTGAAAAAACGTTCTCACCAGCAAACACAACTGGGAAACAGCACAGCCTGGATTCCCCTGCATGGGAATGTGTAACGGACTCAAATAAGTCCTGCAGTCATCTCTTTCCATTTGTTTTTCTCAAACTTTTCAGTCTCAGAATCCTTTTTCAAGTCATACCCCACAGGTACCATCCTGTGTCCCCGCCACCAAACTGACCAGGCCCTTCCGGACCGCATCAATCCCCCAAGACCACTCACCTGCCAGTGCTGAGGTCCAGGCTGCTGCCATATGGAGAAGTGCGGAGGCCGAAGGGTGAGACCCGAAGCTGCAGCTGGGGCTGGGGTGGGGGTGGCAGACTGGGAGTGGCCGGCAGGGGTGCAGGGGGTGAGACAGGAGGCCGAGGGACCGGTGGAGGCGGTGGTTCCTTTGGGGGGAAAGGCACTAGCAGCGGGTCGGGCCCCGGGGGCTGTTCTTGGCTCCGCTCCAGGCCCGACACTTTAGGGACCACGGAGAGTTTTGCTTCACAGTTCCCATTGAAGGCGCCGTGGGGGCCCGAGGCTGTGGGGCAGGATGGCAGACATGCTCAGTTGAGGCTCATGCTCACCCCACTGCCCTCCCGTGCCTCCAGCCCCAGACCTTGGGACCAACCTTTGCTGGTTGAGACAGTAAAGGATGGGTCGAGGTCATCATCGGAGACCTGGGGAAGAAGGGCAAGGGATAGAGTTAGGTTGTGGGTGGGCCAGGCCTCCACCCAGGAAGGCCAAATAGCCTCTGGAGGCTGCTAGGAACTGGTGGTAGTGGCAAGTCTGTTCCTTCAGTTTAGCTGAGATCCATCAAAGACTGGGCTCTAGGGGGCTGAGCTTGGAGAAAAAGCAGAGTGGAGCAGCTGACCCCAAGAATCCGATAGGCCAAGAGGACTAAATGGAGGCAGCGTTGAAGCAGCAGAGAAGCAGGCAAACCAAACCAAAACGTCAGAGGTCACTAGCTGCTGGCCCACAGGCCTCCCTCGCTTACAGATTTATTTGGTCCACCAGCGTTGGTAAAAGTTTTAAACCAACTGCAGATATTTAAGAATCCGGAGATTCCTCATTAAAACTCAGGCTTGCAGATTGCCTCAAGAATGGGCCCCCTGTTCTCGTAGCAACAATCAGCCTAGACAGATAGAGATGGATGACGGAAATTGACAAGAACCCTCTGGTTCACCACAGTCCTATCCAGCCAACTTTTGAAACAAAAACAAGACACACATCAGGGAGTGCAAATTGAGTTACTTACATGGGCCCAATGGGTAGCGCATTAACTTCTAGGACATACTATCTCACAACAAGCAAATCGCCCCTAAGGATAAACTCAAATACACCTTTATGGGCTGAGTCCCTACACTGACTACAATGATTTAGTGTCCTCACTACTCTATCTGCGGTCTCTGCTCAGACTTGAATCTAGATCTTCATTCTAAGATGGGAAGAAGGCCCATCTCAGTGCCACAGCCACTCTGGGTTTCCGTGGAGAACCAGAAGTAGCTCAAGGGCTTTGGAAAGGATAGTATGCCAAAGCATGGACCCTCCATTCCTTGGTCAGCTAACCCCTAGTCACCAAAAGAAAAAATGACGCCATTTACCCTCCCAATCCACCCCCGTTCCTCCCAAAAACCTAATCCTGACTCAACCTAAGCCATGTTTCTCACTCAAGGGAAGGCTGTCTGCTGCACGCAGAAGACCTTTATGCTGCAGTCCCTTTTACAAGCAGTGACACTGCCCACCCAAGCTCTAGCCCCACTCACCCTCTCGTCCAGATCACTTTCCGCGTCACACTGGGGAGAAGGAAAGACAGAGGTGTCACGAGAGGGAAGAGGCCCAGGGTGGAGCAGGGAGGGGCCAGGACAGGTGGATAGCACTTACTATGTATCCAGCTTCCAGAGAGTGACGGGAGGACGCCTGAGGAAGACCAGAGTCCAGAGGTGAGGGAGGCGGCTGCTGAGGCAGCTGGGAAAGTCGCAGCTCCCAGCAGGGCGCTCATGGGCCTCCAGGATCTACTCTCAGCCTCTCCTTCCAGCTGCTTCTCCCGCCACTGCCCACCCGGGTCCCAGTGCTCTCACCATTCTCTAAATACGCCGGGTCCTCACGTCTTCATGCTCTTGCCCAAAACAACTTTTCCCCGTGTCTTTTCTTAGCAAACTTCTGACTATACTTCAGGACCTGACTAAGACATCCTAGGGGGCTTTCCCCAACCACAACTCTCCTCCCATCCCCCAGGCAGCACAAGCGGCTTCCTCATGTGGGTTTCTGTAGCATCTCTCCCCATCTTTGTCTTCTGTAGCTTCTCAAATTAAGGTCTAGGTGTTTGCTTGCTGGCTATTTCTTTTCTGCTGGACTGCCACCACCTCGAGGAAGGGCAGGAACCACAATTAATTTACGACCCAACTATATTCCTTTGACGCCTCTCTGAATTATCAAAACGTTTGAAGTAGACACAGAACCAGGCAAAAGGAGGTGCACCTGACTGTAGACAGGCCTTCGTCAGACCCGGATGAGTAAGGGCTCAAATTTGCCCTGCTTGCCTCTTTGCCCTTAGAAACTGGGGTCTCTGTTTACAAGGGGCAGTGGCGTTGCTGATGAAAAACGGGGCTGTGGGAAATACATTCTGCCTAAAGAGTTTTAAGGGACAACCTCACCTCTTTTCTTCTCCGCTTATTGGGCCATTTTCGGGCCCGATCCCCAGGGGGCCGGCCAGGCTCTCGATCAGAGCTGTCCCCTGGCTCCCCGGTGGCCCCACTGGAGCCCCCCCTTTTCCGCTTCCCAGAATGCTTCAGCCGATGTTCCAGTCGCTCTGGGGGCTGAAGAGATGCATCCTTCTGTGGAGGAGGAGGTGGGGCTGAGATAGATGGAAAAGGGCAAGCTCCCAACCCCTCTAGGGGTGACCAGGTTGCCGAAGTACCCCTCGGGCCGGGAAACCGGGTCCCCAGAGACGAGCTCTACCTCCTCCCACCCCAGGGCGGGGCAGAGGCCTGGCCAGAGGAGCCGGTTGCTCTGGTTTGGGGTGCCAGCATTCCCCCCTCAACTCCACCCACTAGGGGCACTGCCCCCTCCTTGCTGCCCCTCGGAAACCCCCAAAGTCTCCTAGCCCCATTAGGCCCCACCTGCAAGGCCTCGAGGGTGGCGAAGCTGGCGATGGCGAAGCCATCGATCAAGTCCTCCTCCTCCTCTTCCTCCTCCTCAGGCTCCTCCTCGGCTTCGCCGTCGTCTGCGCCCCCCTCCTCCTCCTCCTCCTCCTCTTCCTCCCCGCGGCTGCCCGAGCCGGCAGGCCGCTTCCGAGCTCGGGGTCGCGGGGGTCGAGGTCTCGGACGGGGCCGCCGGCGTCTCGGGCCCCCAGGCCGCTCTCCAGACGAAGCTGACGACCAAGGCCTGGCGGGCGGCGGCGGCGACGACGAGGACGAGGAGCCGCGCGGGGCGGCCAACAGGGCCCGGGGCGCGTCGCCGCCTGGACCTCGGCGGCGCCGCTGCTCCCGGTCTCGGTCTCGGCGCGAGCAGCGCCGCCGTCGGCGCTCCCCCTCTGCTGCCCAGCCCGGACCCGGGGCCGCGGCCGCTGCCGTCTCCATGGCGACCGCCCTCAGCGCCGCATCCGGAGGCGGCGGGGCCCGAAGCGGCCTGTCCGCAGGCCCGGGGTCGCAGGCGCGGCGCTGGCGGCTGCACAGTGACGAGAGGGCCACGGCTTCTCCTTTAAAGCCGGATCTGCTGGCCCCGAGCTTGCCCCAAGGCCACGGCCCGGGGAGCCGGCGCCGCCCCCGGGGCGACAAGCCCGAGGGCCCCCCCTGCGGGCTCGGCGGGGCCGCGACGGCGAAAACGGGGCGGCCGTCCCTTTAAGGCGAGGCCCCAAGTTGTCCAGCTCCCGGCCCCTTTAAGACGACCCGACAGTGTCCGGCGGCCTAGTGCGGTGGCCACCCCCTGCCAGGGGTCGATGCAAGTCTCCCCGAGGAAGAGGAAGGGCCACCCCTTTAAAAGGGGCCGAAAGCTCGCCCCGAAACGCAGACCTCCCCTTTAAAAGTGTCTCAAGTCCTCCGGCTCAAAGAGGCCACCCCTTTAAGGAGTCCAGGGTCCTTCTAACAGCAGGCCGTCCCTTTAAGGGCTCGGAGTTAGTTTCTAGTCCTCCACAAGCGGCCACTTCCCCTTTAAGTTGAATTTAAAAGACTTCTTGTGTGTGGGGGAGGAGGACGTAAAGAAAAACCCCACTCGCCCCAGTTCTCCCAACGGCACAGTTCTCAATTTGTCAGCGTCTGCTCGGCGGCTTCCCCTTTAAGGCTGGCGTTGCAGTCCGCCGAGTTCAGTGGCCACCCCTTTAAGGAGATTTAAAGGGGCCTCCTCCGGGCCCAGCTCCTCCAGCCTCCGCCTCCGGTCGCCATGAAAGGCGCGAGGCGGGGCGGGGCAGCGAGGCCAGCCCTCCAAAGCCCCGGATGTGAGGCAACGGTGACGGGTACAGCTCCCCTGTCCGCCGACATAAAAGTCTCTTCCTCCTTTCCTCCGTCTCTGTCCGACTTGGGCCTTAGGGGATCCGGAACGGCCGATGGGCAGCGGGGGAGCTCCAGCACAAACTCCTGTTGTCTCCTTTGGAGTCTTAGGGCGCTTCTCCGCCAGGACTTCCCTACCCCTCCTCCCTCTTCCTCCTCAGCCTACGCCTCCTTCCTCTCTCGGCCTCCTCCCACGCTCCGCCCCCTTCCCCTCACCCCCAACGGGCGCAGTCGTTGATAGGCTGGGAGGGCTACGTCAAGGTGAGGGGCGGAGCCAAACCCGAGGGAGTGGGTGCATGTAACCGCCCTCAAATCTTGGATTGGGTTACGTCGGATTGGCTCCGCCCTTCCCCCCAGTCTTGTGACTCGACTGGTTAGAAGTAGGTGTTTGGGGCGGTTACTACAGGGCCCCGCCTCTTCCTGCTGTTTGTTTATTGGCCGGTCTCCTGATGGCGTCGAGGCGAGGGGCGGAGACGCGGGGCCTGAGGCGTTGGGGGCGGTTGGCCGCCGGGGGGCGCGCGGCTGCAAGAGGTTCCGTTCCACAGCCAGTTAAGTCATCGCCGCCTTTCCGCCGCTCGGCGCGGCCCACAGACAGCCTGGCGTCTCGCGCACGCGCGTGGCGGCGCCGCCGTCAGGCTGGCTGCTTGCGAGTCGTTCCGCGGCCCGGGGTGGCCCGAGCGGCCGCGTGCTGTGCCTGCGCCTGCGCCGGCCGCACTAACAGGCAGCCGCGTCCCTTCCAGGCGCGGCTGCTGGCAGCGGTCCCGAGTGCTAGCAATTCGAAAACGCCTTGCACCTGCATGAGCGCTTCTCCGCGTTTGTGACTGCGTTTGGTAATAATTCCATGAAGGAGATGCTGTCAGCCCCATTTTACTGGGACGGAAAGGAATGCGCGCACAGACGGGCTGGTAGTCTCCTAGCCACGTCTATGTCAGCCACTGCCCTGTGATGCCTCTCAGTTATGAAAGATGCACCCCACTGCTCAATGTGACTGGCTTAAAAAAAAAGAGACAGCCATTTCTGGCCTTCGGTTGCCCGGGTTACCGTTTTAAAAGTGGACAGCGCGCTGACATGCCTGCCTTGCTTTCTCGTCCATAAAATGACTAATTCCCTGTCGCAGGGACATGTGCAGGTCAAGCACCTATGACAGTCGTCGTGAGTGCTTCATTATGGCCCATTACTCTTAGCTCTTTGTTTTGTTTTGTTTTTTTGGGGGGGACAGAGTCTGGCTGTGTTCCCTAAGCTGGAGTGCAGTGGTGCGATCTCAGCTCATTACAACCTCTGCCTCTCGGGTTCAAGTGAATTCTCCTGGCTCAGCCTCCTGAGTAGCTGGGATTACAGGTACACACCAAGACACCCAGCTAATATTTGTATTTTTAGTGGAGACGGGGTTTCACCATGTTGGCCAAGCTGGTCTCGAACTCCTAGGCTCCTGTGATCCACCTGCCTCGGCCTCCCAAAGCGCTGGGATTACAGGCGTAAGCCACCGCACCTGGCCTAGCCGTAGCTCTTGAATCCAGCAGCAGGTCCTGGCCTGCATGTTAGCAGGAATTCAGGGCCATCTTGATCTTCAAGGCCTTGACCCACTATAGGCCTTTCAGTCTCCTTGATATAAATGAATTGGGAGAACCCAGACCACGGTCTAGGGTCACAGTATCATCTGGCACTGATTCAGAAGTGTCCCTCCACACAGGAGAATCCTCTAAGCAAGAGAGTATCTCTAGGCCGGGCATGGTGGCTCATGCCTGTAATCCCAGCACTTAGGGAGGCCAAAGCAGGCGGATTTCCTGAGGTCAGATGTTCAAGACCATCCTGGCCAACATGGTGAAGCCCAGTTTCTACTAAAAATACAAAAATTAGCGGGTGTGGTAGCGCACGCCTGTAATCCCAGATACTTGGGAGGCTGAGGCAGGAGAATCGCTTGAATGAGGGAGACAGAGGTTGCAGTGAGCCAAGATCGTGCCATTGTACTCCAGCCTGAGTGACATGAGCGGAACTCCATCTATATCTATCATCTATCTATCTATCTATCTATCTATCTATCTATCTATCTATCTCAAGTGACCACTTCACCCCCTCCCTGTACTCTGTACCCAACCCCTGTCACCATCTCTAGCACCAGCCCCAGTTCCCAGACCTTTGGGGGTCAACGTAGAAACATCAGCCAAATCAATCTTAAACTCAGCTAGAGATACAAAAGAATCAGAAACATATCGAAAACTTTACTAGAAATATAGAGAAAAAAAAATAACTGCCTGGGAGGTTTCCTGTCCCTTCAGGATGGATGACCAACAGATGGGGCACCTAGGTCCAGTGGGGCTGCTCCCGATCTACTGTTTCTTCCTCCAGGAGCAAGGCATCTAGCTCCTCCAGCCGCTGCTGGAGCAGGGGGCCCACATCAGGGCTGGGGGCCACATTGGGAGGAACAGTCCTGCCCCCTGCAGCCCGGACCCCACGGGACGGTCTTCGTGATCGAGGAAGGCTGCTGTCCCGAAATTCCACAGCCCGCCGGAGCTTCCTTGAGCTGGTGAAAATCAGAGTCCCATTGCGCTCCCGGGGTTCCTCAAAGATGGTCTCAAAGGTCCTGAACAAGGCAGGGAGAGGAGCTGGTTTTATCAGGGTGCTCCACAGCTCCAGATTTCCCTCTGCCACCCTCTAGCCTTCCAAGTGTCTCACCTCCTGGTTGTGGGTGATTGGTAATTCTTGTTGGTGTAAATTTCTTCCAAGCTGAACTCCTTCTTGTTCAACCTGTGAGCAAAGAGCAGAGGCCACTGAGAAACCTTGGGCCAGTGGGGCCTGAAGGGACAGGTAAGGCCTGGTCTGTATTTCAGTTTCTGGGACATGTCAGGGCCAGGAGTGCTACATAAGGCAGACAGGCAATTTTGAGCACAAACCATCCCCACACCGAATTGAATCTTTCAGGCTGGACTGTGCTCCCTGAGGGGAGACAAAGCTATACTTCAGGGGACATAAGCCTGCATCTGTTTGGCCAAGATGGCTCAATGCCCAGTGAGCCCCTCACCTGATTGGTCGAGGCAGTCCCATTGGTGTAAGGTTTAGCTGAGGACGGGCTGGTGTTCTGCGTATTCTGAATCGAGAAACCTTTCCCATGGTCTGCAAAAATGGGGCAGAGGGTGAAAGAGTGACATGGGCTCAGGCCCCCACTAGTCTCTTCTACCCGATCTGAATGCCTACCTTGGTCTCAGGTTCTGAAAGCACCTGGTCCTTTGAGGCTCTTGGCTCCTTCCCTTTGGTTGAACCCAACCTGCCAAGAAGGTCAAGGCTCAGGGACAAACAGGATTCACTGCATTATCCCCCGTCTCCTGCCCACTGGATACTCAGGGAAGGAGGCTGGGACCAGGCTGCAGCCAGGCTTCAAGGGGGTTTTTTGAGAGCACTACCTGGGTTCTGCTGGTTCGGAGAAGGAAGTGGATGCCGTGGACGAGCAAGATGTGGTGAGAGAAGGGGAGGCTCCCACTCCTCCGAGAGGGAAGACCTCTTTCCGGAGACAGGGCCGAGGGGGTGGCGGGGCTCGGGCCATTTCCCCACCACCCACAGTGTGCCGCCGCGGCCGTGGTCGGCTTGGTTGGGGTGGAGCAGGTGGCCAGGTGCAGGTACCTGGGCCAGGGGGCCCCAGATCAGGGCAGGAGTAGCTTCGGCCCAGAGAGGGCTTAGGGAGAAGTGCTGGGGTATTGTGGTCCTGAGTTCGCCACTGGCGGATTGGGGGCCGGGGGCTGACAGACGCAGTGCCCTCAGCAGCCCCAGACTGCTCGGCCTCTGAGATGGCGATCTTCAACTCCAGCTTCATTGGGGGGGACGGGGGTGGGGGCTGTGGGGTTTTGTTGGGCGTGAGGAAGATGTCAGCAAAGCTCTCCAGCTTGGAGCGGACGGAACGGAAGAGCGGGGCCAAGCCCCAGGGACTGAGGCGGGGGCGTAAAAGGCTGGACGGTGGTGGGGTGGATGGGAGCTCCAGAGCAGGATCTGGGGCTGAGGAAAGGAGAGGGTCACAGGTGGATATTCCTTGGCTGCAGTGTCTCAGCCCCTCCCCACATGCTCAACTTTGTGCACAGGGGAATTAGCCCACCCTTAAAACACTAAGTTCTGCATTTAAGAATTGAACTTCAAGCCTCTGACATCAACATCCCATCTTTATATACCAAGCCCTGCCCTGGGAGGTGGCTTAAGCCCTATCCCCAACTCTGTACCTGACACTTCCAAGCTCAACTAGGATGTCCCAGACACCCAAGTCTCATCCGATCTCTACCCAAGTCCTTACCTGTTGGTGGGCTCTCCAGAGGGTCTGCAGGCAGAGCAGATGGCTGGAATGGGGGTTCTAGGTCCCCAGGTGGAGGCGTTGGCTGGCGAACTATCCTCATGGGCTCAGCTCTGGGGTGAAGGGCAAGGTAAAGGCTAGGGGAACTTCCAGGTATCCCACCTGAGCCAGCAACTCCCCTATCCCTTAAGGCTTCTTCTTTTTTTTTTTTTTTGAGACAGAGCCTTGCTCTGTGGCCCAGGCTGGAGTGCAGGGGCACAATCTCAGCTCACTGCAGCCTTGAACTCCCAGGCTCAGGCAGTCCTCCCACCTCAGCCTCCCAAGTGGCTAGAACTACATGCATGGACCACCACATCCAACTAATTTAAAACAATATCTTGTCTGAGCATGGTGGCTCTCGCCTGTAATCCCAGCACTTTGGGAGGCCGAGGTGGGTGGATCACCTGAGGTCAGGAGTTCAAGAGCCTGGCCAACGTGGTGAAACCTCGTCTCTACTAAACATACAAAAACTAGCCGGGCATTGTGGCGGATGCCTGTAATCCCAGCTACTCGGGAGGCTGAGGCAGGAGAATCACTTGAACCCAGGAGGCAGAGGTTGCAGTGAGCTGAGATCGCACCATTGCACTCCAGCCTGGGCAACAGAGCAAAAACTCCATCTCAAAAACAAACAAATAAATAAACAAAACGTTTTGTAGAGATATGGTCACAGTGATGTGGTTGCCCAGGCTGGCCTCAAACTCCTGGGCTCAAGCGATTCTCCTGCCTTGGCCTCCTAAAGTGCTGGCATTAGGCATGGGCGTGCCCGGCCCCTTAAGGCTTTTTAAGATGCCACAAGGAAGGATTGGATCAGTCAGTCCCGATGCCCCTAGCTCTGGCTACCTGGATGATGGCTGTTGCCTGGATCCTTTGATAATCCCTACTCCAGCCCTCTCACCTTTGTGCTGGGATGATGAAGTTGGGGGTCTCATCAATGAAGCCCTGGATAAAAATAGGGGATGTTTGTGGGGAGGCAGGAAAGCCCCCTTAGTGCCCCACATCCTGACTCTTTCAGTTCCCGGATAGCTGCTTGGGTTCACGCCAAAGACGTTTTTATATAGTCTTTGCTCAGGCAGTGTCTGCCGCCTAAAATGCCATCCTCCTCACCCCAAGAAAAACCCACCTAAGACTCAGGCCTCCTACCCTTCTATCCCTGCTGGAACCCAGCAGAACCCTTGACATCCGTACCCTCAGTTCCCATACCTCAGCGGGGGGTCTAGGACTGGCGATGTCTTCCAGCATCACCACCAGGGTGGGCTGGGGGGCCCGGTCCACCTTTTGTGAAGGGCCCTCCTCTGGGCCAGGGGTTGTCCTTGATCGCCGCCTCAGGGTGGAAGAGGTCCGGTGGATGCGGCTCAAGGGCTCGCGACACAAACACAGAGGGTCGGGAGGCCTAGCGAGGGAACAGGAAGATTAAAATGGCTCAGCTGGGCCCTCGGCTTACCCCCATCCTGCCATGCTCACCTGGCCTGCGAGGACCACCCGGCCTGCCGGGGTGGCGAGGCAGGCGGCTGCCTGTGGACAGGATCCTGATGGTAGCTGTGGTGCTGTGGTATGGAGGTCTGCTTTGAGGGCACCACGGGGACCTGGAAGAGAAAGAGGTGTCAAGAGCAAGGTGATAGAATGAGGCTGGACGGGACAAGGTTTCCCTGTGCCTCACAGTGCCCTGAGCCACAAACATAACAGAGATTGGGGCTAGAATTCACTCGGATCCCAAGAGAAGAGATGAATTGGACTGAATTAGGGGCCAGATATTAAGAGTCCTAAACTGCAGGTGTAGGACCTGGGTAATCTCATCCACGCTGTTTAGAGAAATGAAAAAGACAGGGTGAGCTAGGGTGGGTCACTGCCTTTTTTGGGCCAGTTTTTCTTATCTGTGCAGTGGAGTCAAAGACCTCAGCCTGCTTCCTAAGGAGGCTGGGCTGGGAAGAAAGCAGAAGAGTTTCGGCCCAGCGCCGTGGCTCACGCCTGTAATCCCAATACTTTGGGAGGCAGAGATGGGAAGATCGCTTGATGCCAGTTTGAGACCAGCTTGTGCAACATAGCAAGACCCTGTCTCTAAAAAAAAAAAAAAGATAGAAAAAAAGAAGCAGAAGAGTTTCTCAGAGTTACAGGGATGTGGTTCCAGCCCAAAATCGTTGGTGGGTGGAATGGGCACTGCCCAATTCTAGGTTGGAGTAAGTGGGAGCCAAGCAGGACTCTACCATGAGGGAGGCTGCCTGAGGGCTGAGTACAACAATGATGGATTTGGACTTCAGTTATCCTCAGTAGGGATCTGGCCCGAGTTTGGTAGTGAGGAAAGTCATGGGGGAATAGAGAGTCTCTTGGTTCAGGGGGCTCACCATGTGAACAGCCATGACATCTTCTAGCACCACGGCCAGGACCCGCCGAGAGGCCTTTTCCAGGGGAGAAGGGGCCCCCGGGAGCTGCAGCCTCGGCCGTTTCGGGCTCCTGGCTCCCCATAATGCTCGAGTCAGAGGCTGGCGGCACAGACGCGGCTGGCCAGGCGGGCTGGAGGGTGAAAGAAGCAGAGGACGGTCGCCCGAACCTGTCGCTGGCTCTGTAGTTTCCCGGCACGGTCGCCAGGATCCCCATCTCCCGGGGTCAAGACAGGCGGGCCGCCCGGGTACGCTCTCACCTGGAGTCCCCGGGCAAGTCCATGGGAGACGCGGCGGCTCCGGGGGGGTCCCTGGGGAATCCCAGGCTGCGGCCTGGGGTAAGGGGGGAGCGGGGGAGCGGGGGGTGAGGGCCGGCCCCTTCCCTGGGGCTCCGCCCTTCATGGTCCGCCCGCGGCTCCCCGTAGCCCAGCGGCCGCAGCCCTGGGGCGCGAAAGGGCGCCCCCGGCCGGTCGCCCGGAGCGGGTGTCCTCCCGCTGCCACCGCCTCGATCAGCGGATCACTCGCGCCCTGCCTGGCACCTGCCGCCAGAACCCAGAATGCAGCGGCCCCAGTTCTCCCGCGGCCCGAGCCTCCCGAGGCCTTTGTCCCTGCAGATTATGCCCCGAGATCCCCCGGGATCCACGGGGATCCCGGTCCTGGGAGGCTATTTCCGCTGGATCCCTCTGCGATCCTCCTCCTCTCCCAGCGAGTGGCCGAGGACTCCAAAGCAATACTCCATACATCGACGACCCTCCATCCCACCAGATCCCCTAGACTGGATCCCTGAGGAAAGAATCCTACAGCGCGGTTCCGCCAATCAGACGCCGGGCGAGGCTTTTCCTTCCCCTGTAAGCTTCAGCGCCGCAAAGCTCCGCTCAGACAGGGGCGGCCCGAGCTGGAGCATCTCCGAACTCAGCGTAGATCCCCAGGGATCCACTGTCAAGCAGATACCCTCTTCACTCCAATCCCGGGAGGTCCCGCCCACAGACGCCCCTTCCCTCCTCGCGTCCCCGCCCAGCGGTCTCCCCCGGCCCGGGACCAGATGGTTCAGAAGTTTCCTTCCCCGCCCCCACTCCCGCCCTCTCTCCAGCCACTCCTTGCCCTCCCCCAAGGGCTGCTCACCGCCGCCTCCCGTGGATCCCGGGTCTTCCGCAGCTCCCACCTCCGGCTCCTTTAAAAACCAAGCTTACCCAACGCTGCCCAACCGCCGATGGCCTTCTTCTCGGAGCCTCTGGACACCGCCCAATCGCCGGTCCCCGTCTTCCGGGGTGGTGAGAAACTAAGTGAAGCCACCTGGCGGCCATCATCCCTAGGGGCAGGAAGCCAAACTGAGTGGCGCCGCCATGATGGTTGAGGGCAGATGTCTTAGTCCTCGTTGAACCGTGGTGGACCGGGTGGCGTCATCTTTTGAGGGCCATATACAATGCCAGGTTTCTTGATATGTTGAGGCAACCGATTGAAGCTAGAGTGCCGCCACGCTTTTTAAGGGCATCTTCCGGTTCTTTCGTTCTTAGGCCAATAAACGTCGACTGAGTGCTAACGATATGTGAAATTCCCAATTTCCTAGAGTGGCCTCGTTTGAGGAAGGTTCCGGCATCTTCCTGGGTTCCTAAACTGGGTTCCCACGGCCCAGGGTCCGAGTTTAGGAGGGGGTGGTGGAGGCCCTGAGTCCGAACACCCGGGATCAAAGACGGGCTGGTGCGGCCTGTGGCTCCGTTGCTGGCGCCTTGTCCTGGAGAGATGGGACCGAGCCGAAGTGGGGAGGAGACTGGGGGCGCTAAGCTTGACTTCCCCTGAGTGTTGCCCACCTACTTCTTCCTGGAGAAGTGGGGGTGCCCACGGTCCGCGCAGAGGTCTATAGGACAGGGGCATCTTTGCAGGAGGCCAAGAATATACCTTGGCTTGCTAGTGGGGCCCGGCTCTCAGGAACCACTGTCTCAAGTGGGGCCCGCAGGATGGGGGAGGTGTAAATAGTCCTGAGGAGTAAGGGATCAGGGTGGGACGCTGCTGCTTGGAGGAGCTGCGTCATGGACCCTTTACTGGAAGCTGGGCTGTTGGTGGGGAGGAAGTGGGCATGTAGTGGCTTCTTGCAGCGCTATGAAGGTGCCCTGACCGCTTAACCAAAGCCCATGTCTGCACTAGTTCTCCTTCCCCAGATTCCCTGGTCCAAACCAGTACTTCTTTTCTTTTTTAATTTTTTTTTTTTAATTTGAGGCAGGATCTCGCTATGTTGCCCAGGCTGATCTTGAACACCTGGGCTCAAGTAGTCCTCCCGCCTCAGCGTCCCAAAGTGCTGGGATTACAGGCGTGAGCGCCCAGCACGAGTCCTTATTTTGTTTTCTTAACAGAACGAGAGACCCTGAAGCCTAGAATCCTGGGTCCGAGATAAGGTGCAGAGGTGCTTCCTGGTTTAGGTGTCATAATTCTCAGGGGATTGAGTGATGAAAGTGATAAAACAGGGCCGGGTGTGGTGGCTCACACCTGTTATCCCAGCACTTTGGGAGGCAGAAGATAGCGGATCACTTGAGGCCAGGAGTTCAAGACCAGCCCGGCCAACATGGCAAGACCCCATCTCTAAAAAAAAAAATACAAAAAAATGAGCCGAGCATGGTGGCGCACGCCTGTAGTCCCAGCTACTCAGGAGGCTGAGGTGGGAGGCTCTCTTGAGCCTGGGAGGTCGCAGCTGCAGTGGGCTATGATCGCGCCACTGCACTCTAGCCTGGGCGACAGAGACCCTGTCTCAAAACAGACAAACAAACAAGGGATGATATGGAAAGCATAATCGAGAAGGGCTTATGTGGGAAATGGAGGCTCCCCAGCTCCGTCCCTAAGGACTCATGCAGGGAGACGTTCTTGCAGGACTACAGCATCTCTGTAACAGGAGGTCCGCTGGGTCCTCTGGAAACCCATTCAGACTTCTGGTGGGAGCAGGCCGCCGTGGTTCTTCCACGTAGAGGTGTTTCTCTCCCTCTGGATCAGGGCTGGCAGTATGGGTGCCTGAGGAGGTACAGTGATGTTTCATCCAGCTGTGAGTGCTTGGAGATTCTTTCAACCTTGCCAAATTAAGACCTAAACCCCACAGGTGCTTTTCAGGCCCCAGGGCAGGAAAAACTTTCAAAAGCAGAGCAGGCCTAACCTGAGTTTTTAGGTATTTTTTGTTTGTTTGTTTTTTGTTTTTGAGACGCTCTGTCGCCCAGGCTGGAGTGCAGTGGCGCCATCTCAGCTCACTACAACCTCCGCCTCCTGGGTTCAAGCGATTCTCGTGCCTCAGCCTCCCAAGTATCTGGGACGACAGGTGCTCACCACCACGGCCGGCTAGTTTTTTGTATTTTTAGTAGAGACGGGGTTTCGCCATGTTGGCCAAGCTGGTCTCGAACTCCTGGCCTCAAGTGATCTGCCCGCCTCGGCCTCCCAAATTGCTGGGATTATAGGCATGAGCCACCACACCTGGCCCTAATCTGAGTTTTGATTCTCTAGGTCTCTTGAAGTCAATGACACCAAGGGTAAAAGATGTAGTCCAAAGAAAAGTCCTGGACCTGAGTATTTGGTAGGAAGAGCCCACCAGTGTGACCCTAACTTGGGGTGCTAGAGTTCATCAAATGGAAGTCTAAGGTAGACTGTGGCAGTCTTGGCCCTTAGCCCAGGCCAGCAAATGTGAGCCCTCATGATCTTGCGGTCTCACCTCTGCTCTTTTTGTGACTTCCCATTTCAACAACTTTACTTTGCCCACTGCCTACACAGGTGGTGGACACACTGTGGGGTGTACCACAGTGTATGCTGATGCATTAGCAAGAGGGCCCCACACAGCCTCCAGTGGGGCTGCTGGTGTGGCCGTGGGTGCACTTCAGTGTGTCATTATTCAGAAACTCAGGGTCCGTTTAGACTCTGGGCGGCCCATCTTTCTTTTTTCTTTTCTTAGACAAGGTCTTGGTCTGTCACCCAGGCTGGAGTGCAGTGGTGTGATCATGGCTCACTGTAGCCTTGACCTCCTGGGCTCAAGTGATCCTCCCACCTCAGCCTCCCAAGTAGCTGGGACTATAGGTGTCCGCCACCACGCCCGGCTAATTTTTTGTATTTTTAGTAGAGATGGGGTTTCACTGTGTTAGCCAGGATGGTCTCGATCTCCTGACCTCGTGATCCGCCCACCTCGGCCTCCCCAAGTGTTGGGATTACAGGCGTGAGCCACCGCGCCTGGCCTGGACCCTTTAAATATATATATATATTTAAATTTTTTTTACCAGCCAGCATCATGCTAAGTTTTGTCAATAGATGGCTGGAGAGACATTGCAGGAAGAAAGAGTTTTGCTTCCCAGTTCAGCAAACCCTCCTGGGAGGCTCCTGCAGCACAAGTGGGTTCCCAGCTCCCTGCTTCTGCAGGGCAGGGTGGCCAGCAGAACCCCAGGGTCAGCAGCTCCCCCAGGTGCCCTCTGGATGGTTTTGCAGTGGAGTTCCTCTGTGGAGACACCTGCCCATGAACAGCTTTCCCTGGCACCCAAGAGGGTGGATTTCCAGCAAGTTCCACCAGACTGACACTCCAGCAACTACTGTACTTCAGCGACTTCTGTACTTCTGTGCCCTCTCCAAAAACTTGTGGATCTCAGGAAGGAAGGAGGTCTGTCTTTCTTTCTTTCTTTCTTTTCTTTCTTTCTTTCTTTCTTTCTTTCTTTCTTTCTTTCTTTCTTTCTTTCTTTCTTTCTTTCTTTCTTTCTCTTTCTTTCTTTCCTTCCTTCCTTCCTTCCTTTCCTTCCTTCCTTCCTTCTTTCTTTTTCCTTCCTTCCTTCCTTCCTTCCTTCCTTCCTTCCTTCCTTCCTTCCTTCCTTCTCTCTCTCTCTCTTTCTTTCTTTCGACAGGGTCTCACTCTGTCACCCAGACTGGAGTGTGGTGGCTCACCACAACCTCCGCCTCCCAGGCTCAAGCGATTCTGCCTTAGCCTCCCAAGTAGCTGGGATTACGGGCACATGCCACCATGCCTGTCTAATTTTTGTATTTTTAGTAGAGATGGGGTTTCACCATGTTGACCAGGCTGGTCTCAAACTCCTGACCTCAAATGATCCACCCGCTATGGCCTCCCAAAGTGCTGGGGTTACAGGCATGAGCCACCGCGCCTGGCCAGAAGGAGCCTTTTTCTTGTATGCTCTGTCTCCGCCTGAGAGGAGCTGTGGCTGCTCCTTGTATTAGGTTGGTGCAAAAATAACTGTGGTTTTTGTCATTAAAAGTAATGGCAAAACCGCAATTACTTTTGCACCAACCTAATATCTGCTCTTCTTGCATTTTTTTTTTTAGAATTCTGTTTACTTCTTATTATCTGTAGTGGGCAGAATTTTGTCTCCCCACCTCCCCCCCACCCCACCAAAGATATTTTCAAATCTTGAACCTTTCACTTCCTCTGAATCTGACCTTATTTTGTTGTTGTTGTTGTTGTTGTTGTTGTTGCTGTTGTTGTTTGACACAGGATCTTGCTCTGTTACCCAGGCTGCAGTGCAGTGGCTGGATCTTGGCTCACTGCAGCCCTGACCCCCTGGGTTCAAGCAGTCCTCCTGCCTCAGCCTCCCGAGTAGCTGGGACCACAGTCACATACCTCCACACCCTGCTAATTTTTATTTTTATTTATTTATTTTTTTGAGATGGAATCTCGCTCTGTCACCAGGCTGGAGTGCAATGGCGCGATCTCGCCTCACTGCAACCTCCACCTGCAGGGTTCAAGTGATTCTCCTGCCTCAGCCTCCCAAGTAGCTGGGACTACAGGTATGTGCCACCGTGCCCAGCTAATTTTTGTATTTTTAGTACAGACAGGGTTTCATCATGTTGGCCAGGATGGTCTCAATCTCTTGACCTCGTGATCCACCTGCCTTGGCCTCCCAAAGTAATTTTTAATTTTTTTTTTTAGTATAGACAAGGTCTCACTATGTGGCCGAGGCTGGTCTTGAACTCCTGAGCTCAAGCAATGCTCCCGCCTTGGCCTCCCAAAGTGCTGGGATTACAGGAATGATCCACCACGCCCAGCCATGACCTTATTAGGAAATAGAGTCTGCAGATGTAATCAAGATCATACTGGATTAGGATGGGCGGTAATATAATGACTGGTGTCCTTGCAAGAAGAGGGAAATTTGGACACAGACACATAGAAAGGAGAATGTTATGTGAAGACAGGCACAGACGTACAGAGGGAGAATGCCATGTAGCAATGGAGGCAGGAATTGGAGTGTGGCATCTGCAAGCCAAGGAATGCCAAAGATTGTCGGCAGCCACCAAAAGCTTGGAAAAGGCAAGGAAGGATTCTTGCGAGGCGGGGTGGCTCACACCTGTCATCCCAGCACTTTGGGAGGCTGAGGTGGGAGGATTGCTTGAAGCAAAGAGTTTGAGACCAGCCTGGGCAACAAAGCGAGACCCCATCTCTCCAAAAAAAGTAAAATAAATTAGCGGGGCATGGTGGTGCATGCCTGTAGTCCCAGCACTTTGGGAGGCAGAGGTGGGAGAATCACTTGAGCTCAGAAGTTTGAGGCTGCAGTGAGCTATGACTTGCATTCCAGTCTGGGAGGTGGGGTGAAGCTGAGCCCTCTTGAATGAATCTGTGGTAATTTGTTATGTCAGTTTTAGAAAAATAATACACAATCTAATCATTTCTCTAATCCTCTGTTATTGTTATATTATTATTATTTTTTTTGAGATGGAGTCTCACTCTGTCACCCAGGCTGGAGTGCAGTAGCATGATCTCAGCTCACTGCAACCTCTGCCGCCTGGGTTCAAGAGATTCTCCTGCCTCAGGCTCCCGAGTAGCTGGGACTACAGGTGCCTGCCACCACCATGCCCAGCTAATTTTTTGTATTTTTAGTAGAGATGTGTTTTCACCGTGTTAGCCAGGATGGTCTCGATCTCCTGAACTCGTGATCTGCCCGCCTCGGCCTCCCAGAGTGCTTGGATTACAGGCATGAGCCACTGCACTTGGCTATTGTTGATTTTTTTAAAATATTAAACCTTTCCTTGTTCAAATTACCATGTGGTTTCTCTGTCTTGATTTGACCCAGACTTAATCATCACCAACAAATGTAGGTACTAGTGTTTCAGCATTAAATAAAATGGAATATCTGAATTTTGAAAGTCCCCACTTGCAATTACTGTGCAGATATTTTAGAGGATGGGCCATTTGCAGGAGAGGTGTAAAGTCTGCATTGCAGACATAATCCTTAAAGTCGTTTTGAATGCTGCTGTCACACCTGAAAAAAAAAAAAAAAAGAAAATGAGCACTGATGGTGCCTCTGAGGACAGATGGCTCAGATGAAGTGGAGGAAGCTGGGCTGGGCAGCTGCCAGCTTGTCTAAAGGTGATTCCTGGCATCCTATACTTTCATGTGGAGGCCAGATCTAGGCAACATTCAGAAAGCGAGTCCAGCCGGGGATGGTGGCCTGCAACTGGAGTCCCAGCTACTCCAGAGGCTGAGGCAGGAGGATCACTTGAGCCCGGTAGGTCAAGGCTGCAATGAGCTGTTTATGGAGCCACTGAACTCCAGCCTGGGCAACAGAGTGAGACCCTGTCTCTAAAAAAAAAAAAAAAAATTTCCAGATAGAGGTGTCTGGAGATCAATACTCATGGCTAGAGTGGCAATGCTGAGGCATTGAGGTCTAAGAGACAGAAAACAGATTCACACCACTGTGACCTTTGCTCTAGAGAAAGAGGAAGGCCTAAACATGGGACAGTCAAGGTTTTTGTGGGGGCAGGAGGGCTCTAAATATGGGCTGAGGTGTCTATTTATTTGTTCAGTACATTTGTTGAACTCCAGCAATGAGCCAGACACAAAAACACTATGGTGGACAAGACAGTGAGCGTCCTTGTCTTCAGAGACAATGAAATAGACCAACACGATGAGATAAATGCTCAACTCAACTTATGTACAGGTTCCCAAAAGGGCACATTGCAGAGCTACAGGAGAATGCTTCCCAGAGAAGGTGATGAACAATGTGACTTTAAGGAAAGGGAGTTGGGAAGGAAGACTGTGCATCAGTCATCACTGCAAGTGCAGAGATCCAGGGGCAGAAATTGAGGAGAATGTAGATAATTTGGTTGTCAGCCCATCAGAGCTAACACATGCCTTTTTTTTCTTGAGACAGAGTCTGGCTTGGTCACCCAGGCTGGGTGCATTGGCGTGATCATAGCTCACTGTAGCCTTGACCTCCCAGGCTCAAGTGATCCTGCCACCTCAGCCTCCCAAGTAGCTAACACTACAGGCACATGCCACCACACCCGGGTAATTAAGAAACAATTTTTGGGCTGGGTGCGGTGGCTTATGCCTGTAATGCCAACACTTTGGGAGGCTGAGGTGGGCAGATCATTTGAGGTCAGGAGTTCAAGACCAGCCTGGCCAACATGGCAAAACCCCGTCTCTAACAAAAATACAAAAAATTAGCCCAGTGTGGTGGCTCGAGCCTGTAATCCTAGCTACTTGGGAGGCTGAGGCAGGAGAATGCTTGAACCCGGGAGGTGGAGGTTGCAGTGAGCTGAGATCATGCCACTGCACTCCAGCCTGCCCGAAAGAGCAAGACTCTGCCTTAAAAAAAAAAAGAAAAAAAAGAAAAATTTTTATAGAGATAAGGGTGGTCTCGCTATGTTGCCCAGGCTAGTCTTGAACTCCTGGGCTCAAGTGATCCTCCTGCCTCAGCCTCCCAAAGCTCTGGGATTACAGGTGTGAGCCACTGGGCCTGGCCACACGTCTTAAAAAAAAAAAAAGTTTTTTTTGTTTGTTTGTTTTGTTTTTTCTTTTTTGAGACAGAGTCTCGCTCTGTCACCAGGCTGGAGTGCAGTGGCACAATCTCGGGTCACTGCAACCTCCGCCTCCTGGATTCAAGCAATTCCCCTGCCTCAGCCTCCGGAGTAGCTGGGACTATAGGCACGTGCCACCATGCCCAGCTAATTTTTTGTATTTTAGTAGAGACGGGGTTTCACCATGTTGGCCAGGCTGGTCTCAATCTCCTGACCTCGTGATCTGCCCACCTCGGCCTCCCAAACTGCTGGGATTACAGGCATGAGCCACTGTGCCCGGCCAAAAAAAAAAAAAAAAGTTTTGAACACTCCTTTTACTCTGATGAAATTAATGAATAGATAAATAAAACATCTATAATACTACTTTTAAAAGTCAATATAGGCTGGACACATTGGCTCATGCCTGTAATCCCAGCACTTTGGAAGGCCAAGGCAAGCAGATCACCTGAAGTTGGGAGTTTGAGACCAGCCTGGCCAACATGGCAAAACTGCGTCTCTACTAAAAATACAAAAAATTAGCTGGGCATGGTGGTGTGCACCTGTAATCCCAGCTACTCAGGAGGCTAAGGTGTGAGAATTGCTTGAACTGGGGAGGCAGAGGTTGCAGTGGGCCAAGATCGTGCTGCTGCAGTCCAGCCTAGACTCTGTCTCAAAAATAAATAAATAAATAAATAAATAAATAAATAAATAAATAAATAAATATTACAGGCTGGGCGCGGTGGCTCACGCCTGTAATCCCAGCACTTTGGGAGGCCGAGATGGGTGGATCACCTGAGGTTGGGAGTTTGAGACCAGCCTGACCAACATGGAGAAACCCCGTCTCTACTAAAAGTACAAAATTAGCTGGATGTTGTGGCACATGCTTGTAATCCCAGCTACTCGGGAGGCTGAGGCAGGAGAATCACTTGAACCCGGAAGGCGGAAGCTGCAGTGAGCCGAGATCGCACCATTGCACTCCAGCCTGAGCAATAAGACCGGAACGCCATCTCAAAAAATAAAAAAATAAATAAATAAAAATAAAATAAAAAATAAATGTTACAACTACACGGTGGGCATGGTGGCTCACAACTGTAACCCCAGCTACTTGGGAGGCTGTGATGGGAGGATTGTTTGAAGCCAGGAGTTCAAGACTCCCATCTCTAACAGAAAATAAAGAAAAATAAATTGAACTAGTGGTTACTCTTGTGGTAGGGTAGTAACTAGGAGGGACATGAGCCTTTAGGATGCTACAGATGTTTTGTTTTGCTTTGTAGAGACAGGGTCTCTGCTGGAGAGAAGTAGAGTAAAGAAAAAAAAAAGGAGGGAGGGTCTTGCTCAGTTGCCCAGGCTTGAGTGCAGTGTTGCGATCATGGCTCACTGCAACCTTGAACTCCTGAGCTCAAGCAATCCTCCCACCTCAGCCTCCTAAGTAGCTGGGACTACAGGTGTGAACCCCCATGCCCAGCTAAATATATATGTATATATTTTTTGTTTTGTTTTGTTTTTGTAGAGAGGGGGTCTCACTCTGTTGTCCAGGCTCCTCTTGAACTCCTGGCCTCACCCATTCCTCCCCAGCCTCAGCTCCCAAAGGGCTGGGACTGTAGTCATGAGCCACCACACCCAGCCAATGTTTTGGTTTCTTGATATGGGTACTGGTTTCTTGATATGGGTGTGTTTACTTTGTGACAATGCATTGAGCCTACACTTAGGGTTTGTGCACTTTTCTGTATTACATTATTCTTTAAAAAATTTTTTAAATACGCTGGGAGCAGTGGCTCACGCCTGTAATCCCAGCATTTTGGGAGGCTGAGGCAGGCAGACTGCTTGAGTTCAGGAGTTTGAGACCAGCCTGGGCAATATGGCATAACCCTGTCTCTAAAAAAAAAAAAAAATTAGCCAGGAATGGTGGTGTGAGCCTGTAGTCCCAGCAACTCCGGAGGCTGAGGTGGGAGGATGGCTTAAGCCCAGGAGGCAGAGGTTGCAGTGAGCTGAGATGCCACGACTGCAATCCAGCCTGGGCAACAGAGCCAGAACCTGTCTCTCTCTCTCTCTCTCTCTCTCTCTCTATATATATATATTTTGGCTGGGCGCAGTGGTTCATGCCTGTAATCCCAGCACTTTGGGAGGCCGAGGCAGGTGGATCACGAGGTCAGGAGTTCAAGACCAGCCTGGCCAATATGGTGAAACACCATCTCTACTAAAAATACAAAAATTAGCTGGGCATAGTGGTGCATGCCTGTAGTCCCAGCTACTCAGGAGGCTGAGGGAGGAGAATCTCTTGAACCTAGAAGCGGAGGTTGCAGTGAGCTGAGATTGCACCACTGCACTCCAGCCTAGGCAACAGAGCAAGACTACATCTCAAAAAAATAAAAATTTAAGTAATGTATATGTCAGTATGTAATGCTTGGGTAGGGCTTTGCTAGGAGATTTGGTGAAGTTGTCATATTGAAGTTGTCATATGCTTGTACCCCCCATTTTTTCCCCACTACCTTTTTCTTCCAATTAAGCTGAGCTTCCCTGAGTCCTGAATAATCCTTTCACCTCCCAATCCCTGCAGATCCCGCCTCAGATGCTGAACCTTGTGCTCTAATTCCGTGGCCTGAAAGCAGTGGCTCTCCTCAGGGGCAGTGCCACCCCTTAGGGGTTGTTTTGTGAATTTTTAGGAGGGGGTGTTTTGGTCGCAGTGAGTGATGGAGGACCTCTGGCATTAATGGGTTAACCCATGGGGATCAGTTGTGTCCTACACAGTGCCAGACAGTCTCACTTAGTGAAAAACTGTCCCTCCTCCACCATCATTTGCAGAATGCCCCATGGCCATCCATGTACATGAGAACAGGTTAATAACTGAGTAGAGAATCTAAATTCATTTTTTATATAAACACGAACATATACGCATGGTTTTAATCCTGACTTTTCATGATTACAGGTGCACACCAGCATGCTCAGCTAATTTTTGTATTTTTAGTAGAGACAGGTTTCATCATGTTGGCCAGGCTGGTCTTGAACTCCTGACCTCAAGTGATCCACCTGCCTCACCTCCCAAAGTGCTGGGATTATAGGCATGACCACCACGTCCAGCCCTAATTTTTATTTTAAGAGACAGGGTCTTGCTCTGTTGCTCAGGCTGGAGTGCAACGGTGCAGGCATGGCTCACTGCAGCCTCTAGCCACTGGGCTCAAGCGATCCTCCCGCCTAAGCCTCCTGAGTAGTTGGGACTACAGGCACGCACTGCCACGCTCAGCTAAGTTTTTATGTTTTAATTTTTTGTAGAGACAGGGTCTTGTTTTGTTACCCAGGTTATCTTGATCTCTTGGACCCCAGCAGTCCTACCACTTCGGCCTCCCAAAGTGCTGGTATTATAGGCATGAGCACCTGACTCTGTTTTCTTGTTTTATTTATTTATTTTTTTTGAGACAGGGTGTCACTCTTTTGCCTAGGCTGGAGTGCAGGGGCACAATCTCACCTCATTGCAACCTCTGCCTCCCAGGCTCAAGGGATCCTCCCACCTCCACCTCCCAAGTAACCGGGACTACAGGCGCACACCACCATGCTAGGACAATTTTTTATTTTTTGAGAAGGAGTCTTGCTCTGTTGCCCAGGCTGGAGTGCAGTGGTGCAATCTTGGCTCACTGCAACCTCTGTTTCCTGGGTTCAACCAATTCTCCTGCCTCAGCCTCCCGAGTAGCTGGGATTACAGGCACCTGCCACCACACCCTGATAATTTTTGCTTTTCTTTTTTTTTGAGATGGAATCTCACTCTGTTGCCCAGGCTGGAGTGCAGTGGCATGATCTTGGCTCATTGCAACCTCTGCCTCCCAGGTTCAAACAATTCTCTGCCTCAGCCTCCCAAGTACTGGGATTACAGGTGGCTGCCACCACACCCAGCTAATTTTTGTATTTTTAGTAGAGACGGGGTTTCACCATATTGGTCAGGCTGGTCTTCAACTCCTGACCTCGTGATCCACCCGCCTCGGCCTCCCAAAGTGCTGGGATTACAGGCATAAGCCACCGCATCCGGCTGCTAGGACAATTTTTTATTTATTTATTTTTGTTGTTGTTGAAACAGAGTCTTGCTCTGTCGCCCAGGCTAGAGTGCAGTGGTGTGATCTCGGCTCACTGCACCCTCTGCCTCCTGGGTTCCAGCAATTCTCCTGCCTCAGCCTCCTAGGTAGCTGGGATTACAGGCGCCTGCCACCACATCTGGCTAATTTTTGTATTATTTTATTTCATTTTATTTTGTAGAGGCGGGGTTTCGCCATGTTGGCCAGGCTGCTCTCAAACTCCTGTCCTCAGGTGATCCTCCCGCCTCAGCCTCCCAAAGTGCTGGGATTACCAGCGTGAGCCACTGCGCCGGTCCGTTGTTGTTGTTGTTGTTGTTGTTGTTGTTGAGACAGAGTTTTGCTCTTGTCATCCAGGCTGGAGTGCAATAGTGCCATCTCAACTCACTGCAACCTCCGCCTCCCAGGTTCAAGTGATTCTCCTGCCTCAGCCTCCCCAGTAGCTGGGATTACAGGTGCCCACCACCATGCCCGGCTAATTTTTGTATTTTTAGTAGAGATGGGGTTTCACCATGTTGGCCAGGCTGGTCTCGAACTCCTGACCTCAGATGATCTGCCTTCCTGGGCCTCTCAAAGTGCTGGGATTACAGGCGTGAGCCACTGTGCCTGGCCTCAGAATGAACATTTTTAAATAAAATAACTGATTTATCCTAATCTACCAGTACATAATGGACTCTCAGGACTGGCAGGGAAAAGCATGGAAAGGAAGGACTCAGATAACACCCATGTTTTGGGACATTAGGTCTAATATTGCTAGTAACAGGAGGGAAGTCTAATTGAGTAGTCAGTGAAAGTTTCTAGGAAAAATAAACTCATAACCCAATAATCATGTGAAAATATTTAGCAGCCATTTAGATGTGTTGGCCTAGAAGGGGGTTACTCAACCTCAGAGCAATTAATATTTTGGACCAGATAATTCCTGTGAAGAGCTGTCCTGTGCATTGTAGGATGTAGTATTAATAGCAGCATCCCTAGCCTCTACCCACTAGATGTCAGTAGCACCTACGTCTCCTCCCTGTCTTTCTGCCCATTTGTGACAAACAAAAATGTCTCCAGACATTGCCAAATGCCCTCTAGGAGCAGTCACCCCCAGTTGGGAATCACTGGCCTACAGTATATTGAAACCAAGGCAAAGAGGGTGGAGGCTTGAACCTTGGGGAAATATATTTTATTTATTTATTATTATTATTATTATTATTATTTTTTGAGATGGAGTCTTGCTCTGTCGCCCAGGCTAGAGTGCAGTGGCACGATCTCGGCTCACTGCAAGCTCCGCCTCCCAGGTTCATGCCATTCTCCTGCCTCAGCCTCCTGAGCAGCTGGGACTACAGGCACCCGCCACCACACCCAGCTAATTTTTTGTATTTTTAATAGAGACGGGGTTTCACCGTGTTAGTCAGGATGGTCTTGATCTCCTGACCTTGTGATCTGCCCGCCTCGGCCTCCCAAAGTGCTGGGATTACAGGCTTGAGCCACCGCGCCCGGCCTTACTATTATGTTTTTTTGCGATGGAGTTTCACTCTTGTTGCCCAGGCTGGAGTGCAATGGTGCGATCTTGGCTCACTGCAAGCTCTACCTCCTGGGTTCAAGTGATTCTCCTGCCTCAGCCTCCTGAGTAGCTGGGATTACAGGCGGATGCCACCACGCCCGGCTAATTTTTTTTTTTTTTTTTTAGAGTTTCGCTGTTGTCCAGGCTGGAGTGCAATGGCACGATCTCAGCTCACTGCAACTTCCGCCTTCCCAGTTTAAGCGATTCTCCTGCCTCAGCCTCCTGAGTAGCTGGGATTACAGGCACCTGCCACCACGCCCAGCTAATTTTTTGTATTTAGTAGAGAAGGGGTTTCACCATTTTGGCTAGGCTGGTCTCCAACTCCTGACCTCAGGTGATCTACCCACCTTAGCCTCCCAAAGCGCTGGATTATGGACATGAGCCAATGCGCCTGGGCAGAAATGTGGTTTTTTTTTTTTTTTTTTTGAGACTGAGTCTCACTCTATCACCCAGGCTGGAGTGCAGTGGTGCGATCTCAGCTTGCTGCAACCTCTGTCTCCTGGGTTCAAGCTATTCTCGTGCCTCAGCCGCCTGAGCAGCTGGAATTACAGGTTCACACAACCACACCCAGCTAATTTTTGTATTTTTAGTACAGATGGGGTTTCATCATGTTGGCCAAGCTGGTCTTGAAGTCCTGACCTCAAGTGATTGGCCCGCCTTGGACTCCCAACGTGCTGGGATTACAGGCATAAGCCACCGCACCTGGCCAGAAATGTACTTTTAAAATGAAGGGTGGCCGGATGCAGTGGCTCACTCCTGTAATCCCAGCACTTTAGGAGGCTGAGGCATGAAGATTGCTTGAAACAGGAGTTCGAGACCAGACTGGACAACACAGTGAGGCCCCGTTTCTGGGCACACTTGTGATTTCAGGCACAAGTCACCACGTGGGGGCTTCATCTAATTATTACCTCTGTATATTTTCCATGGTTTCCCATCTTTTACCTCTTTCATTACTACTGCATTTGTTTAGATTCTATCATCCTTGAAGGTCCAGCTGCAACAGCAGCCCCACCCATGCGTCGAAGCCTTCTGAGGTCTTTCCTTCTTCTGAGCTTCTAGGGCATCTTTTACTGTCCCTTCTGCCCTCCAATTGTGCCACCACCAGCCTGGCCAACATGGCGAAACGCCACCTGCTAAAAATACAAAAATTAGCCGGGTGTGGTGGCACATGCCTGTAATCCCAGCTACTCAGGAGGCTGAGGCAGGAGAATTGCTTTAGCTCTGGGAGGCGGAGGCTGTAGTAAGCTGAAATAGTGCCACTGCACTCTAGCCTGGATGACAGAGACTCTGTCTCTAAATAAATAAATAAATAAATAAGCAGGGCTCGGTGGCTCACACTTGTACTCCCAGCACTTTGGGAGGCTGAGGTGGGTGGATCACCTGAAGTCAGGAATTCGAGACTAGCCCGGCCAACATGGTGAAACCCTGTCTCTACTAAAAATACAAAAATTAGCCAAGCATGGTAGTGCGCACCTGTAATCCCAGCTACACGGGAAGCTGAAGCAGGAGAATCGCTTGAACCTGGGAGGCAGAGGTTGTAGTGAGCTGAGATCGCATCATTGCACTCCAGCCTAGGCAACAAGAGCGAGACTCCATCTCAAAACAAACAAAACAAACAAACAAACAAAATGCTGCTCACCTCAGAGGACTAGATGGAGAATTTTTTTTTTTTTGAGTCGGAGTTTTGTTCTTGTTGCCCAGGCTGGAGTATAATGGTGCGATCTCAGCTCACTGCAACCTCTGCCTCCCGGGTTCAAGCGATTCTCCTGCCTCAGCCTCCCGAGTAAGTGGGATTACAGGCATGCGTCACCACGCCCGGCTAATTTTGTATTTTTAGTAGAGACGGGGTTTCACAATGTTGGTCGGGCTGGTCTTGAACTCCTCACCTCAGGTGATCCGCCCGCCTCAGACTCCCAGAGTGCTGGGATTACAGGTGTGAACCACCGTGCCCTGCCTGGATGGGGATAGTTTTGTAAACTATAGAGTGCCCCCAATTTTTAGTAAAGTTACAAAGAATTTTCACACATTTTGAGTTTTATGGAGCTAGAATGCACATCACAAATACACCTATTTGAAGTGTACAATTCAATTTTTGTGCTAGCATGAAAATTTTAGTGCACTTTCATGACCACAAAAAGAAACTGCATATTCATTAGCATTCACTCCCCATTCCCCCTAGTCCTTCTTTTTTTCCCTGGGCCATAGCGTCTGGCCAATGAAACGGATTTTTGTGCTAGCGCGGCCACAATCAGTACTAGTACATTTTCATCACCCCAGAAAGAACCTCTGTATTTATTAGCATTCACTCCCCTTTCCCCGAGTCCTTCTATAGATTTGTGTATTCTAGATATTTCATATTTTATAAAACACCTTCACACATTTTTACTTGACTTCCAGGATTTTTCTTTTCTCTCTTTTTTTTTTTTGAGACAGAATTCCGCTCTTGTTGCCCAGGCTGGAGTGCAATGGCGCGATCTCGGCTCACCACAACCTCTGCCTCCCGGGTTAAAGCGATTCTCCTGCCTCAGCCTCCAGAGTAGCTGGGATTACAGGCATGCGCCACTACGCCCGGCTAATTTAGTAGAGACGGGGTTTCTCCATGTTGGTCAGGTTGGTCTCGAAGTGTGATCCGCTCAAAGTGCTGGGATTACAGGCGTGAGCCACCGTGCCCAGTCCAGGAGGATTTTTCTTTGTAAGAACCTTTTACAATGATCTGTGGGGGTCCATCCCTCCTATTTTACAGGAGAAAATAGACGGTTATCTAGGCTTTGTGAGTGCCAAGTTCGCACGCGGCTTTCGACTCCGTGGCTACATTGTCGGGCCGGGATTTCGCGATTTCGAGGAGGGATGCTCGGCCTCCTCCTACTAGCGTGGTTGGGGCCTCGGCCAGGGCCGAGTTCCGCGGGGGAGAGCCCCAGGGTTCTGCCACCGCACCGTTGACCTAGAATGCACGTGGGGACAGCCAAAGGTCCAGTCTCCAGTCTCGGAACCCGCGGGCCCCCGAACACGTCTGCCTGCTTGGTCTTCTTTGAACCCAAGTCCCACCGCCCACCAGGATCCTAATGACGCCGGCCTGGGGAACTCCCACGCACGCGCCGTTCAAACGCCCCGCCCTCCGCGGCCCAATCACCGCACACCTTGTTTGGACGTTCGACCAGAAGCGTCCTATCAGCGAGCGCGATCCTAGAGACTGACCAGGATCCGTGACGCCCGTTCGGGTGGGCAGTGCCAGTGCGCTGAAGGGCAAGCCTCAGGGGAAGCTTGTTCCTTATTTAGTAAGATTAGCTTGACTAAGGGAGCGAAGGGCGTCACACTGCTTTTGGAAACAGGTGGTGAGGCTGGCGTCGCCATGTTTTCTAAGGGACTTTCTCAGGATCAGATCCAAGAGTGGTCCTTTAGGGCTTTTTTTTTTTTTTTTTGAGACGTTGTCTCGCCCTGTCACCCAGGCTGGAGTGCAGTGGCGCGATCTCGGCTCAGTGCAACTTCCGTCTCTCGGGTTCAAGCAATTCTCCTGCCTCAGCCTCCAGGGTAACTGCGATTACAGGCTCCCGCCACCACGCCAGGCTAATTTTTGTATTTTAAGTAGAGACGGGATTTCACCATATTGGCCAGGCTGGTCTTGAACCCCTGACTTCCAGTGATCCGCCAACCTCAGCCTCCCAAAGGGGCTTTTAAATGTAAGGGCCGCGCAGGGGCTCCGGGTAGGGCATGAAAGGTTGGGAGGGGCCCTAGCCATTGTCTTTTTTGTTATTGTTAAGGCTGACTTTTTTTAGGCTGTCGCCCATTCTAGAATGCAGCGGCGTGATCTTGGCTCACTGCAGCCTCGACTTCCCTGGCTCAAGTGATCCTCCCACCTCAGCCTCCCGAGTTGCTGGGACCACAGGTGCCACACCGCGCCCGCTTAATTTTTTTTTCTTTATATATATTTTTTTGTAGTGACGGGGTTTCGAACTCCAGGACTCAACGGAGCCTCCCATCTCAGACTCTGGGTGAGATTATAGGCGTTAACCATGACTCCCTACCCAGTATAAACTCAAACACACCAGGCGCAGCAGCTCACGCCTGTAATCCCAGCACTTTGGGAGGTGAAGGCAGGTGGATCACCTGAAGTCAGGAGTTCGAGACCAGCCTGGCCAACATGGCGAAATCCCGTCTCTACTAACAATAACAAAAATTAGCTGGGCGTGGTGGCAGGCGCCTGTAATACCAGAGATTCAGGAGGCTGAGGCAGGAGAATCGCTTGAACCCAGGAGGTGGAGGTTGCAGCCAGCCAAGATCGTGCCATTGCACTCCAGCTGGGGCAACAAGAGTGAAACTCTGTCTCAAAAAAACAAAAACAAAAGCAAATAAAATATTGCTGGGCGCGGTGGCTCACACCTGTAATCCCAGCAGTTTGGGAGGCCAAGGCGGGCGGATCACTTGAGGTCAGGAGTTTGAAACCAGCCTGGCCAACATGGTAAAAACCTTTTCTCTACTAAAAATACAAAAAAATTAGCCCAGCGTGGCAGTGGATGCCTGTAATCCCAGCTACTTGGGAGGCTGAGACAGGAGAATCCCTTGAACTCGGGAGGTGGAGGTTGCAGTGAGCCGAGATCATGCCATTGCACTCCAGCCCGGGCGACAGAGCGAGACTTTGTCTCAAAAAAAATAAAAAAATAAAAAAACCAAACATTTAAAAAATAAAAAACCAAACGAGGCTGGGCACGGTGGCTCATGCCTCTAATCCCAGCACTTTGGGAGGCTCAGGCAGGCAGATCACTTGAGGCCAGGAGTTGGAGACCAGCCTGGCCAACATGGTGAAACCCTGTTTCTACTAAAAATACAAAAATTAGCTAGGCATGGTCATGGGAGCCTCTAATCCCACAGGCTGAGGCAGAAGAATCGCTTGAACCTGGGAGGTGGAAGTTGCAGTGAACTGAAATTGCGCCACTGTACTCCAGCCTAGGCGACAGAGCGAGACTCCATCTCAAAAAATAAAACAAAACAAAACAAAACAAAAATGAAAAAAAAAAAAAATAGCTGGGCATGGTGGCGGGCGCCTGTGGTCCTAGCTCCTCAGGTGGCTGAGGCGGGAGGATCTCTTGAGCCCAGGAGTTTGAGGCTGTAGTGAGCTGTGATTGCACCATTGCACCCCAGCCTAGTGACACAGTGAGACCCCATGTCCATACACAACAAAAGCAAAAGAGGAATACAAAAATAGCTATATATTTTTAGTGTTTGCATTTAAGAAACTGATGCTTTTAACACAGTAATACATTACAATATAATTATTATACTCACAATATTGTTACAAGAGAAAAATAATACATAAGGCAAGATAATGAGGCCTAGTTCCTAATGAGGGTTTTCTTTCAATTCAGTGTCTCTAGGTCCAGAATACTTGCTTGAGGCTAAAATAAAGGTTTAAATTTTAGAGTTTTGGCTGGGTGTGTTGGCTCGGGCCTGTAATCCTTGCACTTTGGGGAGCCAAGATAGGAGAATGGCTGGAGCCCAGGAATTTGAGGTTACAGAGAGCTATGATCATGCCATTGCACTTCAGCCTGGGCAACAGAGTGAAACCCTGGCTCTTAAGAAGGAAAAAAAAGTTCGATAAGTATCCCCAACTTCCTAGTTGAGGACCTGTCAGAGTTGTTCCCCTCTTCCACCAGGGACTTCCTCTGGGTCTCCTACACCTGCTCTGCCTAATTTCTTCTCCCTCAGGATCTAAGAGGTCCAAACCACCTTTTAAATTTTTTTAATTTTTTTTGAGACAGAGTCTTGCTCTGTTGCCCAGGCTGGAATGCAATGGGGCGATCTCGGCTCACTGCAACCTCCGCCTCCCAGGTTCAAGCGATTCTCCTGCGTCAGCCTCCCAAGTAGTTGAGACTATAGGCTCCTGCCACCACACCTAGCTAATTTTTGTATTTTTAGCAGAGACGGGATTTCACCATATTGGCCAGGCTGGTCTCGAACTCCTGACCTTGTGATCTGCCTGCCTCAGCTTCTCAGAGTGCTGGGATTATAGGTGTGAGCTACCATGCCTGGCCAACCACCTTGTCTCTTGGATGGGACAAAAAAAGCTGAGATCTGTGGTATCCGAAGTTGGGGATCCCAAGGAGAAGGAAGGTTCCAAAAGATCCTGTTGAGACAAGAGAACCCTTGTATGCCTCAAGTCAGACTTCTCAGGGCCTATCATTTGCAAAGATCTCCCACTACAGAAACTGTCTGGGGCAATTTCAGTACCTTTTCTAGGCATTTCCATTCTCTTAGATTCCAGGTGGCACCAGGCTTCTTCCAGGCTTGAGGAATATAACAGTGGGTTTCTATTTCCTTCTTCTTTTTTGTTTATTTATTTGTATATCAATGGGTTTCTAAAAGTAACACAACTGGCCAGGCACGGTGGCTCACGCCTGTAATCTCAGCACTTTGGGAGGCCGAGATGGGCAGATCACCTGATGTCAGGAGTTCGAGACCAGCCTGACCAACATGGCGAAACTCCATCTCTACTAAAAATACAAAAAGTAGCTGGGCGTGTTGGCATGCACCTGTAGTCCCAGCTACTCAGGAAGCTGAGACAGGAGAATCACTTGAAGCTGGGAAGCGGAGGTTGCAGTGAGCCGAGATCCCACCACTGCACTCCAGCCGGGGCGACAGAGTGAGATTCTGCCTCTAAATAAATAAATAAATAAATAAATAAATAAATAAATAAATGTAACACAACTAAAATCTTTTCTTCACTCACCCCTTTCCCTGTGAATGATACAGAGAGAGAGGGCTGCAAAGTACAGGTAGGGAGGAAAGCTATATTTTGTTTAGCATATAACTGAACTCAGGTCTTGTACCACATTCTTTTTAAAGAGGGTCCCTTTAATTATCACACTTAATCTTCGTGACAACCCTAAGAGGGAGAAATTATTATCCTTGGAAATTAAAGCAGAAAGGCTCTCTTGCCAGTGAGGAGCAGAGGTTAAGTTTGCTTTGTAAATGGGAATTCTCAAGGAAACATAAGCTCTTTGGAAAGGGGCCCAAAGATGACTTTAAGTGTTTGAAGCTTTAGGTACATTGCTTTTGGTTGGAGTGGGAGAGTTGTGAAGGTCAGTCCATGCCTGGAATCCCTCCAAGGTGAAGATCAGTGTTTCCTGTGCCAGTCATTTAAAAAGATTAGAATGGGCCGGGCACGGTGGCTCATGCCTTAATCCCAGGGATTGGGAGGCTGAGGCAGGAGGATCACTTGAGCCCTGAAGTTCGAGACCAGCCTGGGCAACATGATGAAACCAGGTCCCTACAAAAAATGCAAAAATTAGCCGGGCATGGTGGTGCATGCCTGTAGTCCTAGCTCCTTGGTAGGCTGAGGTGGGAGGATCACTTGACCCTAGGAAGTCGAGGCTGCAGTGAACTGTGATTGCACCACTACACTGCAGCCTAGCGATGGAGTGAGACCCTGTGTCTGTCTCTGTCTCTCTCTCTCACACACACACATGCACGCACACACACACACACAGTAGCACGAGTTGGGATCTCAGTTTTTTTATCCAGATTGAGGGTAATATCTTCTAGAAGTCTAAATGAATCAGCCTGAGAGAGTGATGGAAATGGGAGATACCCTAATAGCCAAGGAATGGAACACTGAAGCTGACTGTACTTCTATTGATGGCTGTTGTGATATCTGTTCTTCTTGGTTTAAAAGAATTTAGACAAGAGACACAACAAAAAAAGTGTAGCATATAGTAATTTATTGCAAAAGAAAAAATATTTTGTAAGTTAGATGCCACAGCCTGGGCAACCCGTTTCTACTAAGAATAGAAAAATTAGCTGTGTGTGGTGGCACACACCTGTAGTCCCAGATACTCGGGAGGCTGAGGTGGGAGGATTGCTTGAGCCCGGGATGCGGAGGTTGTAGTGAGGTGAGATCGCATCTCTGCACTCCAGCCTGGGTGACAGAGCGAGACTCTGTCTCAAAGAAAAAAAAAAGTTAGGTGCAGAATAGACAGGACATCCTGAGAGCGTGAGGATTCTGGGCGGGCTGCTGGTAAGGATGAGACAGCAAAGACTGACACTAGGAAGAGTCCCTTTATGGGAGTCTTACACGATTATTCATAAGGGGATGGGAAGAGGTGTCACTAGTAAGCTTGTTCTGGGTGGTCCTCTGGGTGCACATGCACAGTAGCTGTACATGCTTGTTCATTCCTCGTCATTCAGCATCTTAAATCTCCACCCAGGGGTGTGTTTTTACTATTATAATGAGGAAAGGATCAGTTTGAGGACGGGTAAAATGAAAATGTGCATGCTCTCTAGACGGGACAGTCCCTACTGAAGATAGCTTTGCTTGAATGAGCTCAATTACAATGCGAATGCTGAGGCTTATTATGTTGGTCACCACGGCCGCTGCATCCCAAGAACATGATCATCAACCTTCAAGGCTTCTCCAAGAATGTATACTGTAGTGTGTCTCACTGCTTAGAGATAGCAGAACATACTAGGAAGCAGCCTTCTTGTTGGCCAAGCTCTATCTCCCTCAGATAACCCTTTGGAAATAACTGCCTACCATAGACCCCATACTTGACACAGGTAATGCATTTAAATCTCACATGACATTTCTGTGAAATAGGTAGCATGATCCCAGCTTCACAGATGAACCCCTCACTTGCTTACTTCCAACAGCTGCCGCCAGGTGGAGCCAGGGTTCAAAGGAGGTTCTGATTCCAAGGCCTGACCTCTTCCCTCTGAACTACGAATGAACCTATTCCATTTCCTGTGCCTCATAGCCTGTAAAGGGGGTGAATTATGGAATGAGGGTCCGCTGTACGCCTCTAGGAGTAAAAAGACAATCTGTTCCTTTGGGTGGAGGAGAAGCACCGAGGAAAGAGTAAAGCAAAGACAATCGTTTTCTTTTTTCTTTTTTTTATTGAGACGGAGTTTCCCTCTGTCGCCCAGGCTGGAGTGCGGTGGCCCGATTTCGGCTCACTGCAACCTCCACCTCCCAGGTTCAAGCGATTCTCCTGCCTCAGTCTCCCGAGTAGCTGGGACTACAGGTGCGCACCACCACGCCCAGCTAATTTTTTTTTTTTTTTTTTTTTTGAGACAGAGTCTCGCTCTGTCTCTCAGGCTGGAGTGCAGTAGCGCGATCTCGGCTCACTGCAAGCTCCGCCTCCCGGGTTCACGCCATTCTCTTGCCTCAGCCTCCCAAGTAGCTGGGACTATAGGCGCCCGCCACCACGATCGGCTAATTTTTTGTATTTTTAGTAGAGACGGGGTTTCACCATGTTAGCCAGGATGGTCTCGATCTCCTGACCTCGTGCTCCGCCCATCTTGGCCTCCCAAATGATGGGATTACAGGCATGAGCCACCGTGCCTGGCTGAGACTCTACTTTCAATTCTTTTGCCTAGTACCTGGAATTGCCAGATCATATCGTAATTCTGTGTTTCTGCTTTTACTTTTTTGAGAAACTACTATATTGTTTTCCACAATAGCTGCACCATTTTTGCATTCCCATCAACAGTGCACAAGAGTTTCAATTTCTCCACATTATCATCAGCACTTATTTCTGAGTGTTAATAGTTCTTTTTTTTTTTTTTTAAGACGGAGTCTTGCTCTGTCACCGAGGCTGGAGTGCAGTGGTGTGATCTCGGCTCACTGCAACCTCCACCTCCCGGGTTCGAGCAATTCTCCTAACTCAGCCTCCTGAGTAGCTGGGATTACAGGTGCCGGCCACCACGCCCGGCTAATTTTTGTATTTTTAGTAGAGACGGGGTTTCACCATGTTGGCCAGGCCAGTCTCAAACTCCTGACCTTGTGATCCGCCCGCCTCGGCCTCCCAAAGTGTTGGGATTACAGGCATGAGCCACGGTACCTGGCTTGATGTTTCTAATAGTTGCCATTATAATGAAGGTGAGGAAAGTATATATTTTTGAATATTGACCACAGCCTCACCCTAATCATCCCTGCTGAAAACAATTGCTTTATTAATTTGTTTGTTTGTTTTATTTGAGAGACAGGGTCTCCCTTAGTTGCCCAGGCTGGAATGCAGTGGCACAGTCATAGCCCATTGTAGCCTCAAACCTTTGGGCTCAAGTGATCCCTCTCAGCCTCCTGAGTAGCTGGGAATACAGGCGCACGCCACCACGCCCTATTGCTTTATTTTTTATATTTTTGAGATGGAGTCTTGCTCTGTCGCTCAGGCTGGAGTGCAGTGGTGCGATCTCGGCTCACTGCAACCTCTACCTCCTGGGTTCAAGTGATTCTCCTGCCTCAGCCTCCTGAGTAGCTGGGATTACAGGCACACGCCACCATGCCTGGCTAATTTTTATATTTTTAGTAGAAACGGAGTTTCACCATGTTAGTCAGGCTGGTCTCAAACTCCTGACCTCGTGATCTGCCCACCTTGGCCTCCCAAAGTGTTGGGATTACAGGCATGAGCTACCATGCCCGGCCTATCATATTCCCTTCTACACAGGCATAAGCAATCTGACAAATGATATCTCTGTTTGTTGCACACACGATCATCCTGTATTTGGATGTGTTGTATTTATTTTTATCCTTTATCACCAAGCATTTCCGAGCATAGTAATGTGGTTTTACCCTCTTGTTGTCTTCTAAATTTCACTTGGTATCTCTTAAAGTAGGCCTTATTCTTTTTTCCTTCTTTCTTCCTTTTTTTTTTTTTTTCTGAGACATGCAAGCTGGAGTGGGCATGGAAGTGCAGTAGCGCCATCTCGGCTCCCTGCAACCTTTGTGTCCCAGGCTCATGCAATTCTTCTGCCTCAGCCTCCTGAGTAGCTGGAATTACAGACGTGTGCCACCACACCTGGCTAATTTTTATATTTTTAGTAGACATGGGATTTCGCCATGTTGGCTAGGCTGGTCTTGAACCCCTGGCCTCAAGCAATCCACTGCCTCAGCCTCCCAAAGTGCTAGGATTAAGGTGTGAGCCACTGTGACTAGCCTGAATTTTGGCTTTGAATACCCTAAGCTTAGAAGATCTGTGTGCTCCTCCTGGCTGGCCTCAGAGGGGCCAGAGTTCACCGAGCCAGGTTTGTGGGCCTGCCCTTATTTCTCATGGCGTAGCTTGACATTAGAAGCTTCCCAGAACTTTCTGTATGTAAATAATTTGGTGACTTGGCATTTAGGATGGAAACAGCTGTTTCTGGGGTTCTGTTGAGATATCAGTTTTTTGAGAAATCTGTTTCCATGGCAATGCCCACATTTACGTTTTTGTTTGTTCGTTTGTTTTGAGACCAGAGTCTCACTCTGTTGCCTAGGCTGGAGTGCAGTGGCACAATCTCGGCTCACTGCAACTTCCGCCTCCTGGGTTCAAGCGATTCTCCTGCCTCAGCCTCCTGAGTAGATGCGATTACCACCACGCCTGGCTAATTTTTCTATATTTTTAGTAAAGGCAGGGTTTTACCATGTTGGTCAGGCTGGTCTCGAACTCCTGACCTCGTGATCCGCCCACCTCGGCCTCCCAAAGTGCTAGGATTACAAGCGTGAGCCACCACGCCCGGCCTTTTTTTTTTTTTTTTTTTTTTGAGATGGCGTCTCACTCCCATTGCACAGGCTGGAGTACAGTGGTGCCATCTCAGCTCACTGCAACCTCCACCTCCCGGGTTCAAGTAACTCTCCTTCCTCAGCCTCCCGAGTAGTTGGGATTACAGGTGTGTGCCACCATGCCCTGCTAATTTTTTTGTATTTTTAGTAGACATGGAGTTTCACCATGCTGGTCTCGAACTCCTGACCTCAGGTGATTCACCCGCCTCAGCCTCCCAAAGTGCTAGGTTTACAGGCGTGAGCCACCGCGCCTGGTCTTTTTTTTTTTTTTTCGAGACAGAGTCTTGCTCTGTCACCCAGGCTGGAGTGCAGTGGCATGTTCTCAGCTCACTGCAACTTCCATCTCCCGGGTTCAAGGGATTCTCCTGCCTCAGCCTCCCAAGTAGCTGGGATTATAGGCACCCGCCACCATGCTGGGCTGATTTCTTTTTTTTTTTTTTGAGATGGAGTCTCGCTCTGTACCCTAGGCTGGAGTGCAGTGGCGTGATCTCCACTCACTACAAGCTCCGCCTCCTGGGTTCACACCATTCTCCTGCCTCAGCCTCCCGAGTAGCTGGGACTACAGGCGCCTGCCACCATGCCTGGCTATTTTTAAAAATATTTTTAGTGGAGACGGGGTTTCACCATGTTAGCCAGGATGGTCTTGATCTCCTGAATTCGTGATCCACCCGCCTCAGCCTCCCAAAGTGCTGGGATTACAGGCGTGAGCCACCGCGCCTGGCTGCCAGGCTGATTTTTGTATTTTTAGTAGAGACGGGGTTTCACCAGGTTGGCCGGGATGGTCTCCAATTCCAGGGTTCCAGTAAGTTGAGCTGCCATGCCCAGACCACCTTATAATTCTTAGTTCCAATTATCTTGTCTCTGCAAAACAAGAATAAGAAAGAACAGAAGGAAGAAATGATGGCCAAAAGCGAAACAAGAAAAAAGAAGAGAATTAAAAAATAAACTTAAAAAAATGCAAAGGAAAAAATAGAAACAACAACCAAACAAACAAATAATAAATAAATGGGGGTCAATGGCCGGGCGCGGTGGCTCACGCCTGTAATCTCAGCACTTTGGGAGGCCGAGACGGGCAGATCACGAGGTCAGGAGATCGAGTCCATCCTGGCTAGCACGGTGAAACCCCGTCTCTACTAAAAATACAGAAAATTAGCCGGCCTTGTGGCGGGCACCTGTAGTCCCAGCTACTGGGGAGGCTGAGGCAGGAGAATGGCGTGAACCTGGGAGGCGGAGCTTGCAGTGAGCCGAGATCACGCCACTGCACTCCAGCCTGGGCGACAGAGCAAGACTCTGTCTTAAAAAAAAGAAATGGGGGTCAAGAAACTGAATGTGGCCTGTGTGAGGAAGTGGTCAGTATGTCACAAGTAGCAGGACCCCTGGAGAAGC
Organism: Homo sapiens; assembly: GCF_000001405.40. Classification (NCBI taxonomy): domain Eukaryota; kingdom Metazoa; phylum Chordata; class Mammalia; order Primates; family Hominidae; genus Homo; species Homo sapiens. The sequence continues at coordinate 30,624,678 of NC_000016.10, read as the reverse complement.
CAAAGGCCCTATCTGCAGGGCCTGTGGCCAGACATGGCCTGGGGGCTCCTCAACCATGAGGTGACAGTGCACTCAGGCTCCAGTGGCTTTGGCTCCCTCCTCTTCCTGGGCAGCCCCTCCAAATCCACTTGCTGGAGCAGCCCTTCCCTGTAACTGCCCACCCCCTCAAAGCAAGGGTCTGCTCCAGCATCCGCTCATTCATCCACAGAGATGAGACACCCTGCTGCTGCCCCCAGAGTGGCCACTGTGTTCGAACAAGTGGGGCTCTGGCCACCCACAGGCACACACATGAGGGAGAAGCCGTAGGCATGTCTTGACCGTGGGCAGCTCTTTGCCTCCATCTCACTGTTGGTCCAATACCAGGAAATCCACTCTGGTGACCGTCCCCATGTTTGTGTGTTGGAGGCCGAAAGAATGAGGGTTGTGACCAACTCAGTATACCACTGGAGGCTATATGAGCAAACAGCAAACTGTTCTCATGGATGCAGGATGTGGGCAAGCTGACAACTGCATCTGCCGCCAGAAGGAATGCTGAGGATGGTCATGCCGTAGGTGAAGTGTTCTTTGTGGTTATCTATAGGAACATCTGGAGCCTGTTGTATAAAGAAAGCAATTATGTGAGCCTGTGATAAATCAAGCAGCTGATCAACCGTTGCCTCGTCCTCCCTGTCGATTCTACCTAATAAATACGAAGGGCTGTAGAAGCTCAGGGCCCTTATTCCCTAGAAGCAAGGAGCCCCCTGACCCCTTCCTTAAAACAGATCCTTTTGTCTTTGTCTTCATTTCTGCGTTTGTCCTCCTTCATTCAGTCCCAAACCAACAGCCACAAGTGGTGCCTAATCAGGGACGTGAAGGAAGAAGATCTGCTGGAGCAGAGAAACTGAAACTGACCAGATGAGTGAGAAACCCCAGGACAAATCTGCTGGCAGAGGATATAAGGTCAGTGCCCTAAAGAGATACTGGGAGTGGGAAGTTTGTGAATCAGGGTAACGTGGGGCAGAATTTGTCAACTGAGGAGCAACATTATGTGCAGTTGCTTAAAGTTTTACTTAAACAATCTGGTGCTCAGGTTAGTTCTCAAACACTAAGCTGCTGCAGGAGGTTGTTATGCATAACCCATGGTTTCCACAGACAGGCATCTCGATGCGGAAAATTGGGACAGTGTAGGGGAAGGATTAAAACAGGCTTATCAAAAAGGTCTTAAAGTTGATCCTTCTGTTTTGACTTTATTCCATACTGTCCTCCTGCCATTGTCTCCTTCTTATTCTGCCGGACAGCAGGAGCCATGTTCTGAATCTCAAATTTCAAAAGAATCTTTTGTCCCTCCAACAGCGCCCATTGAAATAATAAACAGGAGAGGGAGGATGAAAATTGGCCTGTACCGCCCCCTCCAGTAGTGGACACACGTGTACTGTCTCCTTCAGTAACAGAAATAGAGACCCCAAAACAAAGAATTCTACGCTCTGCTGCCATAGCTGGAGAGCCCTTCGAACCTTGTGCTTTTCCTATTTCTATAAGGCTGGATCCAAATAATCCACAGCAGTTTATTCATGAACACACCCCACTAGAGTTTAAGTTGTTGAAGGAATTAAAAGCTCATGTACTGAATAATGGAGTACAGAGCCCATTTACTTTAGGATTGCTAGAATCTGTATTTGGTGCTATGCGCCTTCCACCCTTTGATGTAAAGCATTTGGCCTGCACTTGTTTGTCTGCTAGTTCATACCTGACATGGAATTTAAATTGGCAAGAACTGTGTGCAGACCAGGCTAGACAGAATCGTGCTGCTGGACACAGGGACATTACAGAGGATATGCTGTTGGGTAATGGCCCTTATTCAGACCTGCAACATCAAATGGCACTCCCAGAAGCTGCTTATCAGCAGTGTGCACTGGCCGCTAAACACACGTTGGCCACAATTCCAGAGGAAGGGGGTCCCAATACAATCTTTTTTACGTGCCATGCAAGGGTTGCAGGAGCCCTCTGCACATTTTCTTGCATGATTACTAGAGGCAGTGAGGTGTCAGATTCCTCATACCGCGGCTGCAGAGATGCTAACTTTAACTTTAGCTTTTGAGAATGCAAATGAGGATTGTAAACGTGCACTGGCTTCTGTAAGATGTACAAAAAACTTAGGAAATTTTCTCAAAGCCTGTCAAAATGTGGGAACTGAGCTTCATCGCTCTACAATGTTAGCTCAAGCAACGGCTAATTTATTAGTGGCCAAATCTAGAAAGGGCCAAGGGTCAAACTCTAAAAGGGGAAAATGTTATAATTGTGGAAAAATCAGACGTTTCAAAAAGGAGTGCCATCAGACCTCTGGGCAGAAGGGATCTTATAATGCAGTACCCTACCCCCAACAGAAAAAAACGCCAGGACTTTGCCCTCATTGCAATAAAGGAAATCATTGGGCTAATCAATGCCATTCACAATTTCATCAGAATGGGACCGCCCACATTGGGAAATGAGAAGGGGGCCTGGACCCAGGCCCCTCAAACAATGAGGGCATTCCCCATCCAGGCCACAACCCGACTTCAGGGGTGGATCTCCGGAGGAACATTGATTCCCTCTCCCCAGGAACACCTGGAAGCGCAGGAATAGCTCTCCCAGTCAGAGAATGGGTTACGTTAGTCAGAGGAGACAAAAACCACTAAAATTCCCACTGGCATTTGGAGTCCTTTGCCAACAGGATATATGGGATTAATTTTGGGTAGAAGCCGTCTCAACTTACAGGGCATTACTATAGTCCCAGGAATTGACTCTGATCATGAAGGAGAAATTCAAGTAGTGGTAATGTCACAAGATCTGTGGGTTTTTGAACCAGGAGAATATACAACTACTGCCTATTGCCTGCAAATTACCCTTCTCCACATAAGGAGAAATGAGGGAATCAAGGATTTGGGAGTACAACCAGAAGGGAAATTTACCCCAAACGATAGCTTCTAATCGACCCACCTGTACAGTGCAAATTAAAGGAAAAAAGTTCTATGGGCTTATGGATATGGGAGCTGATGTGTCAGTAATATCTAAAAACAATTGGCCCCCATCCTGGCCCCTGCAATTAACTTCTACATCCTTAGTGGGAGTAGGAAAAGTTCAAAGTGTTCAACAGAGTGCTGAGATTTTACCCGTCTCAGACCAGATGGACAGTCGTGTACTTTTCAACCTTATGTTGCAAATATAGCTGTTAACCTATGGGGCCAAGATTTACTTACAGCACAGGATATGAGACTTACAAATGAAACTATTGACAATCCAGGATTTAAAATGTTAAAGAAAATGGGATATCAGAACGGAAAAGGCTTAGGAAAGTCCCAACAGGGAAACCCTGATCCTATATCAATAACTGGGCAAACAGATAGAAAAGGGCTAGGTCGTCAGGATTTCTGACAGGGGTCATTAATATTTCTCCTCCACCCAATGCTTTGCCGCTAGGGTGGCTGACTGACAAGCCTGTATGGGTGGATCAATGGCCCCTATCACAGGAGAAACTAACTCAACTCCATCAGCTAGTAAAAGAGCAACTGGATGCAAGACATATTGAAGAGTCAGTCCCTGGAATTCATCAGTATTTGTAATTCCAAAAAAGTTAGGAAAATGTTTCCTACTGTTTCATGATCTGACAGCTATTAATGCACAGATTAAACCAATGTGTGCATTACAGCAAGGTCTGCCATCCCCGGCAGTGATTCCAAGAGACTGGCCTCTTGTAGTAATAGATCTTAAAGACTGTTTTTTTTGTTGTTGTTGTTATTATACTATTACATGAGCAGGATAGGCCTCGATTTGCCTTCTCTGTGCCTTCTGTTAATCAAAAAGAGCCTGTCTCTCATTATCAATGGAAAGTTATACCCCAAGGCATGCTCAACAGTCCTATGTTATGTCAGCATTTTGCAGGACAGACATTAAAGCGGCCTTGGAATATGTTTCCCACTGCCTACATCATTCATTATATGGATGATATTCTTTTGGCTGCTTCTACAGATTAAATTTTACATCAGTTATTCAGAGAAATAAAACGGGCTTTGACTAAATGGAATCTCAAAGTAGCTCCAGAAAAGGTGCAAACAACCTCCCCATACCAGTACTTAGGCACTATTGTTACTGAAAGAAGTGTTTGGCCTCAAAAAGTAGCTCTCCGTAAGGACAGATTACAAATTCTGAACGATTTCCAACAATTATTAGGGGATATTAACTGGCTGCACCCAATGCTAGGTATTGCTACTTATTAACTCAAACAGCTTTACCAGACCCTCCAAGGAGACTCTTCATTAAGCTCTCCTCTGCAACTTATTAAGGAGGCAGAAGCTGAGTTACAGCTTGTAGAGCAGGTGCTTCAGCAACGACATGCCTCCTGGCTACAGCCACAAAAGGCTTTGCTTCTGTTTATTCTTCCTACCCTCCATTCTCCAACAAGACCTTTAGGCCAATTCATAGACAAATCTGTAGTAGTATTAGAATGGCTTTTTTAAAAATCCAATCAGACAGTGAAATCTTTGCAAGTTTGTCTTTAATTACTCAACTTATAACAATAGGTAGGCAGAGATCAAAAATACTTATGGGATATTATCCAGAAAAAAATTATTGTTCCCTTGGATTCCCAACAACAGGCAGCAGCATGGGAAATGTTGACTGCATGGCAAATTGCTCTCACAGATTTTGTAGAAATAATAGTTAACCGTTATCTATCAGACAAAATTTTGCAATTTGATAAAGCTCACCCTTTTATCCTTCCTGTGATTACTCATCACAAGCCTACTCCAGGCGGACAGACTTATTTCACTGATGGCTCTTCCAAAGGCCGAGCAGCTATTTATGGACCTAAGCATACTCAAACAATAAAGACCTCTGGAGTTTCAGCTCAATGCTCAGAACTAATGGCAGTTATTCAGGTTTTACAGCTCACCGCTTCATCTCCTATTAACATTGTCTGTGATTCAGCCTATGTTGTGAATGTAGCCAGTCGCATTGAAACTGCCACTATTAAAAGCAGCCTAGAACCAGAGCTGTTTAACTTATTTCTAAGACTTCAACAAGCTATTTTCTCTCGTGCTGTTCCTTTTGATATTTCTCATATCCACTCTCACACACAACTCCCTAGACCACTATCTCTAGGTAATGATGGAGCAGATAAACTGATCAGTTCTGTATTTCAACAAGCCCAAGTTTCTCATGCATTATTGCATCAAAACACCTCTGCCCTTACTCGTATGTTTCATCTGCCTCGCAGCCAGGCTCCAGCTATTGTGCAAGCCTGCCCTACTTGCCAGCATGTCCCTGGTGTTGCACCCATGGAAGGATGCAACCCATGAGGCTTGGCTCCAAATGAAATCTGGCAGATGGATGTTACACATATAGCAGCCTTTGGCACACTCAGCTATGTTCATGTGACTATAGACACCTACTCTCATATGTTACATGCCACATGTCAAACAGGGGAAATGGCTGTCCGTGTCTGACGACATTGTTTGTGATTATTCGCCCATATGGGGGTTCCTAAACAATTAAAAACTGACAATGGATCTGCTTATGTTAGTCATGCTTTTCAAAATTTTTACAGTTATGGGCAATCACTCATAAAACAGGAATTCCTCATAACCCTCGAGGACAAGGAATCATAGAGCAGGCACATCAAACATTACAATGTATGTTGAAAAAACAAAAAGGGGGAATAGGAGACCAACTAACCACCTGAAACAAAATTACATTTAGCCTTATTTACTTTAAATTTTTTGACTCCTGGTACAGATAGTAAGACTCTGGCGGAATGACACGGGCAAATGTTAGAAGGAAAGAGGAAAGTTTATCCAAAGCTATTATGGAAATCCCCAGAAGAAGGACAATGGAAAGGCCCAGTGGATTTACTGACATGGGGACGAGGATATGCTTGTGTTTTTTGTTGTTGTTGTTGGTTTTTTTTTTTTTTTTGAGACAGAGTCTCGCTCTGTCACCCAGGCTGGAGTGCAGTGGCATGATCTCAGCTCACTGCAAGCTCCGCCTCCTGGGTTCATGCCATTCTCCTGCCTCAGCCTCTCCGAGTAGCTGGGACTACAGGCACCCGCCACAACGCCAGGCTAATTTTTTGTATTTTCAGTAGAGATGGGGTTTCACTGTGGTCTCGATCTCCTGACCTCGTGATCTGCCTGCCTCGGCCTCCCAAAGTGCTGGGATTACAAGCATGAGCCACCACACCCAGCCTATGCTTGTGTTCTTACAGGAGATGGACAAACCGTGCGGGTGCCCTCTAGGTGTGTGCGACCATGGAATGGGGGACTGGAGGGATCTGTGGATCCCAACCATGCGTCCGGTTCCCCCAGTATGAGCCATGAGCCAGTGGAATCTGAATGCGAAGACAGAATGGGGGCCAACCGGAGTCACAATGACATCAACCCCCATAACATGGGGACAGATCAAGAAAACCACACAGGAAGTTGAAAAACTGCTGGAGCGCCAGGGTCAGGCAAAAACCCCAGACTCCATGTTTATGGCCATGCTAGCTGTAATATCCTGTGAGGTATGTTTTCCCTGTGCAGAGGCAAAAACATATTGGGCATATGTTCCTAACCCACTGGTAGTGTGACCATACTCTGGAACGACACTCCTCCTGAGATATATCATGATCAAGGAGCATAGGCACCAGGACCCCTAATCTCCCCTGACACAGAGCAATTAGACTCTCAGAACAATGGTATCAATTATACCACTCCATTGGAGGAACTTCCTTTATGCGTCACCCAGGATACCTCACTCAACTGCAGTTGCCTTGCAATTCAATCCCAAGCATGGCTGAGTTACCATGGAAATATTATGTACCTATTAGGCCTTAGCTCTATTAATATTACTGGTGTGGTTACTAATCACTCCCGGCCCCATCGCCCAAATTGTATTGATTATACAGAATGGGCTCCCTTTGATAATTCTCACCCCTCTCCTTGGGCCCACTGTCTTGGCCCCTTAGCTAGACAACAGTCCATGTTAATGGGAGACATTATTGACTGGGGTCCCCGTGGTCATTTAGATGGGAGAGATGAGAATCAGACCTCACGGCATAAGCTTCACTAGCACTGGTGGCAAAACTTTAACATCTCTTCACTACATCACACTGGGATTCAATCCCAATCTGTCACGTAACTTGCTTGGCACGGAATGGGCTTTAGCCCACCTTTGCCTCAATGGCATTATCAAGGAAAGAGAGGTCCAATTAGGAGTCGATATGGAAGGCACTCCCGTTTATGAATGGCAGCATTTGGGTTGGGACACTACCCAATAATAGTAATAGTGCTCAACACAGTTTTAATGTTACCTTTATAGAAAATATTACCACTCAATTTACAATTTGTGTTTTTTTTGTTTTTTTGAGACAGAGTCTTGCACTGTTGCCCAGGCTGGAGTGCAGTGGTGCGATCTCAGCTCACTGCAAGCTCTGCCTCCCGGGTTCACGCCATTCTCCTGCCTCAGCCTCCCAAGTAGCTGGGACTACAGGCACCCGCCACCACGCCCGGCTAATTTTTTTATATTTTTAGTAGAGACGGGATTTCACCCTGTTAGCCAGGATGGTCTCGATCTCCTGAACTCGTGATCTGCCCGTCTTGGCCTCCCAAAGTGCTGGGATTACAGGCGTGAGACACCGCGCCCAGCCTACAATTTGTGTTTTTAATCCCTATGTCTTTCTAGCAGCAAAAAAGGACCAACTCCAGGTAAACGATGCCCAATTGGCTTGTGATTCCTGTCAGCTGTATAATTGCCTTAATCATAGCACAATACAAACACACAGCATATCCACCCTAATAATTCTAGGTCGCATTCCCGGATTATGGATTCCTGTAAATCTGTCCAAGCCTTGGGCCCCTGCTTTGCATTTTGTAAAACTCCTTATTACTCAGCTTACTCATCGTGCTCGTAGAGCCTTAGGCATGATAATTTTTGCTATAGTATCCTTAGTCACATTAATAACCTCTGTTGTGGTGTCCTCCGTAGCACTGCATAACTCCATTTAAATAGCTCAATATGTAGAAAATTGGACGTGTATAGCCAACCAGGCATGGATGCTTCAAAATAAAATTAACACCGAGATACAAACAGAAGGGATAATGTTAAAGACTACTGTTCTGTGGCTAGGAGAACAAGTACAAAGCTTGCAGTTGCAGCAGCAATTGCATTGTCATTTTAACCATACTCATATTTGTGTAACCAATTTGGAATACAATCAAAGTGAATATCCATGGAACCTTGTAAAGGCCCATTTACAGGGAACTTTTTACATCCAGTGTTATTTTTGATATTAATGATTTACAAAGTAAAATCCTTAACTTGAATAAGCAAACTCAAGCATTTCAGCCCTCTTTAAAATATTGGGCAGAATTCCAGCAACTTTTAGAGAGCCTTAACCCTTGGACCTACTTCAAACAGCACCTCAGTGTCTTTTGTGTAATTATTGGAAAAATGTTATTATGTTTCTGCTTTTTGTTCACAGTCTGTAAAATCAGCTGGACCACCAGCTGGCAATTGAGAGCTGCACAGCCTGCAATTACCTTTATTCAACTAATGCAAAAACAGAAAGGGGGAGATGTTGGAGGCCAAAAGAATGAGGGTCGTGACCAACTCAGTATACCACTGGAGGCTATATGAGCAAACAGCAAACTGTTCTCATGAATGCAGGATGTTGGCAAGCTGACAACTGCGTCTGCCACCAGAAGGAATGCTGAGGACAGTCACACACCAGGTGCAGTTGTTCCTTGTAGTTATCTATAGGAACATCTGGAGCCTGTTGTATAAAGAAAGCAATTATGTGAGCCTGTGCTAAATCAAGCAGCTGACCAACTACTACCTCTTAGTCCCTGTTGATTCTACCTAATAAATATGAAGGGCTGTAGAAGCTCAGGGCCCTTATTCCCTAGAAGCAAGGAGCCCCCGACACTTTCTTTAAAACAGATCCTTTTCTTTGTCTCCATTTCTGCGTTCGTCCTCCTTTGTTCAGTCCCGAACCGACAGCCACATTTGTGGGTCATGCAGTGTCTAATTCTCCCAGAGAGCTCACCTGGTCCAGCACCAGCTGCCCCCACACAGGGGACGAGCTCTGCAAGGGCTCCGACTGCAGCCACCTCTTCCACCTGAGGAGGGCGCTGTCCACGCACATATGCGGATGTGTGCACAGATGTGGGTGCCAGTTTGCATTCCCCTCCCTTGTGGCCACCACCAGGCACATGCACTTGGGTGAGCACTGCCACCACTGCCTACAGTGTGGCACTCCCCTTGCTGACTGGGAAACTTGCTCCAGCACCAGCTTATCCATGCAGGAGAGAAGCCCTACTGGTGCTTTGACTGTGTGTGGTGCGTGCACCAAAGAGGCTCCCTTGGCCATTCATAGGCACACGCATACAGGTGAGAAGCCTCAGTCCTGCTCTGAGTGTGGCATCTGCTTCTCCTGCTAAAAAAAAGAAAAAAAGAAATAAAAGCTTGGCTTTTCCCTTTTTAGATGGAGTCTCACTTTGTCCCCTAGGCTGGAGTGCAGTGATGTGATCTCAGCTCACTGCAACCTCTGCCTCCCATGTCCAAGCGATTCTCCTGCCTCAGCCTCCCAAGTAGCTGGGATTACAGGCATGTGCCACCACACCCGCCTAATTTTTTTGTATTTAGTAGAGAGGGAGTTTCACCATGTTGGTCAGGCTGGTCTTGAACTCCTGACCTCAGGTGATTTGCCCTCCTCAGCCTCCCAAAGTGCTGGGATTATAGGCACGAACCATCGTGCCTGGCCTGACTTTTCTTTTCTTTTTTGAGATGGAGTTTCACTCTTGTTGCCCAGGCTGGAGTGCAATGGTGCAATCTGGGCTCACTGCAACCTCAGCCTCCCCGGTTCAAGCGATTCTCCTGCCTCAGCCTCCTAAGTAGCTGGGATTACAGGCATGCACCACCACTCTCGGCTAATTTTTTGTATTTAGTAGAGACAGGGTTTCACCATGTGGGTCAGGCTGGTCTTGAACTCCTGACCTCAGGCAATCCACCCGCCTCAGCCTCCTGAAGTGCTGGGATGGATTACAGGTGTGAGCCACCACGCCCAGCTGACCTGACTTTTCTTAACAGATTCATGCAGCCCAGGTTTTTTGTTTGTTTGTTTGTTTTTGTTCTATTCATTTAAACACAGAGTCTCAATCTGTTGACCACGCTGGAGCGCAGTGGTGTAATAATCATAGTTAACTGCAGCCTTGAACTCTTGGGCTCAAGTCATCCTCTCGCCTTAGCCTCCCAAAGGGCTGGGACTACAGGCATGAGCCACCATGCCCACACGCCCAGCCACAATTAGGAGGCTAGAGCTCCCGCCTTTTTTTTTTGTTGTTGTTGTTGTTTTTGTTTTTTGAGACAGGATCTCATTCTTTCGCCCAGGCTGGAGTGCAGTGGTGCAATCTTGGCTACTGTAGCCTTGACCTCCCAAGTCTCAATCGATCCCCCCACCTCAGCTTCCCAAGTAGCTGGGACTATAAGTGCCCGACACCATGCCTAGTTAATTTTTGTATTTTTTGTAGAGAAAGGGTTTTGCCATGGTGGCCAGGCTGGTCTTGAACTCCTGGGCTCAAGCAATCCCCCCACCTCGGCCTCCCAAAGTGCTGGGATTATAGGTGTGAGCCACCACACCTAGCCTGTAACTGTAGTTTTTTTTCCACCACCTCTGTTCAAACATCTCCTTCCTCTGAATATCTCACTGCTGCCTCCTCATCCTCCTCCTCCTTCTTCTTTCTTCTCCTTCCTCTTTTTTTTTTTTTTTTTTGAGACGAGTCTCGCTCGGTCGAAAGCTCCGCCTCCCGGGTTCACGCCATTCTCCTGCCTCAGCCTCCTGAGTAGCTGGGACTACAGAAGCCCACCACCATGCCTGGCTAATTTTTTATATTTTTAGTAGAGACGGGGTTTCACCGTGTTAGCCAGGATGGTCTTGATCTCCTGACCTAGTGATCTGCCCGCCTCGGCCTCCCAAAGTGCTGGGATTACAGGCGTGAGCCACCAAGCCCAGCCTTTTTTTTTTTTTTTTTTTTTGAGACTTAGTCTTACTCTGTCACCCAGGCTGGAGTGCAGTGGCACCATCTTGGATCACTGCAACCTCCGCCTTCCAGTTTCAAACAATTCTCTTCGGCTGGGCCTGGTGGCTCATGTCTGTAATCCCAGCACTTTGGGAGGTCGAGGCGGACAGATCAGCTGAGGTCAGGAGTTCAAGACCAGCCTGACCAACATGAAGAAACCCCATCTCTACTAAAAATACAAAATTAGCTGGGTGTAGTGGCGCATGCCTGTAATCCCAGCTACTCGGGAGGCTGAGGCAGGAGAATCGTTTGAATCCGGGAGGCGGAGGTTGTGGTGAGCCGAGATTGCTCCATTGCACTCAGCCTGGGGAACAAGAGCAAAACTCCGTCTCAAAACAAAACAAAACAAAACAAAACAGAAAACAATTCTCATGCCTCAGCCTCCCAAGTAGCAGGGACTATAGGCATGTGCCACCAAGCCCGGCTAATTTTTGTATTTTTAGTAGAGACAGGGTTTTGCCATGTTGGCCAGGCTGGTCTTGAACTCCTGGCCTCACGTGATCCACCCACCTCGGCCTCCCAAACTGCTGGGATTACAGGTGTGAGCCACTGCTCCCGGCCTCATTGCCTTCTAATTTTGTGACTTTTCCTGCCACATTGTTTGTCTTTATTCCTTGAAAGCTTTGAGGTTAGTGTTTTGCCCATAGTATATGCTTTACAATATTGATTAAAGGGTTAGAGAGATAGATGTGCATGTCACTAGCTAAGAGACATGGCAAATGGTGTATTCTCCTGCTCGCAGGACCCTTGGGGGTGGCATTGAGCTGGTGAAACTCTGCAGTATAACACATACATAGAAGTAGGGGCTAGGGCGGGCGTGGTGGCTCATGCCTGTAATCCCAGCACTTTGGGAGGCAGAGGTGGTTGGATCATGAGGTCAGGAGTTCGAGACCAGCCTGGCCAAGATGGTGAAATCCCGTCTCTACTAAAAATACAAAAATTAGCCGAGCAAAGTGGCGGGTGCCTGTAATCTCAGCTACTCGGGAGGCTGAGGCAGGAGAATCACTTGAACCCGGGAGGCCAAGGTTGCAGTGAGCCGAGTTTGCACCACTGCACTCTAGCCTGGGCAACAGAGCAAGACTCCGTCTAAAAAAAAAAAAAAAAAGGGCTGGGCACAGTGGCTCACGCCTGTAATCCCAGCACTTTGGGAGGCTGAGACGGGTGGATCACGAGGTCAGGAGATCAAGACCATCCTGGCTAACATGGTGAAACCCCGTCTCTACTAAAAATACAAAAAATTAGCTGGGCGTGGTGGCGGGCGCCTGTAGTCCCAGCTACCCGGGAGGCTGAGGCAGGAGAATGGCGTGAGCCCGGGAGGCGGAGCTTGCAGTGAGCCGAGATGGCGCCACTGCCCTCCAGCCTGGGTGACAGAGCGAGACTCCGTCTCAAAAAAAAAAAAAAAAAAAAAATGTGGAGGCTAATGGGGTGGGTGCTGGCTTGTTCCATCAGCAATTTTCAGTTCAGTGCCTTTCACATACATGCTTGTATCATTCTGTTATGATTCATTGTGAATTTATATGCTTTACTAGACTGTAAGCTCCATTCAAAGCATGGCCTATGACTTATTTATGTACGCTCTCCCAATTGCCTAGCACTATGCTTTGTACGTTGAACAAATGTCACGTGAAAATAATGTAGGGAGATTATGCAGAATATTGAACTTGAGAAGAAAACAAGAGCTCAGGTGGATTCCTGGTTTAGCAAGCAAATTAGGATACTGTGAAGGAAGGATGCCTATCAGTGGTATGAATAAAGGCTCTGTCTGCCCCAGGTTTAAATCTTTATTCCCCACTCCTTACTAGCAGTATGGCCCTGGAAACTCATGGAATCCCTCTGAGATCGTTTCTTCATTAGTAGAACCAGGATGATAACCATTGGTTCACAAAATGCTAGTAAAGAATTAATAACGGGCTGGGTGTGGTGGCTCACTCCTGTAATCCCAGCACTTTGGGAGACCGAGGTGGGCGGATTGCTTGAGCTCAGGAGTTCGAGACCAGCCTGGGAAACATGGCGAAACACCGTCTCTACCAAAAATACAAAAAATTAGCAGAGCACTGTGGGTGCATGCCTTCACTCCAGCCTGGGCAACGGAATGAGACCCAGTCTCAAAAAAAAAAAGCGAATAACTAATGGCTCCGGTGCTGTGGCTTATGCCAGTAATCCCAGCCCTTTGGGAGGACGAGGCAGGAGGATCACTTAGCCTAAGGGTTCGAGACCAGCCTGGGCAACACAGGGAAACCCTGACTCAACAAATAACATAAAAAATTAGCCAGGCGTGGTAGTGCACACCAGTAGTCCCAGTTACTCTGAAGGCTGAGGCAGGACGATTGCTTGAGCCCAGGAGTTAGAGGCTGCAGTGAGCTGAGATTGCACTACTGCATTCCATCCCGCCCGGGTAACAGAGTGAGACCCTGTCTCAAAAAAATAAAAATAAGGCCGGGCATAGTGGCTCACGCCTGTAATCCTAGCACTTCGTGGGGCCGAGGTGGGTGAATCACTTGAGGTCAGAAGTTCGAGACCAGCCTGGCTAACATGGTGAAACCCCATCTCTGCTAATAAATATGAATATTAGTCAGGAGTGGTGGCACGCGCCTGTAATCTCACTTACTCGGGAGGCTGAGGCAGGAGAATCGCTTGAACGTGGGAGGTGGAAGCTGCAGTGAGCCGAGATTTCGCCACTGCACTCCAGCCTGGGCGACAGAGCACGACTCTGTCTCAAAAATAAATAAATAAAATAAAAATAAAAAATAATAAAGATGAAATATGTAATATGCTGGGCATGGCGCCTGCCCCCAGGAAATGCTAACCATAATTCCCTCCCCTAAAGGGCAAACAAAGAAGATAACCATTCTCCAAAGTCAAGGATGCTCTGAGAACACCAGTAAAAGGAACTCAGGATAATCTCAGCTCTAACTCGGCCAGAGTGGCTCCATCGCTCAAATCGTTCCCTCCTTCAGTGATTGGCTGAGCCTGCCAGAGTCGAACAGCGGAAAGCAGCCCCGGGGCCTCTTGCTGCCCCCAGGTCGGTGCAAGTCGCTTCACAACTCCTTGTAGTCGCCTGATCCTAGCAGTCCAGCTTCCTGCCCTTATGCAGCTCTTGGCTTCGTTCAAACGGACCGCCTTTGCTAGCACCCAATCAGAACGCTCGATCTTCGGCTCTCGTCCAATGAACGCGCGTATTGGGGAGGGGAAAAAAGACGGCGTGAAGCCCAATCGCAGCGCCATTACACTTGAGGGCAAAGAGGTTAGGAAGCCGGCATGGCGCTCCGGTCAATAAAATCGATAGCTGGAAGCTGCCTGTGTTCCAGGCAAAGGCGGTGCGGTAGCAGCGCCGCCATTTTCCCCGAAGGCATCTTCCGGTGCCTTTCACCCAAGTTCGGGCAGGAGTTTCCTGAATAACAGCAAAAGGTTTCCGTTAGCCCCGCGGGCGACCAATTCCGATTCCCTCCGGGCCTCCCCGGCCACGCTCAGCCCTGGTCCGGCAGGGGCTCCTCGATCCCAGGGGCCGCCAGCGCCCGAGGGCCGAGGCCTGGACACGGAAGGCCGTGGCGCCGGCTTCTCGGGTCCCATGGCGCCACCTTCGGCTCCGCTCCCTGCGCAGGGACCAGGAAAGGCCAGACCCAGTCGGAAAAGGGGCAGGAGGCCGAGGGCTCTGAAGTTCGTGGACGTGGCCGTGTACTTCTCCCCGGAGGAGTGGGGCTGCCTGCGGCCCGCGCAGAGGGCCCTGTACCGGGACGTGATGCGGGAGACCTACGGTCACCTGGGCGCGCTCGGTGAGGCCGGCCCCATCCGCTGCCGCGGGGCGCGAAGGGATGCAGGAGCCGGAGAGGGTGTAGGCAGGGAGGCCACGGTCCTGGCAGGCGACCAGGTTGTCAGGGGAGGTGGGCAGGGGCTTAGCAGGAGGTGCCGTCGGGGAGATACTACTCGGCGTGATCTAGGAGCTGGCCTTCTGATTTGTTCTCTTTCCCCAGGGTGCGCAGGTCCCAAACCAGCCCTCATCTCCTGGTTGGAACGAAACACCGATGACTGGGAACCGGCTGCTCTAGATCCGCAGGAGTACCCGAGAGGGCTAACAGTCCAGAGAAGTGAGTGCTAAATAACCACGCAGAGCCTGCAGCCCTCCTATAACGTTCTACCTCTAACGGCTCTGTCCAGAGTTTTGGTTGGGCTAGGGGTGGGTGCCGCGTATTTAGTATATTCATCTTCCCAGCCTCTTGTGTCTGGTGGTGTGGGGCCGGTCCACCACACAGAGATTCCTATGTCAGTCTGCAAGCTGCAGTTTTCCACTGTGTGAATGAATCAGTGGGCTTATTCTTCGTCTTTTTTTTTTTTTTTTTTTTTTGTAGAAACATTGTCTTGCTCAGTTCGGTCTTGAACTTCTGGCCTCAAGCGATCCTCCTGCCTTGGCCTCCCAAAATGCAGGGGTTACTGGCGTGAGCCATTGCAGCCAGCCAGAATCAGTGAGCTTTTAACAGGTGCTACCCTCTGCCTCCTTTCCAGGATCTCTGCCTCTAGCCACCTTTGAGTTGGACCAAAGAGATCCTAAACTTCTCAGAGTTTTCTGGGTTTTGGTTGAAGGGAGCTCATGGGGAACAGCTGCCTGGGATGCAGGGGCCTCTTTCTGCTCTTACGGCAGGATGACCCTTATCAGCGAAGGACATACTGCAATCTCCTCAGAATCCAACAAGGCTCTGCTTAACCCCATTCAGGTAGAAGGGTCCCAGATCCACCCATAGTAGAAGATGGAGCTGTCTGGGCTGGAATTTCAGAGCCAGATTCTTCAAGACCAGGGATAGCTGTCCAAGATTCAGATCTGACCATGATATTTCCTTGCTTAAAACTTTTCAGTTAATTTTTGCCAAGGTTGTTAAATGGCCATTGGTTATATCTAAATCACTTGGGGAACTTGGTAAAAACGCAGGTTCCAGGACCCCATCCCAGAGCTATTCATTCACTCGTGTGAATGTTTAGGAACTTCCATTTTTTAAATAGCCTCAGCTGATTCAGATGTGCATCTAGGTTTGAAAACCGGCCGGCTGGTGGCTCATGCCTGTAATCCCAGCACTTTGGGAGGCCGAGGTGGGTAGATCACTTGAGGTCCGGAGTTCAAGACCAGCCTGACCAACATCGTGAAACCCCGTCTCTACTAAAAAAATACAAAAATTAGCCGGGCACTATGGTGGGCGCCTGTAATTCCAGCTACTCAGGAGGCTGAGGCAGGGAGAATTGCTTGATCCTGGGAGGTGGAAGTTACAGTGAGCCGAGATCATGCCAGTGTACTCCAGCCTGGGTGCCACAGTGAGACTCCATCTTGGGGGAAAAAAAAAAAGAAAAGAAAACCATTGGGTAAAATACAGTCCAAGGTCTTTAACAATGCTAACAGCAGTGGTTCTCAAAGCGTGGTCTCAGACCAGAAGCAGCATTATTTGGAAACTTGTTAGAAATGCACATTCTTGGACCCTACCCCAGACCTGCTGAATCCAAAGCGGGCACTAGGGCCTGGCATTCTGTTTCAGTAAATCCTCCCAATGATTCTGATCACAGTGGAGTTTGAGAACCATTGGCTTAGAGGGCCTTTTGACCCAGTCACTGCTAGCTCATACCTCATAGGTTTCCATATCTTGCCTTACACTCTTTTGTGTGTGTGTGAGACGGAGTCTTGCTCTGTTGCCCAGGCAGGAGTGCAGTGGCACGATCTCAGCTCACTGTAACCTCTTGCTCCCGGTTTCAAGCAATTCTCCTGTCTCAGCCTCTGGAGTAGGTGGGACTACAGGTGCCCACGATCACACCCGGCTAATTTTTAGTAGAGACAGGGTTTCTCCATATTGGTCAAGCTGGTCTCGAACTCCTGACCTCAGGTGATCCGCCTGCCTTGGCCTTCCAAAGTGCTGGGATTGCAGGTGTAAGCCACCGCGCCCAGCCTGTCTTGCTTTTACACTTTGTGTCTAAGAAGATCTTAGGGCCTGTGCACACTGTACACTGAGCCTTGGGACTTATGTTTCTTTTCTTTTTTTTTTTTGAGACGGAGTTTTGCTCTTCCACCCAGGCTGGAGTGTAGTAGTGCAATCTTGGCTCACTGCAACCTTTGCCTTCCGGTTTCAAGTAATCATCTTGACTCAGTTTCCCAAGTAGCTGGGATTACAGGCGCCCGCCAGCATGCACGGCTAATTTTTGTATTTTTAGTAGAGACGGGGTTTCACCATGTTGGCCAGGCTGGTCTCGAACTCCTGACCTCACAGTCCGCCCACCTTGGCCTCCCAAAGTGCTGGGATTATAGGAATGAGCCACTGCGCTTGGCTGGGACTTACGTTTCTAACACTGCATAATTTTAATTCTTTTTTTTTTTTTTTTTTTTTTTTTTGAGATGGAGTCTCACTCTGTCATGCAGGCTGGAGTGCAATGGCGTGATCTTGGCTCACTGCAACCTCCGCCTCCCAGGATCAAGTGATTCTCCCACCTCAGCCTCTGGGTAGCTGGGATTATAGGCACCTGCTATTGTGCCCAGCTAATTTTTATATTTTTGTAGAGACGGGGTTTCACCATGTTGGCCAGGCTGGTCTTGAACTCCTGACCTCAGGTGATCCGCCTGCCTCAGCCTCCTAAAGTGCTAGGATTACAGACATGAGCCACCACGCCCAGCCACATTTTTTAAAGAATCAGCTAAGTCAAATAAACCATCCACAATGGAATTCTGTGTAGCTGTAAAATAGAAAAAAGATTTGCTGACATAAAATGATCTTTAGAATATATTAAGTGAAAAAATGTAAAGTGTGTATAAGGTGTGTATATGTTGTCTTTTGTATAAGAAAGGTGAGCTGGGCATGGTGGCTCACGCCTGTAGTCACTTTGGGAGATAGAGGTGAGCAGATAACCTGAGGTCAGGAGTTCGAGACCAACCTGGCCAACATGGTGAAACCCTGACTCTACTAAAAATACAAAAAATTAGCTGGGCATAGTGGTGCATGCCTGTAATCCCAGCTACTTAGGAGGCTGAGGCAGGGAGAATCACTTGAACCCGGGAGGCGGAGATTTCAGTGAACTGAGATCACACCATTGCACTCCAGCCTGGGTGACAGAGCGTGACTCTGTCTCAAAAAAGAAAAAAAAAAAGAAAGGTGGGGAAGAGAACATACGCTGTAAAGCATGTGTATGCAATCTCTTATGAAAGAAAGATAGGGAAGGTGACATTTGTATTGCATCAAAAAAATGGGAAAAAACTAATATGGTTTCTACAAGGTAGATTGGAAAAAGGTGGCAGCAAGACTTCTCTGTATTCCTTTATTAATATTTTGACTTGTTTGTTTTTTGAGATAGGGTCTTGCTGTGTTGCCCAGGCTGGAGTACAGTGGTGCCATCATGGTTCACAGTAGCCTTGAACTCCTGGGCTCAAGTAATCCTCTACCTCAGCCTTCCAAGTAGCTAGGACTACAGGCAGGCACGCGTGCCACCAGGCCAGGCTAATATTTGTATTTTTTGTAGAGATGGGGTCTCACTATGCTGCCCAGGCTGATCTTGAACTCCTGGGTTCAAGCGATCTCTTGCCTTGGGCTCCCAAAGTGCTGGGATTACAGGCATGAGCAACCATGCCTGGCTGATATTTTGACTTTTGAATGATGTAAGCTTACCTCTTCAAAAATATTCCTTTTTTTTTTTTTTTTGAGATGGAATCTCGCTCTCTCGCCCAGGTTGGAGTGCAGTGGCACAATCTCGGCTCACTGCAACCTCTGCCTCCCGGGCGATTCTCCTGCCTCAGCCTTCTGGGTAGCTGGGATTACAGGTGCGTGCCACCACGCCCGGCTAATTTTTGTATTTTTAGTAGAAACAGGGTTTCACCATGTTGGTCAGGCTGCTCTCAAACTCCTGACCTTGTGATCTGCCCGCCTCGGCCTCCCAGTGCTTACGATTACAAGCGTGATCCACTGTGCCCGGCCTCAATTTTTAAAGTTAGTTTAATCTCCGAGAAATCTTCCTAGACTTCTCCAAGCTGGGTTAGAAGCTCCTGTAATGCACACCGTATTTGCATGACAGTATGTCACACTTAGCTGTCTGTGGCACTAGGAATTGAGACCAGGGGGTGAGTCTATTGGTCTTGTAACCTATAATGTAATTGACAAGAGCAGGAGCCCAGTATTTGTTAAATTAATGCTTCTGTATTTCTATAGAAAGCAGAACCAGAAAGAAGAATGGGGAGAAGGAAGTATTCCCGCCTAAGGAGGCACCCCGAAAGGGGAAGCGAGGCCGGAGGCCCAGCAAACCCCGACTGATTCCTAGGCAGACGTCCGGGGGCCCCATCTGCCCTGACTGCGGCTGTACCTTCCCTGATCATCAGGCCCTGGAGAGCCACAAGTGCGCCCAGAATCTAAAAAAGCCTTACCCTTGCCCAGACTGTGGGCGCCGCTTTTCCTATCCATCCCTGCTGGTCAGTCACCGGCGGGCACACTCCGGCGAGTGCCCCTATGTTTGTGACCAGTGTGGCAAACGTTTCTCCCAGCGCAAGAACCTCTCCCAGCACCAGGTCATCCATACAGGGGAGAAGCCCTATCACTGCCCTGACTGTGGTCGCTGCTTCCGGAGGAGCCGGTCCTTGGCCAATCACCGGACCACACACACAGGTGAAAAACCCCACCAGTGCCCTAGCTGTGGACGTCGCTTCGCCTACCCCTCCCTGCTAGCCATCCACCAGCGTACACACACGGGAGAGAAGCCCTACACTTGCCTCGAGTGCAACCGCCGCTTCCGCCAGCGCACGGCCCTCGTCATCCACCAGCGCATCCACACGGGCGAGAAGCCCTACCCGTGCCCGGACTGCGAGCGGCGCTTCTCCTCCTCCTCTCGCCTGGTCAGTCACCGGCGTGTGCACTCTGGGGAGCGTCCCTATGCCTGCGAGCACTGTGAGGCCCGCTTCTCCCAGCGCAGCACGCTGCTCCAGCACCAGCTCTTGCACACCGGAGAGAAGCCCTACCCCTGCCCAGACTGTGGGCGTGCCTTCCGGCGGAGCGGCTCCCTGGCCATCCATCGCAGCACGCACACAGAGGAGAAGCTGCACGCCTGCGACGACTGTGGTCGCCGCTTTGCCTACCCCTCACTGCTGGCCAGCCACCGGCGCGTGCACTCGGGCGAGCGGCCCTATGCCTGCGACCTTTGCTCCAAGCGTTTTGCTCAGTGGAGCCACCTGGCCCAGCACCAGCTGCTGCACACGGGGGAGAAGCCTTTCCCCTGCCTCGAGTGTGGCCGGTGCTTCCGCCAGAGGTGGTCTCTGGCTGTCCACAAGTGTAGCCCCAAGGCCCCAAACTGTAGCCCTAGATCTGCTATCGGGGGCTCCAGTCAGAGGGGCAACGCCCATTAGAAGGGGAAGGACTGCCTACGTTCATTTCATTTTATGGAGGGTCCCAGAAAAGGGAAGGAGGAGCCCCAGGTCATACAGGGCAGAGTCAGAACTAAACCCGGGTCTCCTGCTGCACAGAGCTGAACTTTGTATCTTGCAATGCGCTGGCTGCCTCCCTGTGCGTGTCTGGAACAGTCCCATTAGGAGAGGTGACGTCATTTGCTTAAAGTTTTCCAAGCTACCCTATCCTAAAATAGTTTGTGTGGATATCAGGGCTAAAAGTTCTCCCCATCTATTTTAGGGGCTGTCTGCTTTTCTAGTCTGTCCACACAGGGATTACCTGTCATCTTGCATGCAATCAGGAGAATCTCATAGGGGCAGGACCTTCCCCTACTCTGCCTCTTCCTCCATACTAGGTTGGAAAAATCTGGTTTAGCCCACTTTTTGCAACACTCCTGCCAAGTGGTCTTCTACCCATTGCTTGAAAATCTCTCTTGACAGGGAGCTCACTACCTCACAAGGCAGGTCATTTCATTGTGGGATCTATAGAAGGTTAAGTACCACATTCTCCTCTAAACCTTGCCTACGACATGTTTAATACTTCATCTACATAGCAGCCCTTCAGATAATCACAACCACTTTGCCCCCAAGTTTTCAGGTTAAGTAGCATGAATTTGGTCATTCCTTAAAGACAGGGTTTCAATTTCCACACATGATCTCTGCAAACAGGCACTGGGTTTTCAGTGTCCTTTTTGAAGGGTCATATAAAAATAAGGTAACACCACAGTGCCACTACACCTTCTGGGGCTGGACTTGTTTCAGCAGCTTTGGTTGCACTGAATTTGGGGGAGCTGCATGGTACCAGGGGTTTATTGGGTTGCAGATATATAAATGCCCTAAACTTAAAAAAAAAAAAAAAAGCTATAAAACTAAGTCTTCATCTTGTATTTGGAAAATTGGTTCAAGCTGGGTATGAGACATAAGTGTAGTCAGCTCTGGGAGAAGGTTGCTCTTAAGGAGAAGCAGGGACCTGTGGTTTAGCAGCAGGAAGTGCAAATGGGACTGGCTTGTGCTCTACCTGGCAGACCTGGATTGGCTTCAGGCAGCCAGTGCCTGGAAAAGCCTGGAGAATTGGGCCGTACTTGACCCTGATTCTCATCAGGCACAGATGAATCACAGGCACCTAAGAATCGGCACAGAACTTCCATGAGGCCTCAGTCAGCATTTTTTCACAAAATGAGCTGAGGCCATTCAAGGAGGCTAGAAAGAGGGAACTGAATCCAGAGAGGAAGAGTCTATAGTCATCAAGTTGTATCCATGCCAGCCTCCCTCCACAGAGGTGGCAGCAGCGTGGCTCAATCTGATCCACCTCCATGGCACCCACTGGGTAGGTGCTTCATAAAGCTTTACCGAGTTAAATGTGAACAAGGCCTACCACTTTGCCTTGGGCAGCTGCACCAAATTAGAATTTCCAGATGTGACTCATCTCATATTCCAACAGCTGGAGTGGGTCATCCTTTACCCCTGTGGCTCCTTCCTACAGCTCTCCTGATCTCAGCACAAGCAGGGGAGCAGCTGGGGGAACACAGCTTTATGTAATTACCTCTGTTCAATATTTAGCAAGTTGCATTGTAACATTGTAACTGTTTGTTTCTCCTTGGATGATGAGCTACCCCCAAGAAGGGGTCATATCAGATTGGGTCTCATTAAAATGTCTGATGAATGAATTCTGTTCCTTGTGGAATTACTTTTTACAAAATATCAATCTGGTTCCTTGACTCTGTAGCAATCTTTGCTATTCTGATGGGAGAGCCAGACTTTCAGACCAGGAGACCTGTCCTGCCCAGCAGAGCCCTATTACCAGGTCTGCCCAGCCCCCTGGTAGAGCTGGCTCTTTCCCCTTCCCTTTGCCACCAGAACGCAAGGATTTCCTCAGCTAGGAATTGTATAACTTTCTTTGGGACTGGATTGTAATTCATAAAACTTGGTAGCCACTGATGGCTAAATTCCATTATGTGGTCTGTGGAGAGCAGAAATGGGAGATAACCTCCTATGTTCCCTGAAGCACTTCAATCCACCCGAGCTGGGATCCTGGTTCCTTATTCAGTGAGAGATCCTAGCATCCTTCCAATAACTTCCCCTTTCCGCTTAAGGTGGTTTGAGTTTCTGTTATTTGCAATCAAAAGAATGAACTAATACACAGCCTCAGTCTGGGTTAATCTCCCATCTGCCTCCATGCCTAGATATGAGCTGTGAGGAAAAACACTGCATTGCTGCTGAGAGGGGCCACGATACCTTTCCTGACCTTCAACCTCAGTAGAACCTTCAATATTATGTCTTCTGGGCTGGGTGCAGTGGCTCATGCCTGTAATCTCAGCACTTTGAGAGGCCAAGGCGGGAGGATTGTTTGACCTGGGAGTTTGAGACCAGCCCGGGCAATATAGCAAGACTTAAAAAGCAACAACAGTAATAAGACAATATTATGTCTTCCATATATATATATATATATAGAATTAAAGTTAGATATAAACTAATAGTTTATATACAAATGTATAAATATAAATATAAATAAATAAGTACATAAATACTCTGGTAGTCCAGAGCAGGACCACCCTATAGGCAGTGTGCCCAGAGAAGCATTCCATATATATATATATATTTTTTTTTTTTTTTTGAGATGGAGTCTTGCTTTGTCGCCCAGGCTGGAATGCAGTGGCGTGATCTCAGCTCACTGCAACCTCCTCCTCCTGGGTTCAAGTGATTCTCCTGCCTCAGCCTCCCTGGTAGCTGGGACTACAGGTGCCTGCCACCACACCCGGCTGATCTTTGGTATTTTTAGTTGAGACAGGATTTCACCATGTTAGCCAGGATGGTCTCGATCTCCTGACTTCATGATCCACCTGCCTCAGCCTCCCAAAGTGCTGGGAATTCAGGTGTGAGCCACTGCTCCCTGCCCATTCCATATATTTTTAACCAGTAAATACCTCCGCTTTCACTAGGAAAATACAAGGGGTCAAATAGGAGCTTCTTTAACATTCTGCTCCCTGCCATTACTCCAAATTGACCAGTGTGCCCACTCATATTTACTTCTGATCCATCTCAGCAAGTCCTGGATATACAATGTTCAGCAACACAGCTGGGCCTGGGTTTCATCCCCTTCTGCCCCTCAGGGACTTTGCTCTATTATTCCTACTTTCTCGTCTCCTAGTTTTATGGTTTCAGATTCCCTTTCTTGTCCCAAAGACACTCCAGCCTATAAGCATGCTAAGATCTGCCTTTAAAACAATAAAAAAGAACTTTTCTCTTGATCCCTATTATTTTCAGCTAAATGCCTTGAAGCAGTAGCCTACATTCACTGAATCCACTTTTTTCTTTTCTTTCTTTTTTTGAGCTGGAGCCTCACTCTGTCACCCAGGCTGGAGTGCAGTGGCACGATCTCTGCTCACTGCAGCCTCCACCTCCTCCCAGGTTCAAGTGATTCTGTGCCTCAGCCTCCTGAGTAGCTGAGACTGCAGGTGTATGCTATCACACCCAGCTAATTTTTGTATTTTTAGTAGAGACGGGGTTTCACCATGTTGGCCAGGCTGTTCTCAAACTCCTGACCTCAAGTGATCTGCCTGCCTCAGCTTCCCAAACTGCTGGGATTACAGGTGTGAGCCACTGCACCTGGCCTGAATCCACTTCTGTTTATTCTTTGGCCTACTGCAATATTAATAGCCACTTGACTGAGCTTTTATGATGTTCCATGTACTGTGTTAGGCACTTTATATACATTCCAATCCAATGTTCACAAGAACTCTATAAAGTAGGTGTTAACAGACACTCCTCCATGAGTCTCCCTGCTGTGACTCCAAATTGACCAGCGTGCCCACTCATGTTGACTTCCGATCCATCTCGGCAAGTCCTGCCTTCACATCTTGTTGAGTTGGCAAAAATTGCAAGTCCCTGCCTTCAACAGATTCTCAGACTTGAGCCTATTCACAGATCTAGAGTCTCCCCTTCTCTAGATCTGGGGAGGCTGGGTTCCCTTGATGAAGGACTTGATGTCAGTTCTACACTGACAAAAACATGCTGTAGAGCTTCTAGCCTTTTCCAAGTGTACCTGCAGCCATTTAGCAAGCACATTAGATTGGAATGTATATAAAGTGCTTAACTCAGTACATGGCACATCATGAAAGCTCAGTCAAGTGTCTATTAATACTGCAGTGGGCCAAAGAATAAACAAGTGGGTTCAGTGAATGTAGACTACTGCTACTGTGAGCATCAGAGAAGGGGAAGTAACTAGAGTTTCCAGAGATTTGTTGACATTGGACCTAAACTAATTTTAATTCTAAGAGATACAAAATTTAGTTTACCAGGTACAATGGACTCATGGGATCAGGTGTGTGTAGGAATGGGTTAACTCAGGAGGTGTAGGTTGTTCAAACCCTGCACATTCCAAAGAAAGCTCATCTTTAGAACTGGCATTTGGTCTGCTCCTGGGAAATAACTTCTGAGCCCGTGGAATATTTTATTTGATTAGTGTTTTTGTATGCCAGAGGTCTTGGCATACAGCATGCCATCATGCTGTACCAGTCTGAACAAATAAGTTTATCCTAAGTGTGATTTATAGTGAACATTGTTTTTTGCTCTGGGGTCTGAGTAGCAGAGATCAGTAGTATGGACACTCCAAGCCTATGTGACTAATCCCCAATAAAAACCCCACACATGGCCGGGCGCGGTGGCTCACGTCTGTAATCCCAGCACTTTGGGAGCGCGAGGTGGGTGGATCACCTGTGGTCAGGAGTTTGAGACCAGCCTGGCCAACGTGGTGAAACCCCGTCTCTACTAAAAATACAAAATTAGCCAGGTGGTGGCACACACCTGTAATCCCAGCTACTTGGGAGGCTGAGGCAGGAGAATTGCTTGAACCTGGGAGGTGGAGGTTGCAGTAAGCTGAGATCGCACCATTGCTCTCCAGCCTGGGCAACAAAAGTAAGACTATCTAAACAAACAAACAAACAAACAAAAAACCAAAACAAACAAACAAAAAAACCCTGCACCCTAAAGCTTGGGTGAACTTCTCTGTTTGGGAACAATCAGCACCTGTTGTCAAAAATCATTGCAGGGAGAAAAAAGCACGTCCCTGTGATACCCCACTGGGAGTAGACACCTGAAAGTTTGTGCCCGGTTGCATCCGGATTTTGTCCCATGTACCTTATCCCTTTGATGATTTTAAATCTGTGTCGTTTTGCTTTAATAAACCATAAATGTAAGTATAACCAATAAATAAAAATAAATAAGCAAAGCCCTTGCCACTCATTACCCAGAACAATTCTCAGGAGTGTTGGCAGCAAGCAAACCTTGAGGGAGAGGTAATGTCTGCATCCAGGACAAAGAGCAGCTTCCTTACTGCTTACTATAAAACAGCAGATGGCTGGGCATGGTGGCTCACAACTGTAATCCCAGAACTTTTGGTGGCCAAGGCAGGAGGATTGCTTGAGGCCAGGAGTTTGAGACTACCCTGGCCAACATAGCAAGACCCCATCTTATTTATTTATGTATTTATTTAGAGAAGGAGTCTCACTCTTGTCACCCAGGCTGGAGTGCAGTGGCGTGATCTTGGCTCACTGCAACCTCCACCTCCTGGGTTCAAGCAACTTTCCTGCCTCAGCCTCCCAAGTAGCTGGGATTACACTCACCTGCCACCATGCCCAGCTAATTTTAGTATTTTTGTAGAGACAGGGTTTCACCATGTTGGTCAGGCTGGTCTCGAACTCCTGACCTCAGGTGATCTGCCTGCCTTGGCCTCCCAAAGTGCTGGGATTACAGGCGTGAGCCACCGCTCCCAGCCAAATCCCATCTTTAAAAAGGAAAAAAACAGCAGGAGCTTCCTGTTCCTCCCCTATGATGCAACTCACTGTGTGTCTAGCATCCATCTGGGCACATCCCACATTGCCCCTGCAGGGGGCAGAAGGGAACCAATGCAGGCATGCTCATGCTGCTTGTTGTGCCCTGAACAGTAAGGTCTTTTGTCTCTGTTTTCTGACAGCATCCATGAAACAATAACAGACCCATTTATTAACCTATAAGTAGGGCAGCCTCAAATTCCAGATCTGACTGTAGGTATTGTTTTCCTTGACCAGATGAGGAAACAGAGGCACAGTGACATTAAATAGCTTGTCGACCGGGCACAGGGTGCACGCCTATAATCCCAGCACTTTGGGAGGCCGAGGCGGGTGGATCACCTGAGGTCAGGAGTTCGAGACCGGTCTGACCAACATGGTGAAATCCCGTCTCTACTAAATGCAAAAACATAGCCAGGCATGGTGGCACATGCCTGTAATCTCAACTACTTGGGAGGCTGAGGCAGGAGAATCACTTGAACCCGGGAGGCAAAGGTTGCAATGAGCCGAGATTGCGCCATTGCACTCCAGCCTGGGCAACAAGAGCAAAACTCCATCTCAAAAAATTTAAAAAAAAATAAATAACTTGTCCAGGATCACATATCTGGGTGACTGTAAAGTCAGCTGCCATGCAATTATTCTAAGACTGTCCTTTAAGATAACTGATGACCTAGTTAACAAATCAGTGCTTCAATTTTTATCTTACATACCTTAGTTTTCCTACTTAAGCTCTCTTGTAACTTAGCTTTCATGCCCCGCATTCTTCTAGTCTTCCTGGTGCCGCTTGTGGCTTCTGCTAGTGCGTACATGTGAGAATTCCTTCCCAGCAAGAAAGAGTCTTGCTCTGTGGCCCAGGCTGGAGTGCAGTTGTGTGATCATGGCTCACTGCAGCTTCTACTTCCCTGAGCTCAAGTGATCCTCCTGCTTCAGCCTCCTGAGTAGTTGGGACCACAGGCATGTGCCACCACACCCAACTAATTTTTTTGTATTCTTTGTAGGGATGAGGTTTCTCCATGTTGCCCAGGCTGGTCTCGAACTCCTGGGCTCAAGCAATCCTCCTGCCTTGGCTTCCTAGAGTGCTGGGATTACAGGTGTGGGCCACCTCGCCCGGCCTTATGTTTTTTCCAAATCCCAAAAATAATCAGTAAAGAAATTGGGAAAATGCAAAAAAGTGATAATTATTTATTATTTGTTTGTTTGTGTGTTTATTCATTTATTATTTTTGAGATAGAGTCTTACTCTGTTGCCCAGGCTGGAGTGCAACGGCAAGATCTCGGCTCACTGCAACCTCTGTCTCCTAGGTTCAAGCAATTCTCCTGCCTCAGCCTCCCAAGTAGCTAGGATTACAGGCGTGCGCCACCACGCCCGGCTAATTTTTTTTTTTTTTTGTATTTTTAGTAGAGATGGGGTTTCACCATGTTGGCCAGGCTGGTCTTGAACTCCTGATCTCAGGTGATTCACCTGCCTCAGCCTCCCAAAGTGCTGGGATTACAGGCGTGAGTCACCACGCCCAGCTCATCTGTATATCTTCTTTGGAGAAATGTCTATATAAATCCTATGCCTGCTTTCATCTTTTTTTTTTTTAATTCTTTTTTTGAGTGGTGTCTTGCTCTGTTGCCCAGGTTGGAATGCTGTGGTGCCATTTTGGCTCACTGCACCCTCCACCTCCCAGGCTCAAGTGATTTTCATGCCTTAGCCTCCTGAGTAGCTGGGATTACAGGTCTGTGCCACAATGCCGGCTAATTTTTGTATTTTTAGCAGAAATGGAGTTTCATCATCTCTGTTGGCTAGGCTGGTCTCGAATTTCTGGCCTCAAGTGATCTGCCTGTCTTGGCCTCCCAAAGTGCTGGGATGACAGTGTGAGCCACCGTGCCCAGCCTCTTTGCCTGCTTTTAAATTGGGTTTTTATTTTTTAGTGGTTGTTGAGTTACCGGAGTTATTTATAAATTCTGAATATTAATCCCTTATTAGACACATGATTTACAAATATTTTCTCCCATTCTGTGGAGTGTCTTTTCATTCTCAATAGTGGTTTTGCTTTTTTTTTTCTTTTGAGATGAAGTCTCACTCCATTGCCCAGGCTGGAGTGCAATGGTGCGATCTTGGCTCACTACAACCTTCACTTCCCAGGTTCAAGCGATTCTCGGGCCTCAGCCTCCCAGAGTAGCTGGGATTACAGGCATGAGCTACCATGCCCAGCTAATTTTTGTATTTTTAGTAGAGATGGAGTTTCACAATGTTGGCCAGGCTGGTCTCAAACTCCTGACCTTAGGCGATCCACCTGCCTCAGACTCCCAAAGTGCTAGGAGTACAGGTGTGAGCCACTGCACCCAGCCACCATTCATTTTAAAAGTTTTGAAAGACACAGTAAAGTTGAAGGACTTTTACAGAGAATACCCATATACTCACCACCTAGATTCTATCACTAACATTTAGTGTATCTGCTTTATCATGTAACTATCAGTTACTCTACCAGTACACTTTGTTTTTGGGTGCATGTAAAAAAAATTGCTGAAATCAGTACACTTCACCCGTAAACATTTCAACATGCATATCATTAACTAGAGCTCCACGTTTGTTTTATATATTTTTTGAGTTAAAAGTACATAAAATGCACAAACTTTAAGTGTATATTTGCTGAGTGTTGACAAAGACGTATACATCTGTAACTGAAACCCCTATCCAAATACATAACATTACCATCATCCTAGAAAGTTGCCTCATGTGGCTGGGTACAGTGGCTCAT
This sequence comes from Homo sapiens, assembly GCF_000001405.40. NCBI lineage: Eukaryota > Metazoa > Chordata > Mammalia > Primates > Hominidae > Homo > Homo sapiens. The sequence goes on along the minus strand of NC_000016.10, from coordinate 30,595,653 downwards.
GCCTGTAATCCCAGTAGTTTGGGAGGCTGAGGCAGGCAGATCACGAGGTCAGGAGTTCGAGACCATCCTGGCCAATATGGTGAAACCCCGTCTCTACTAAAAATACAAAAATTAGCTGGGCATGGTGGCATGTGCCCATAATCCCAGCTACTAGGGAGGCTCAGGCAGGAGAAGCGCTTGAACCAGGGAGTCAAAGATTGCAGTGAGCTGAGATTCTGCCGCTGTACTCCAGCCTGGCGACAGAGTGAGATTCTGTCTCAAAAAAAAAAAAAGAAAAGAAAAGAAAGAAAGTTGCCTTATGCCCCTTCCTAGTCAATTCCCATTCCCACCCCACCAGAGACAACTACTATTCTAATTAGTGTTCCCTGTTATAAAACTTCATATAATTGGAATCATACAGTGTGTATTTTTTTTTTTTTTTTTTTTTGTCTAAAGCTTCTTTTATTCAGCATAATGTCTCTGAGTCCTACTTCTTTTTAGACTTTCTTGAGTTCAGAGCTGGGAGAGTGCTCCCACATCAATAGAGTAGTTGACAAACTCAGAAATGCTCCTCAACAATGTTATCTGTGTTCATTTGTTACTGTAAGAAATTACTAGAAACTGGTGGCTGAAAACAACACAAATTTATCGTCTTATAGTTCTTCAGGTCTAAAGTCTGAAAATAGGTCTTATGGGACAATCAAGGTGTTGGCAGGGCTGCATTCCTTTTCTAGAGGCTCTAGGGAGAATCTGTTTCTTGCCTTTTCCAGCTTCTAGAGGCTGCCTGCATTCCTTGGCTAGTGGCCCCTCTCCAGCAACTGCATCACTCCACCTCTGCTTTTGTTGTCACATATCCTTCTCAGACTTTTACCCTCTTGCCTCCCTTTTATAAGGACCATTGTGATTACATTAGACTCAACAGGTTAGTGTTCCTAACTCAAAATCCTTAGTTTAATCACATCTGCGAAGTCCTATTTGCTAATATAAGGTAACACAATCAAAGGTTTTGCAGATTAGGATGTGAAATCTTTGGGGTCCATTATTCTTCTTAATTCATACATAATAACTATACATAAATATGGGGTATGTGGTGATGTTTCTATACATATGATGTGTAGTGATCAAATCGGGGCAATTAACATACCCATCATTTAAAACATTTATTATTTCTTTGTGTTAGGAACATTCAATATCTTCTCTTCTAGCTATTTGAAAATATATAGTATATTATTGTTAACTATAGTCATCCTACGGTGCTATAAAACACTAGAACTTATTCCTCCAATATAGCTAATAATTTTATGTCCATTAACAAATTTTTCCCTATCCCACCCTTGCCCCTACCCTTCCCTTTCTAGCCTCTAGTAACATCTATTCTGCCTTTTTTTTTTTTTTTTTTTGAGATGGAGTTTTGCTGTTTGGCCCTGGCTGGAGTGAAGTGGCACAATCTCGGCTGACTGCAATCTCTTACACCTGCGTTCAGGCAATTCCTGTGCCTCAGCCTGCCGAGTAGCTGGGATTACAGGCATGTGCCACCAAGCCTGGCTAATTTTTGTATTTTTAGTAGAGACAGGGTTTTACCATACCGGCCAGGCTGGTCTCGAACTCCTGACCTCAGGTGATCCATCCACCTCGGCCTCCCAAAGTGCTAGGATTACAGGCATTAGCCACCATACCCGGCCTCCACTAACTTTTGACTCCCCAAAACTTAACTACTGTTGACTGGAAGCCTTACCAATAACATAAATAGTCAATTAAAACATGTTTTGGGGTTGGGTGCCATGGCGCATGCCTGTAATCCCAGCTGAGGCTGAGCCAGGAGGATTGCTTGAGCTTGGGAGGTGGAGGTTGCAGTGAGCCGAGATCTCACCACTGCACTCCAGCCTGGGTGACAGAGCCAGACCTTGTCCTAAAAAAAAAAAATCAGATAGTAAATATTTAAATACATATATACTTTTTTGGGCTTACGCCTGTAATCCCAGCACTTTGGGAGGCTGAGGCGAGAGGACTGCTTGAGCTCAGGAGTTCGAGACCAGCCTGGACAACAAGGTGAAACCCCGCTTCTACAAAAAATTAAAAAATTAGCCAAGCATGGTGGCATGTACCTGTATTCCCAGCTACTTGGGAGGCTAATGTAGGAGGATGGCTTGAGCTCAGGAGGCAGAGGTTGCCAGGATGGTAGCCACTGCACTCCAGCCTGGGTGACAGAGCCAGACCCTGTCTCAAAAAGAAAAAAACAAAAACATATTTTGTATGTCATATATATCATATACTGTACTCTCTCCCCCCACCTTTTTTCTTTTTTTAATTTAGAGATGGGTCTTGCTCTGTCACGAAGGTTGGAGTGCAGTGACGTGATCATAGCTCAACTGCAGCCCGAAACTCCTCAGCTCAAGTGATCTTCCTGCCTCAGCCTCCTGAGTAGCCGGGACTACAGGCGCATGCCACCACGCCTGGCTTATGTAGTGTATTCTTATCATAAAGTAAGCTAGAGAAAAGAAAATGTTATTAAGAAAATCATAAGGAAGAGAAAATATATTTACTATTCATTAAGTGGAAGTGGATCATCATAAAACTCTTCATCATCATCATCTTCATGTTGAGCAGTCTGAGGAAGAAGAGGAGGAAGGGTTGGTCTTGCTGTTTCAAGGGTGGCAGAGGCAGAAGAGGTGGAGAAGGGCGAAGGGGGAGCAGAAGAGGCAGGCACACTGGTGCAACTTTATGGAAATACATCATAATTTCTGGAAATACATCATAATTTCATAATACATCATAAGTACATCAAAAAATGACTTTTTTTGCTTTTTCATTTCTCTAGACATATTTCTATACAGTACCAATCCTTCTTCTACTGTTTGCTTTAGTTTCAGTGCCCATATCTTAGAAGGGTCTAAGTCATAAAAGAAGTCAAAAGCAGTCTTAAATGACGGAAACCCTCCTGCCAGATTGTCTAATGTCAATTTGTTTTCTGGCACTGCCCCTTTCCATCTTCCTTATCATCTGGCACTGGTTCAGAAGCACTCATCTCTACCAAGTTGTATTCTAATTCCTCTGGTATGGTGTCTATTAGCTCTTCAGTTTCTCCAAAATCCATGTCTTGAAATCCTTCACCCCCTAAATTTTTTTTTTTTTTTTTTTTTTTTTTTTTTTTGCCATATTCACAGTCTCTTTCGTGATTTCCTTGATTGGCTCTTGTCATAATTTCCTATGAAGTAACACCTAGTATCTGGGCATAGTTTTCTCTAGTAGTCGCACTATTGGATACAGTTTTCTCCTGTAGGAATCTGTTTCAGGTTTGATGGCTTTCACAGCTTTTTCTATAACAACGATGGTGTCTTCAGTGGTGTAATCCTTCCAGACTTTCATGATGGGGTTCTCTTCCATAGGGTTGACCATCCTTTCCATAGAGTACCATGTGTAATGAGCCTTAAAGATCTTTATGACAACTTGATCTATAGGCTGAATTGGAAGTGTTGTGTTTGGGGGTAAGTAGGCCACTTCACCACCAAAGGTGTTGAATTCATGGGGTTCTGGGTGGCCAGGGGCATTGTCCAATATCAAAATAACTTTAAAAGGCAGTCCCGGCCGGGCACGGTGGCTCACGCCTGTAATCCTAGCAGTTTGGGAGGCCAAGGAGGGTGGCACACCTGAGGTCAGGAGTTCAAGACCAGCCTGGCCAACATGGTGAAATCCTGTCTATACTAAAAGTACAAAAATTAGCTAGGCATGGTGGCGTGCGCCTGTAATCCTAGCTACACGGGAGGCTGAGGCCGAAGAATTGCTTGAACCCAGGAGGTGGAGGTTACAGTGAGCCGAGATTATGCCATTGCACTCCAGCCTCGCAACAAGAGCGAAACTCCGTCTCAAAAAAAAAAAATAAAAGCTTCCAGATAGGTGAACATGTGGAGGTTCCTAGAGGGGTAGCATGCATACCTAGGGAGGGCATGGAATCTCTGCTCCCTTTCCCCCATATCTCACCCACTACATCTCTTCATCTATATCCTTTGTAATATCCTTATAATGAACCAGCAAATGAAACACAACCAGAGTTTGATAAAATTTGTCCAAATTGGGCAGAGTCTAAGTGACATGCCAGTGGCTTGTGCATCTCACCATCTGAGGGACCCCATCTGATAATGGTGTTGTGAGGAACACAGACTAGACTCTCTAGCTGCAGGCAGTGGATGCCTGGGAAGGAAGATCTGTGGCTGCAGACAGAAATCTAGTGGCTCTAACCTGTCAGTCATGGTCTGTATTTCCTTGTGCTTTAATTTCCCTTTAATAAAATGAGATGGTGGGCTGGGTGCAGCGGTTCACACCTGTAATCCCAGCATTTTGGGAGGCCGAAGCGGGCGTATCACGAGCTCAGGAGTTCGAGACCAGCCTGGCCAATATGGTGAAACCTCGTCTCGAATAAAAACACAAAAATTAGCTGGGCATGGTGGTGTGTGCTTGAGTCCCAGCTACTCGGGAGACTGAGGCAGGAGAATTGCTTGAACCCCCAGAGGCAGAGGTTGCAGTGAGCTGAGATTGTGCCACTGCACTCCAGCCTGGGCAACAGAGTGAGACTCCATCTCAAATAAATAAATAAATAAATAAATAAATAAATAAATAAATAAGTAAAGGCCTGGTGCGGTGGCTCACGCCTGTAATCTCAGCACTTTGGGAGGCTGAGGCGGGTGTATCACGAGGTCAAGAGATCGAGACTATCGTGGCCAACATGCTGAAACCCTGTCTCTACTAAAAGCACAAAATTAGCTGGGCCTGGTGGTGCATGTCTCTAATCCCAGGTACTCGGGAGGCTGAGGCAGGAGAATCGCTTGAACCCGGGAGGTGGAGGTTGCAGTGAGCTGAGATTGCACCACTGCACTCCAGCCTAGTGACAGAGTGAGACTCCATCTCAAAAATAAATAAATAAGTAAACAAACAAAATAAATAAAAATAAAATAAGATGGTAAAGGCCAATGGAGAAAGGCAGGCCTTTACCGGCCAGGTACTTCCTGACTTCAGGGACAAAGCACAGATGTACCCCATCCAGAAAAAGATTATTGTTGTTCAGGCCTTTTTTGTTGTACACCCAGAAGACTGCAAGCTAGTATTTCTCTTTTCCCTTCAAGGCTCAAGGATAAGCACCTTTATAGATAAGGGACGTACTGATAATAAACCTGACTGCATCTGCACAAAACAGTGGAGTTAGCTTATCCCTTCCTGTTGTAAATCCTGGTGCTTGCTTCTCTTCCTTACTACTAAATGTCCTTTGTGCCTTTTTTTTTTTTTCTTAGATGGAGTTTCACTTTTGTTGCCCAGTCCCATGGCGCCATCTCGGCTCACCGCAGCCTCTGCCTCCTGAGTTCAAGCGATTCCCCTGCCTCACCCTCTCCAGTAACTGGAATTACAGGGGATCTATGGAACCGATGAACCATACTGGAAAACCTCAGGTGATCCACCAGCCTCGGCCTCCCAAAGTGCTGGGATTACAGGCGTGAGCCACCGCGCCCAGCTACAGTGGTTTTTTTTTTTTTTTTTTTTTTTTTTGAGACAGAGTCTCGCTCTGTGGCCCAGGCTGGAGTGCAGTGGCGCCATCTCGGCTCACTGCAAGCTCCGCCTCCCGGGTTCACGCCATTCTCCTGCCTCAGCCTCCCGAGTAGCTGGGACTACAGGCCACTACAGTGGTTCTTATACTGGATCAATTTATCTGGAAATGGTGGGCAACTGCAGCTGCAGACCTCAATCTATGGTACATACCAAGCAATTCAACTTTTTCTTGAAATGTCATGACTTTTCTTTGCTTCTTGGGAGCACTTCCAGCATCACTAGTGGCACTTTGTATGGGTCCTATGGTGTTATTTAAGGTTTATGGTACTGCGCTAAACACAATGAAAAATGAGACCCAAGAGATTACTTTTTACTATGATATGCAAATCACTGGAGTGTGAACTTTTTTTTTTTTTGAGACAGAGTCTCACTCTGTTACCCAGGCTGGAGTGCAGTGGCACAATCTCGGCTCACTGCAACCTCTGCCTCCCAGGCTCAAGCAATTCTCATGCCTGTAATCCCAGAATTTTGGGAGGCCAAGGCCAGTGGATCAGAGGAGGCCAGGAGTTCGAGACCAGCCTGGGCAACATGTGAGACCCCGTCTCTACCAAAAATACAAAAAACTTAGCCAGGCATGGTGGCACCTGCCTGTAATCCCAGGTACTCCAGAGGCTGAGGCACGAGAATCTCCTGAACCCAGGAGGTGGAGGTTGCAGTGACCTGAGATTGCACTGCTGCACTCCAGTCTGGGTGACACAGGGAGATTCCATCTAAAAAAAAAAAAGAAAAAAAGAGAATATTATCAGCATCCTAGAAGCATCTATTATCGTACCTGGCTCTGATTTTTGATAGCATGGATTAAGTTTGCTGTTTTTTTGTTGTTGTTGTTTTGTTTTGTTTTGTTTTTGAGATGGAGTCTAGCTCAGGCTGGAGTGCAGTGGCGCGATCTTGGCTCACTGCAACCTCTACCTCCTGGGTTCAAGCAATTCTCTGCCTCAGCTGCCTGAGTAGCTGGGATTACAGGCGCCCGCCATCATACCCCGCTAATTTTTTGTATTTTTACTAGAGATGGGGTTTCACCATCTTGGCCAGGCTGGTCCTGAATCCCTGACCTCATGATCCACTCCCCTTGGCCTCCCAAAGTTCTGGGATTACAGGCATAAGCCACCGTGCCCGGCCACATTTTGTCTGTTTTTATACATATGTTTTTTAATTTTAGAGATAGGGTCTTGCTCTGTTGCCCAGGCTGGAGTGCAGTGGCATGATGATAATGGCTTATTGCACCCTTGACCTCTGGGCTCAAGCAGTTCTCCCATCTCAGCCTCCTGAGTAGCTGGGACCACAAGTGCACACCACCATGCCTGGCTTATTAAAAAAAATTGCTTTTGTAGAGATGGTGTCTCACTATATTGCCCAGGCTGGTCTCAAATTCTTAAGCTCAAGTGATCATCCAGCCTCAGCCTCCCAAAGTACTGATATTACAGGCCTCAGCCACCAGCCTAGCCTACATGCAGAGTCTTTTAAAAAGAAAAACTATAGAAACGGAATCTTTTTTTTTTTTTTTTTTTTTTTGAGATGGAGTCTTGCTCTGTCACCCAGGCTAGAGTGCAGTGGTGTGATCTTGGCTCACTGCAACCTCCACCTCCTGGGTTCAAGTGATTCTCCTGTCTCAGCCTCCCGAGTAGCCGGGCCTACAGGCGCCTGCCACCTCGCCCAGATAATTTTTGTGTTTTTAGATGGGGTTTTGCCATGTTGGCCAGGCTAGTTTCAAATTCCTGACCTCAGGTGATCCGCTGACCTCGGCCTCCCGAAGTGCCGGGATTACAGGCATGAGCCACCGCATCTGGTCTAGTTTTTACCTATTATAAGAAGTGTGGAGAACATTTGAGTAAATGCCTTTGAGTAAACATATGTATGCATATCTGTTGGGTATACACCTACAAGTGGAATCACTGGGTCATAGGGTATGACATCTATTCAGCTTTAGTAGGTACTGCCAGTTTTCAAAAGCGGCTGCACCAATTCACACTCCACCAGTAGTGTAAAAGAGGATAACACTTGATAAACTTGCTTTTGACTATATATTCTTTTGAATTTGGTTATATATATTCAGCTAAGACAGCAGAAGAGGTGATTTATTATATGGTTGTTACACTCGGCCACCAGTGAACACAGAAATAGTCCAGAATATCACAGGTCCGGAGCAAAGGACCAACATGCAGTTTTGGTTATGAGCAAGGTGAGTCTCAGAGGTGGTCTTGGCGACCAGATGGAGATGAAGTTCTAGATGCACTGAAACAAGCTCTAGACAGTAGCATGCAGCCCAATAACTGTACCAGCATCCCCAGCCTCTGGATTCCATGTTTCTGCTCCTGTAGCCTCCATGGGTGCATAAGCTTGTGGTTTACTTGGACCTCTGCCTCATCTTTCTTCTTTTGCGCTTCAGCCTGCGCATTCGCTTCCTCCACTAGGCTCTCATGGTGCAGAGGTTTCCAAGAAGATGGTGTGAAGGCCGAGATCATTTGGTTATATTATAAAATAGAATGCAAATTCACACAAGTTTTTGTTTTTTATTTATTTATTTTTTTAGAGATGAGGTCTTGCTATGTTGTTTAGTCTGGTCTCGAACTCCTGGCCTCGTGATCCTCCCACCTTGACCTCCCAAAGTGCTGGGATTACAGGCCTGAGGCCTGAGCCACTACACCCAACTGAATTCACATTTTTTTTTTTCTTTTCTGAGACGGAGTCTCACTCTGTCACCCAGTATGGAGTGCAGTGGCGCGACTGCGGCTCACTGCAAGCTCCGTCTCTCGGGTTCAAGTGATTCTCATGCCTCAGCCCCCCAAGTAGCTGGAATTACAGGGGTGCACTACCACACCTGGCTAATTTTTCTGTTTTAGTAGAGATGGGGTTTCACCATGTTGCCTGGTCTCAAACTCCTGACTTTAAGTGATCCACACACCTCAGCCTCCCAAAGTGCTGGGATTACAGGTGTGAGCCTCCACACCCGGCCGAATTCACATGAATTTTAAAGTGATGTCTTCAAAGTGGTTTCACTGTGGGGATGGGCAGCTTTTTGTTATACATCTAGAACGTTCCTCTTCTGTTTCTATGAATACTCGGTTGGAAAGGGCTGAAAAACGGTCTTAAGAGATTATCTGATTCGTTTCCCAGTTTTATTACTCACATATCAGCTGTAATTTGAGCACGTTTTCTGATTGAGACAAGACTCAGATGGTATTAAACATTACTACAACACATCCGGGCACGGTGGCTCACGCCTGTAATCCCAGCACTTTGGGAGGCCGAGGCGGGCGGATCACGAGGTCAGGAGATCGAGACCATCCTGGCTAACACGGTGAAGCCCTGTCTCTACTAAAAATACAAAAAATTAGGCGGGCATGGTGGCGGGCGCCTGTAGTCCCAGCTACTCGGGAGGCTGAGGCAGGAGAATGGCGTGAACCCGGGAGGCGGAGCTTGCAGTGAGCCGAGATCGCGCCACTGCACTCCAGCCTGGGCGACAGAGCAAGACTCCATCTCAAAAAAAAAAAAAAAAAAAAAAAACTACAACACTATAAATTCATATCTATTATAATAGTACTTTGTGCAGGGCCCTACCCTAAGTCCTTAACCGAACCCGGAAGCGAGAAGATGACTTTTGTTTGTTTTTAGAGATGGGCGCCTGGCTCTGTCGCCAGCCTGGAGTGTGGGGGCGCGATCTCGACTCACAGCAGCCTCCACCTCCCGAGTTCAGGCGATCTTCCTGCCTCAGCCCCTCGAGGAGCTGGGACCACCGGCGCGCTCCATCGCGCCCGGCTAGGAGCTGACTTTGAATCCGGGCTCTGCGCCTGGCCTTCTGCATCTCTATAAGGGAAGACATCTGTGACCTCGGGGCAAAGGTCAAATTAGATCCTGGGTAGGATCCTGTTCCCGCTGCCCCTCGGGCTGGCACTGCCAGGAGTACTCAGAGCTCAAAGCTGGGATCTGCAGTCCCTTACCCACTCAGTGCACGCCGCCTAAGGCTTTGCGCTTCACCTTTACTCACCTCGAAGCCCTGGACATCCGCATCTGCCCTAAGACTTCTCACCTCAGTAGCAGAAGGAAGTCGCGTCAGCTGGCCACAGCCTCTCTCCTAGGAGACCGTCCGGGAAAAGCGAGTCAGGGTAGACCCTGAGGCCCCTCAGCTCCGGCTATTTTCAGATCTGTCGCTCCTTCACCCTCAGCCTTTCAAACAGGCCACTCCAAAAAAAAGCCCAATCACAGCCTTCCTTCTTCTCCTGGCCTTCCGGCACTGTCCAATCAACGTACGCCATCTATCGGTTAGTGGTGTTGCGGGGCCACCCTTCCCGCTGGTTTCCCTCGTGGTGTGTAAAGGCAGAGAGGAAAGGCGAGGGGTGTTGACGCCAGGAAGGTTCCATCTTGGTTAAGGGCAGGAGTCCCTTACGGACTTGTCTGAGGAAAGACAGGAAAGCGCCAGCATCTCCACCTTCCCCGGAAGCCTCCCTTTGCCAGGCAGAAAGGGTTTCCCATGGGGCCGCCCCTGGCGCCGCGCCCGGCCCACGTACCCGGGGAGGCCGGGCCCCGGAGGACGAGGGAAAGCAGGCCGGGCGCCGTGAGCTTCGCGGACGTGGCCGTGTACTTCTCTCCCGAGGAGTGGGAATGCCTGCGGCCAGCGCAGAGGGCCCTGTACCGGGACGTGATGCGGGAGACCTTCGGCCACCTGGGCGCGCTGGGTGAGGCCGGGCCCTCCGGCCGGGACCCCCAGTCCGTCGGTGGGAAGCGGTGATCGGTGTCCCCAGAGGCTAGTGGGCTGGAAGCGGGGCGCCGAGGGAGCAGTCTCATTCTCCCCTCCCGTGCGCTCAGCCGAGCCCATTGTTTCTCCTTCGCAGGATTTTCAGTTCCCAAACCCGCTTTTATCTCGTGGGTGGAAGGAGAAGTGGAGGCGTGGAGCCCGGAGGCCCAGGATCCCGACGGTGAGAGCTCTGCAGCTTTCAGCAGGGGCCAAGGACAGGAAGCAGGTACTTCATTTGGATAAGTAGCCGTGGAGAAGCCCCAACCCCCGCCCCCAACTCACTCACATCCTCAGCGCAGGCTGCCCCCTCCAAAGTCCCATCCTGTCTCCCTGCACCCTACCCCAGAAACGTCCTCATCTCACTGCAAAATGGCCCGATGGAACAGCGAAATTGGGATCTATGGAACCGATTAACCATACTGGAAAACCTCAGTTTAATGCAAAATAGAGCTTGAGCTTCCTAGGAGGTCAAGGGAAAGGGGAAACCTGTAATTTGATTTTTGTTGTGGGATAAAATGAAGACAGATGTTCCTCTTGGATATTAATGATGTGAACCACGTGTAGTAAATAACACCATTAATTAGATTTTTAAATGAAGAGAAATGTTTTTCCTGCAGCCCTGATACCAGAATAAATGCTTGTTCCCAGAAGGTCTTCCCGTGGAACCTAGTGAGGCAGTCCAAGTGTAGACTTATTTTTTGAGACAGTCTCGCTCTGTTGCCCAGGCTGGAGTACAGTGGCATGGTCTAGGCTCACTGCAACCTCCGCCTCCCAGGCTCAAGCAATTCTCCTGCCTCAGCCTCCTGAGTAGCTGGGATTACAGGTACCCGCCATCATGCCCAGCTAATTTTTGTATTTTTAGTAGAGACGGGCTTTCACCATCTTGGCCAGGCTGGTCTTGAACTCCTGATCTCGTGATCCACCTGCCTCTGCCTCCCAAAGTGCTGGGATTACAGGCGTAAGTCACTGTGCCCCACCAGCAAGTGTAGACTTTTTGGTGATGGTAAGAGCAGAGAGGAAAGGTGCCAAAAGAATTTGAGCTGGTACCAAAGAAGGTCATTGAATGGCTGTTTTGTAAAGGGATCATAAACAGGTTCAGGATGGTAAGTGCCATGAGGACTGGGACCATCACTGTGTCCTCAAAGCCTGACACAGAGTTAAGCGTTCAATATTGTTCACTCCTTTTTCTTTTTTTATTTTTTTGAGACTGAGTCTTGCTGTGTCGCCCATGCTGGAGTGCAGTGGCACGAGGTTGGCTCACTGCAACCTCCACCTCCCCAGTTCCAGGGATTCTCCTGCCTCAGCCTCCCAAGTAGCTGGGATTACAGGCGCCCACCACCTCGCCTGGCTAATTTTTGTAATTTAGTACAGACAAGGTTTCCCCATGTTGGCCAGGCAGGTCTCGAACTCCTGACCTCAGGTGATCTGCCCACCCCAGCCTCCCAGAGTGGTGCTGGGATTACAGGCATGGGCCACCACGCCCAGCATTTTTTTTTTTTTTTATTAGAGAGTTGCCCAGGCTGGAGTGCAGTGGCCCGATCACAGCTCACTGTCCCTTGAATTTCTGGCCTCAAGCGATCCTCCCACCTCAGCCTCCTGAAGTGCTTGGATAACAGGTGTGAGCCATGGCACCCGGCCCGACTCCTCTTTCATTATCTCCAGTGCTCAGGGCCTTCTTGTGTTAACCTGCAGACCATGGCATTTGCTTTTACTCCAGGCTGGCTTTCAGGGCTTCATGAGGCCCCTATCATTAAGCCGTGCTCCCTGGGCGCCATATTCTGAACCATTCCTGCTGCCTTCCAAGGCAGGACATGGTCCCGGAATATGCTGGTTTTGACTTTATCATCTTTCCTGTCTCAGGATCCAGGGATGAGTTTCTGATTTTATCATCTTCCCTGTTTCAGGATCCAGGGATGGGAATGAGGAGAAGGAAAGGCTGAAGAAGTGTCCAAAACAAAAAGAGGTGGCGCATGAAGTGGCTGTCAAGGAGTGGTGGCCCAGCGTCGCCTGCCCAGAGTTCTGCAACCCTAGGCAGAGCCCCATGAATCCCTGGCTCAAGGACACTCTGACCCGAAGACTGCCCCACTCTTGCCCAGACTGTGGCCGCAACTTCAGCTACCCTTCCCTCCTGGCCAGCCACCAGCGGGTCCACTCCGGGGAGCGGCCCTTCTCCTGCGGCCAGTGTCAGGCGCGTTTCTCCCAGCGCAGGTACCTGCTCCAGCATCAGTTCATCCACACCGGCGAGAAGCCCTACCCCTGCCCCGACTGCGGGCGCCGCTTCCGCCAGAGGGGTTCCCTGGCTATCCACAGGCGGGCTCACACCGGGGAGAAGCCTTACGCGTGCTCAGACTGCAAGAGTCGCTTCACTTACCCCTACCTGCTGGCCATCCACCAGCGCAAGCACACGGGCGAGAAGCCCTACAGCTGCCCCGATTGCAGCCTCCGTTTCGCCTACACCTCCCTGCTGGCCATCCACAGGCGCATACACACCGGCGAGAAGCCCTACCCCTGTCCTGACTGCGGCCGCCGCTTCACCTATTCTTCCCTCCTCCTCAGTCACCGGCGCATTCACTCCGACAGCCGGCCCTTCCCCTGCGTGGAGTGTGGGAAAGGCTTCAAGCGCAAGACCGCCCTGGAAGCCCATCGGTGGATCCACCGCTCCTGCAGCGAGAGGCGCGCGTGGCAGCAGGCCGTGGTGGGGCGTTCAGAGCCCATCCCTGTTTTGGGAGGCAAGGATCCCCCAGTTCACTTCCGGCACTTTCCAGATATATTTCAAGAGTGTGGGTGATGGCGTTCACACAAACTGGTCAGCGTTTCCCTGGAGAGGAAGAGGCAAGGTTTGTGTATTTGGGGGATAAGGAAAGGAAGTGGGCGTTTGAGGAAAACAAAGTTCTGCCTTAGGTAAAAAGCAGAGGTAGGGGCACAGAGGGCTGTGGGGAGGAGGCAGGAATCTGAAAAGGTGCCTGGGGGTTGACCCCATTTTCTGAAGCTCCAGCACACAGGGCCCCGTGTTCACGTCCCATCCTTCACTGAAAACCATTCACCTAACTGGCTTTTCCTTCATGATTGTTCTCTCCCTTGTAGCTCTCTGCTTTTTGGCCTGTATCTCTCCTACTCCTCTGAGATGGGGTCCCCTACATTCCAGTGCCTATTAAAGGAGCCTGCACCCACTCTGGACCCCCCAGAATAGAGGGGATACCTCAGGCCTGTCCCTCGGCTGGTGGGGGGGGCGGAGCTCATCCCAGGATTCTTTTCTTTTTTTTGAGATGGAGTCATGCTCTGTCGCCCAGGCTGGAGTGCAGTGGCGTGATCTCGGCTCACTGCAACCTCTGCCTCCTGGGTTCAAGCCATTCTCTGCCTCAGCCTTCCCATTAGCTGGGATTACAGGCATGCGCCACCAGGCCCAGCTAATTTTTGTGCTGTTAGTAGAGACGGGGTTCCACCATCTTGGCCAGGCTGGTCTTGAATTCCTGACCTCGTGATCCACCCGCCTCGGCGTCTCAAAGTGCTGGGATTACAAGCGTGAGCCACCGACCCCTGCCGAGGATTCTGCCTTTTACCAATGCAGGTGAAACATCTGGCAAGGAGACACCTGGAGTGTAGGTGTTCCTTGGTCTTGAAGACCTAGAGGTGGCCATAGAGAGGACAGTGGCCTCAGGTGGGGAACTCCCCCCCCACTCTCATTCTGCAAGTGCACAAACTATCAAACATAGCGGACTCTGGAACTGGGCCAACTCTTCACTGTATGCATTAGTGATTGCAGTGTTTTTTTCTTCTTCAGATATTTGCATGTTCCCTGGATTTTGTATTTTTTGATAAAGATATATTCTTGGGCCACAGTAGCTGGAGATATAATGCCGGAGGATTCTTTTTTTTTTTTTTTTTTTTGAGACAGAGTCTGTCTCTATTGCCTGGGCTGGAGTGCAGTGGCCCAAGCTACGCTCACTGCAAGCTCCACCTCCTGGGTTCACACCATTCTCCTGCTTCAGTCTCCCGAGTAGCTGGAATTACAAGCACCCGCCACCACGCCCAACTAATATTTTGTATTTTTAGTAGAGACGGGGGTTTCACCGTGTTAGCCAGGATGGTCTCGATCTCCTGACTTCGTGATCCTCCCGCCTCGGCCTCCCAAAGTGCTGGGATTACAGGCGTGAGCCACTGCACCCAGCCTCTTTTTTTTTTTGAGATGGAGTTTCGCTCTTGTTGCCCAGGCTAGAGTGCAATGGCATGATCTTGGCTCACTGCAACCTCCGCCTCCTAGGTTCAAGCGATTCTCCTGCCCCAGCCTCTTGAGTAGCTGGGATTACAGGCACCCACGACCATGCCTGGCTAATTGCATTTTTACTAGAGACAGGTTTCACCATGTTGGCCAGGCTGGTCTCCAATTCCTGACCTCAGGTGATCCACCCGACTTGGCCTCCCAAAGTTCTGGGATTACATTTTTTTTTTAAAGAAAGAATAAATTAATTGTGATTAAAGTTGAAATCAAGGCATAGTCTTTCCAGTCTAATTTTTACTGTAATGCTTGTATGTCAACAGTTATGAAGGCCAGGCGCGGTGGCTCACGCCTGTAATCCTAGCAGTTTGGGAGGCTGAGGAGGGTGGATCACTTAAGGTCAAGAGTTCAAGACCAGCCTGGCCAATATGGTGAAACCCCATCTCTACTAAAAATACCAAAAAAAAAAAAAAAAACGGCCAGGCACGTTGGCTCACACCTGTAATCCCAGCACTTTGGGAAGCCGAGGCGGGCAGATCACGAGGTCAGAAGATCGAGACCATCCTGGCTAACATGGTGAAACCCCGTCTGTACTAAAAATACAAAAAAATTAGCCAGGAGTGGTGGCAGGTGCCTGTAGTCCCAGCTACTTGGGAGGCTGAGGCAGGAGAATGGCGTGAACCCGGGAGGCGGAGCTTGCAGTGAGCCGAGACTGCGCCACTGCACTCCAGCCTGGGTGACAGAGCGAGACTCCGTCTCAAAAAAAAAAAAAAAAAATTAGCCAGGCCTGGTGGCGTGCACCTGTAATCCCAGCTTCTTGGGAGGCTGAGGCAGAAGAATGGCTTGAACCCAGGAGGTGGAGGTTGCAGTGAGCCAACATAGCGCCACTGCACTCCAGCCTGGGCAACAGAGCAAGACTCTATCTCAAAAAAAAAAAAAAAAAAAGGCCTGGTGTGGTGGCTCACGCCTGTAATCCCAGCACTTTGGGAGGCTGAGGTGGGTGGATCACGAGGTCAGGAGATCAAGACCATCCTGGCTCACACAGTGAAACCCCATCTCTACTAAAAATACAAAAAATTATCCGGGCATGGTGGCGGGCGTCTGTAGTCCCAGCTACTGGGGAGGCTGAGGCAGGAGAATGGCATGAACCCGGGAGGCGGAGCTTGCAGTGAGCTGAGATCGCGCCACTGCACTCCAGCCTGGGCGACAAAGTGAGACTCCAGTCTCAAAAAACAAAACAAAACAAAAAACAACAGTTAAGAGAGTTCTTTCTGGCCCATTTAGATCTGCTAGCCCTACTTTTGAAGAGGAAACTTTTGAAGGAATGAACAAAAGAGGTAGGTGGGACTAAGCATTTCTGCATTCCAGGACTGGTGGTCAGTGACTCAAATATCTCTTTGAAAAGACTGCTTCTTTGAATCCTTGGGTTCCAAGATAATTAATGGGAACTGGTGCCGGGCACGGTGGCTCACACCTGTGATCCCAGCACTGTGGGAGGCTGAGGCTGGTTAATCACTTGAGGTCAGGAGTTTGAGACCAGCTGGGCAATATAGTGAAACCCCATCTCTACCAAAAAATTAGCCAGGCGTGGTGGCACATGCCTGTAGTCCCAGCTACTCAGGAGGCTAAGGCAAGAGGATCACTTGAGCCTGGGAGACAGAGGTTGCAGTAAGCTGAGATGGCTCCATTGCACTCCAGCCTGGGCTACAAAGCAGGACTCTGTCTCAAAACAAAAACAGATACAAAAACTGGGAACGGGGTGTTATCTTTACTTCACCACATAGCCTCTCCTGAATTGGTGGACCTGGATTCCTAGCTTGGCTCAGTCCCCACTGGCTGTGTGGCCTTTAGCATCACCTAGATTCTACAAATAACATTTTTCTCTATTTGTTTTACACATGTCAATCTGCCTATCCATCCCTCTATCCATTCATTTATCCATTTTATTAATGTATTTCAAAGTAAGTTGCAGACATCATTACATTTCACTTCTAAACACTTCAGCATACAGCTGAGTTTTATGCAAGAAACTTAAGCTCTCAGCTGGGTACAGTGGCTCACACCTGTAATCCCAGCACTTTGGGAGGCTGAGGCAGGAGGATTGCATGAGATTGGGAGTTTGAGACGAGCCTGGAAAACAGCAAGACCTCATTTCTACTAAAAATTTTAAAAATTAGCCGAGCATGGTGGGGGAGGGTGAAGAAGGAGGATAGCTTGAGCCCAGGAGTTTGAGGCTATAGTGAGCTATGATGGCGCCACTTCAGTCTGAGTAACAGCAAGACACTATTAAAAAAAAAAAAGAGCCAGGCGCAGTGGCTCACACCTGTAATCCCAGCACTTTGGTAGGCCAAGGTGGGCAGATCACCTGAGGTCAGGAGTTTGAGACCAGCCTGACGAACATGGAGAAACCCTGTCTCTACTAAAAAAAAAGAAATACAAAATTAGCCAGGCATGGTGGCACATGCCTGTAATCACAGCTACTCGGGAGGCTGAGGCAGGAGAATCGTTTGACCCCAGGAGGCGGAGGTTGCAGTGAGCCAAGATCGTGCCATTGCACTCCAGCCTGGGCAACAAGAGTGGAACTCTGTTTCAAAAAAGAAAGAAAGAAATTCAGCTCCCACTTAAAGTTCAGTTGTACTCTGTTATTGACAAGTAAAGTCGATTGAAGCCCAGTCATCTCCTGTATGTTGTGTGACTTCTCATAATTATCTGATCAAGAGTCTTGAAGAAACATTTACAATTTGATGGGCAATAAAATAATTTGAAAGCAAGAGCATTTTGTTGTTCTTGTTATTTCTTGAGACAGGGTCTCACTATAGCCTAGGCTGGAATGCAGTGGCACAGTCACGGCTCACTGCAGCCTCGACCTCCTGGGCTCAGGTGTTTCTCGTTCTCATCTCAGCCTCTTGAGTAACTGGGACTACAGGCATATGCCACTATGCCCAGCTAATTTTTGTATTTTTTGTACAGATGGGGTTTTGCCCAGGCTGGTCTTGAACTCATGGGCTCAAGTGATCTGTCTATCTGAGCCTCCCAAAGTGGTAGGATTACAGGTGTTAGCCACTGTGCCCGGCCAATTTTTGTATTTTTATAATGAGTGGCAGGAAAAACAACTCATCAGCTACACGGAACAGTTTTAGTCTTACTTGAAAGTTTGTTTCAGGCCTGGCGCTATGGCTCATACCTGTAATCCCAGCACTTTGGGAGGCCGAGGACGGTGGATCACTTGAAGCCAGGAGTTTGAGACCAGCCTGGCCAACATGGCAAAACCCCATCTCTACTAAAAATACAAAAATTAGCAGGTTGTGCTGTTTTCAGCTACTTGGGAGGCTGAGGCACGAGAATTGCTTGAACTCGGGAGGCAGAGGTTGCAGTGAGCCGAGATTGTACCACTGCACTCCAGCCTTGGCCACAGAGTGAGACTCTGTCTTAAAAAAAAAAAAAAACCACAGGCCGGGTACAGTGTGCAGTGGCTCATGTCTGTAATTCCAGCACTTTGGGAGGCCAAGGCAGGCGGATCACGAGGTCAGGAGATCAAGAGCATCCTGGCCAACATGGTGAAACCCTGTCTCTGCTAAAAATACAAAAACTGGGTGTGGTGATGCGTGCCTGTAATCCCAGCTACTCAGGAGGCTGAGGCAAGAGAATCGCTTGAACCAGGGAGTTGGAGGTTGCAGTGAGCCAAGATCCCACTACTGCACTCCAGCCTGGCGACAGAGCGAGACTCCATCTAAAAAAAAAAAAAAAAAAGTTTCTTTCAATCTGTTTAGTTAATATTTTTATTGTTCAGCTTCATCTTCTTAAGTCTTCTGCATACTTAGTTCAAAGAGAAGTGATTTACAACATAGGATCTGAAGAAACAAAAGTATTTTTGGTTCAAGTTGCTACTCTGTTTAAAAGGAGAATCCAAATAGCCACTCACCTGTAGTCTTAGCTACTCAGGAGGTGGAAGTGGGAGCATAGATCACTTGAGCCCAAGAGTTCCAGGCTGCAGTGAGCTTTGATCTTGCCACTGCACCCCAACCTGGGTGACAGAGTGAGACTCTGTTTCAAAATGACAATAATAGGCTGGGCATGGTGGTCCACACCTGTAATCCTAGCACTTTGGGAGGCTGAGGTGGGAGGATCACTTGAGCCCAGGAGTTCCAGACCAGCCTGGGTATCATGGAGAGACCCCATCTCTACAAAAACGAAAATTAGCCAGGCATGGTGTTGCACACTTCTAGTTCCAACGACTTGAAGGCTGAGGTGGGAGGATCACCTGAACCCAGGGAGGTTGAGGCTGCAGTGAGCTGTGATCATACCACTGCACTCCAGCCTGTGTGACAGAGTGAGAACCTGTCTCAATAATAATGATAATTAATAATAATAATCATAATAGAAGGAGAATCAAAATAAAACATGCAGATGGTCAACAGGTACATGAAAAAATGCTCAACACCACTAATCATCAGGGAAATGCAAATCAGAACTACAATGAAGCCGGCCTGGTGGCTCACGCCTATAATCCCAGCAGCTTAGGAGGCCGAGGTGGGCGGATCACCTGAGGTCAGGAGTTTGAGATCAGCCTTCCCAACATGGTGAAACTCCATCTCTACTAAAAATACAAAAATTAGCTGGGTGGCTGGGCGCGGTGGCTCACGCCTGTAATCCCAGCACTTTGGGAGGCCGAGGTGGGTGGATCATGAGGTCAGGAGATCGAGATCATCCTGGCTAACACAATGAAACCCCATCTCTTCTAAAAATACAAAAAATTAGCCGGCGTGGTGGCGGGCACCTGTAGTGCCAGCTACTCCAGAGGCTGAGGCGGGAGAATGGCGTTAGCCCGGGAAGCGGAGCTTGCAGTGAGCCAAGATCGCGCCACTGCACTCCAGCCTGGGCAACAGAGCGAGACTCCATCTCAAACAAACAAAAAAATTAGCTGGGCATGGTGGTGCACGTATGTAATCCCAGCTACTCAGGAGGCTGAGGCAGGAGAATCGGTTGAACCCAGGAGGGGGAGGTTGCAGTGAGCTGAGGTTGCGCCACTGCACTCCAGCCTAGGCTGCAGAGCGAGACTGACTCAAAAACAAAAAAGCACACAATGAGATATTATCGTACCTTAGTTAGAATGGCTGTTATTAAGAAGACAAAACATGACAGGTATTGGCAAGGATGCTAAGAGAAGGCAACTCTTGACTGGGCGCAGTGGCTCACGCCTGTAATCCCAGCATTTTGGGAGGCTGAGGTGGGTGGATCACCTGAGGTCGGGAGTTCAAGATCAGCCTGACCAACATGGAGAAACCTCATCTCTACTAAAAATGCAAAATTAGTCAGGAGTGGTGGCACGCGCCTGTAATCCCAGCTACTTGGGAGGCTGAGGCAGGAGAATCGCTTGAACCCTGGTGGCAGAAGTTGTGGTGAGCCAAGATTGTGCCATTGCACTCCAGCCTGGGCAACAAGAGTGAAACTCCTTCTCCAAAAAAAAAAAGAAAAAAAAAGAGAAGGGAACTCCTACACACTGTTGGTGGGAACGTAAGTTAGTACAGCCACTACTGAAAACAATATGGAGATGTCTGAAAAAAACAAAAACAGAACTACCATGTGGGCTGGGCATGGTGACTCACACCTGTAATCCCAGCACTTTGGGAGGCCAAGGCTGGTCGATCACCAGAGGTCAGAAGTTCACAATAGCCTAGCCAACATGGCAAAACCCCTTCTCTACTAAAAATACAAAATTTAGCTGGGTGTGATGGAGGGTGCCTGTAATCCCAGCTACTTGTGAGGCTGAGGCAGGAAAATCACTTGAACCTGGGAGGCAGAGGCTGCAATGAGCCGAGACCAGGGCATTGCACTCCAACCTAGACAACAAAAGCAAAACTCCGTCTCAAAAAAAAAAAAAAAGAACTACCATGTGATCCAGCAATCCCACTACCTGGAATTTATCCAAAGGAAAAGAAATCAGTATATAAAAAAGATAACCTGCATCTCCGTGTTTACTGTAGAGCCGTGTTTACAATAGCAAAGATATGGAATCAACCTAAGTGTTGATCAGGGGACAAATGAATAAAGAAAATATGATATATATACACAGTGGACTTAAGCCATAAAAAATGAAATCATGTTTACAGCATGGATGGAACTGGAGGTCATTATGTTAAGTGAATAAGCCAGACACAGAAAGGCAAATATCACATGTCCTCACTTACATGTGGGAGCTAGAAAAGTTGATCTCATGGAGGTAGAGAGTAGAATGATACCAGAGATTGGAAGGGTGTACGTGGGTGGGAGAGGTGGATGAAGAGAAGTTGGGTAATGGGTACAAACATACACTTAGGAAGAAGGGATAACTTGTAATGTTCAATAGCAGAGTAGGGTGACTGTAGTTAACAAAGTACTGTAAATTTCCATAGCTAGAAGAGAGGACTTGAAATTTTCCCAACACATAGAAATGTTAAATACTCAAAGTGATTGATACCTTAAATATCCTGACTTGATTATTGTACATTCTATGTATGAAGAAAAGCAAAATATCACATGAACTCCATAAATATGTAAAAATTTTGTGTATCAATATATTTTTTGTTTTGTTTGTTTTTTTTTTTTTTAGATGGAGTCTTGCTCTGTCACACAGGCTGGAGTGCAATGGTGTGATCTTGGCTCACTGCAACCTCTGCCTCCTGAGTTCAAGCCATTCTTGTGCCTCAGCCTCCTGAGTAGCTGGGACTACAGGCGTCCGACTCCACACCCAGCTAATTTTTGTATTTTTAGTACAGACGGGGTTTTGCCATGTTGGCCAGGCTGGTCTCGAACTCCTGACCTCAGGTGATCCTCCCGCCTTGGCCTCCCAAAGTGTTGGGATTACAGGCACAAGCCACTGTGCCCAGCCCAATTTTTTTTTCTTTTTGAGACGGGGTCTCACTCTGTCACGCAGGTTGAAGTGCAGTGGCATGATCTTGCTCACTGCAACCTCTGCTTCCTGGGTTCAAGGAATTCTTGTGCCTCAGCCTCCTGAGTAGCTGGGACTACAGGTGTGCACCACCAGACCTGGCCAATTTTTGTATTTTTAGTAGAGATGGAGTTTCAGCATGTTGCCCATGCTGGTTTCTAACTTCTGGCCTAAAGCAATCTGCCCACCTCAGCCTCCCAAAGTGCTGAGATTACAGGTGTGAGCAACTGGGCTGGGCCTAAATTAAATATTTTCAAAATTTAAAAAATACTCATTTCTAAGGATATATTTTTCCTTATATAATTTCTACAGTATTCACCACATGGAGTGCAGTGAGGCAGTTCCAGAACTCAAGGTAATAATGTAAGCATATTAATAATATTTAATTATTAACAATTAATAATTAATCAATTAATAACATATGCATATGAGATCAGCAGGAGTCACACTAAAAGCCAAAAAGCATTTCAGGTGAAAAACAGCAAGGGTAGGCCAGAAAACACAAAGAAATCTTGACTGAAAAGTCAGCAATAAAAAACACTATTGAATAAAAAGGAAGGCTCGATATACTAGGGCTGGCAGGGGAGCCAAGCAAGTAGATCCAGAGCCAGAATGACAGCAGGGACCTGGTAGGCCTTGCTTGTTATCTCCAGCAACCAGCCCCACGCTTAGCAAACAGTATTCTGCATCCTGTATGATTGCAGGTATATTCCAAATGTGGGGATGAAGGCAACTAGTATTTACAGTCCAATGCCACCAGCCATGAGGATGACCCATCTTGGCTGAAAAATAAAGACCTTAAATCTAGGAAGCGGAAGATACAACCCAGGACAGCAGGAAGGGGAGACCCGGTATGAGAAGAACTGAGGCCCAACCCAGTTTAGAGAGGAGACTGAAGGCTAAAGGAGGAAGGTTTCCCAGGAAAAAAAAAATTAGGATTTGAAAGTTGATGCTATCTTTGATAATTTGGAACAACGTAAATAAGTAGAAATGGCAGGGCCGGGCGCCGTGGCTCACGCCTGTAATCCCAGCACTTTGGGAGGCTGAGGCGGGAGGATCACCTGAGGTCGGGAGTTCGAGACCAGCCTGACTTAATATGGAGAAACCCCGTCTCTACTAAAAATACAAAATTAGACGGGCATGGTGGCTCATGCCTGTAATCCCAGCTACTTGGGAGGCTGAGGCAGGAGAATCGCTTGAACCTGGGAGGCGAAGGTTGCGGTGAGCCTAGATAGCGCCATTGCACTCCAGCCTGGGCAAGCCGAGATAGCGCCATTGCACTCCAGCCTGGGCAACAAGAGTAAAACTCCTTCTCAAAGAAAAAGTAGAAATGGCTGGGAACCGTGGCGCATGCCTGTAATCACAGCACTTTGGGAGGCCGAGGCAGGAGAATTGCTTGAGGCCAGGAGTTCCAGACCAGCCTGGGCAACATAGCAAGACCCTGTCTCTGTTTTAAAATTTAAAAATTAGCCAAGCATTGGGTGTGCGCCTGTGGTCCCAGCTACTCGGGAGGCTGAGGTGAGAAGATCGCTTCAGCCCGGGAGGTCGAGTCTGCAGTGAGCTAGGATCGCACTGCTGGGCCACAGAGCAAGACCCTGTCTCAAAACAAACAAAAAATAAATTCATGTATGTTAGCAACAATTACTATTTAATTTAAAACTTCCCCATTCCGATTCCATCCTCACCAAGCACGTTCCTTCGCCTGCAGCTTCGGTCTAGAGCCTGAGCGAGCCGAGCTGCGGATGCCAGGGGCTGGGTGGACTCCGCAGCTAAGCTACTGTAAAACACGCACCTGCTTCTACCGCGGGTGTACACATGGTTTGCCAGGGTGTGCGCGTCTTCCCAAGGGGTCTGGGGACCAAATTCCAGCTCCCGCCATCGGGAGGCACGGTAAGAGACCGTAGGGGACACAATCCCGAGCACCGCAGATGCCGAGGTCTCCGCTGCGCTCCAGTCTGTCAACAGAGGCTTCAGGACCGCGGGGTCCCTTCAAATGCCCCGCCAGTCCCAGGCCAATCACCGCGCAGCTTCTTCCGGGATCGTCGCCAATCATCGGCCGTTGCGTATTGCGGGTACAGAGGGGTAAGTGAAGCTTCGGGCCCTTACATCTTTCTTGAAGGCAAGAAGCCTCTCCTCTACTTCCCAGACACCCCGCCTCCCCCACTAGAAAAAGCAGCCGAAGCGGCTTTATTTAAGGGCAAGTGGGACGATGAGGCCAGAGAAGTCAGAAAGGCTCCATATTTGATATGGTCAAATAATGGCGCCCTTAAGAGCAGCCTGTGACAATTGAAGGGTGGTCGCCATATTTTCAGAAGGCACCTTCCGGGTCCCTTAACCCGGGTGTCTATGTCCAAGCGGCCATGAAGTGAATAAACACTGAGGAATTATATTTGTCCCTATCAGAATCCTCGAATCCCTAGCAGCCAGTCCCTGCTACTTCGGTTGCCTCGGCTGCGTTCGGACGCCACGGCTGGGCGGGGCCGCCCTTCCTGTGGACAACGACAGCTGAGGCCGGGAGCGGGGAGGCGGCGGCTCCAGGGACCTGGCGGCCGCCGATCGGGGCTGCGAGGCCCCATGGCGCCGCCCCCAGCCCCGCTCCTGGCGCCGAGGCCCGGGGAGACCCGGCCTGGTTGCAGGAAGCCCGGGACTGTGAGCTTCGCGGACGTGGCCGTGTACTTCTCCCCGGAGGAGTGGGGCTGTCTGCGGCCCGCGCAGAGGGCTCTGTACCGGGACGTGATGCAGGAGACCTACGGCCACCTGGGCGCGCTCGGTGAGAGCCCCGGGTCCGAGCCCCCTCCTCCTTCACCGGGTTCACAGGGGAGATGATGTAGAAGGGCCGAGAGGACTGTGAGCCCTAATCCCGCACTCTTGCACCAACACCAGCAGCCACCTCCCGTTCCCAGGGCTTCAGGTACCCCCTCGGGAGTGTTTTCACCCGCATCCATTTCATTCAGGCAGCAGCACTGCAGCCCCTTCCAGGTTGAGTATAAGCTCCGAGGGGGTGCCCTCAGCCTGGAGGGGAATGCCATCTTCCCACGATGGCCTCTCAGGCCCGCGCTGTGATCCCTGTTCTCTCCCAGGATTCCCAGGCCCCAAACCAGCCCTCATCTCTTGGATGGAACAGGAGAGTGAGGCTTGGAGCCCCGCCGCCCAGGATCCTGAGAAGGGGGAAAGACTGGGAGGAGCTCGGAGAGGTGAGGGATAGTCCCGGGTCCCCCCACTTGGTTTTCCAGGGCTTCCTGTCTAGCAGAGTTTCTTTTCAGGCCCCCACTTCCAGCATCCCTAAAGAAATTCAACTGTGTTGGGTACTAGAGGAGTAAAGAAGGCAGACCTGGTACAAAGTTTTCAGAACATGGGACAGCGGTCCTGTGAGGACTGGGAGCCCAGTCCAACCAGGCACTCCAGCCTGGGTGACAGAGTGAGACTCCGTCTCAAAAATAAATAAATAAATAAATAAATAAATAAATAAATAAATAAATAATAGCCCCTGCTTCCTGAGCACTTCCTAAGTGCTTAACATGCATCTACTCAGCTAAACCAGTAACGCTGTGAAGTCAAAAGCCATTATTATTCCCATTTGATGCATAAGGAACCAAGGCTCAGATAAGGCACTTTTAGGAGATCTGAATCCTGTTTACCTTGTTCTAAAGCCTGTGTGTTAATCACTGGACAGAACTTCCCTCACTGCCTTAAGTGAAAAGCATTCTATAACCTGAGACAGTCTGTGCAAAAGTGTTTGTAAGTGTAACTTAATTCCGGTTTCCCAGGAGATGTCCCAAACAGGAAGGAAGAGGAACCGGAGGAAGTCCCAAGAGCCAAAGGGCCTAGAAAGGCTCCTGTGAAGGAGAGTCCTGAAGTGCTGGTGGAACGCAACCCTGACCCAGCTATTAGCGTGGCCCCGGCACGGGCACAGCCACCCAAAAATGCTGCCTGGGACCCGACCACAGGAGCACAGCCCCCGGCACCCATACCCAGCATGGATGCTCAGGCCGGCCAGCGGCGCCACGTGTGCACGGACTGCGGCCGCCGCTTCACCTACCCCTCACTGCTGGTCAGCCACAGGCGCATGCACTCGGGGGAGCGGCCTTTCCCCTGCCCCGAGTGTGGCATGCGCTTCAAGAGGAAGTTCGCAGTGGAAGCGCACCAGTGGATCCACCGCTCCTGCTCCGGGGGGCGGCGGGGCCGGAGGCCTGGGATCCGGGCTGTGCCTCGGGCCCCCGTCCGAGGTGACCGGGACCCGCCTGTGCTCTTCCGGCACTACCCAGACATCTTCGAGGAGTGCGGCTGAGCGGCACCGCAGGCTGGAGTTGAGCCTGACCTTGGCACGAAGGACTGACGGATCCCTGAGGTGGGCCACTGAGTCGGGGACTCCGGAACTGAAATTCATGCCCTGGGCTTTCCTCAAGGATCCCTCAAGTTTCCAACTTGTAAAAAGAAAAGTGCCTGTAAAGATTCGAATAGATTAGACTTGCCACCCATCTCCCCAGTCTTTTGTTTAACAAAAAAAAAAAAAAAAAAAAAAAAAAAGAAGAGAGTGAGACCCTGGACTCATTTCAAAGTGTTATCTGAAGATCAGGTGCAACAGAGACCTTTATATCATCTCAGGAACTAGCCACTCCTTATCTATTTCAGATGCAGATGCTGAGGGGGACCAGGGCCTGGGGAGGGGACCTACATGGAGGGCGTGGTCAAACCCTGGCTAATTGTCATCAGCAGGGGACCCAGACACTGGAGTGGATGGGAGTAGAATAGATGCAGGTGGCACAAATCCAGCCTCTGTTGGGAGACCAAGGAGGGAGGATCGTTTGAGTCCAGGAGTTCAGACCAGCCTGAGCAACAGGCTATCTAGCGATATCTAGATATCTAGGATATCACTATCTAGAGATAGTGAAATCCTATCTCTACAAAAAAAAAAAAAAAAAATGAACCAGGCATAGTGGCACATCGTGCCTGTGGTCCCAGCCACTTGGGAGGCTGAGGTGGGAGGACTGCTTGAGCCCAGGAGTTCAAGGCTACAGTGAGCTATGATTGTGCCACTGTACTACAGTCTGGGCAACAGAGCAAGACTTCATTTCTTTCTTTTATTTTTTTTGAGACAGGGTCTCACTCTGTCACTAAGGGTGGAGTACAGTGGCGCCATCTCAGCTCACTGCAACCTCTGCCTCCCAGGTTCAAGCAATTCTCCTGCCTCAGCCTCCTGAGTAGCTGGGATTACAGGTGCACGCCACCATGCCCTACTAATTTTTGCATTTTCAGTAGAGACGGGGTTTCACATGTTAGCCAGGCTGGTCTCAAACTCCTGACCTCAGGTGATCCACCCACCTTGGCCTTCCAAAGTGCTGGGATTACAGGCATGTGCCACTGCGCCTGGCCAAGACTCCATTTCTTAGAAGAAAAAAAAAAAAAAAAAAGCTGGCGCCATGGCTCATGCCTGTAATCCTAGCACTTTGGGAGGCCGAGGTGGGCAGATCACCTGAGGTCAGGAGTTTAAGACCAGTGGCCAACATGGTGAAACCCCATCTCTACTAAAATACAAAAATTAGCTGGGTATGATGGTGGGTGCCTGTAATCTTAGCTACTCAGGAGGCTGAGATGGGAGAATTGCTTGAACCCAGGAGACAGTGGTTGCTGTGAACCGAGATTGCGCCACTGCACTCCAGCCTGGGCAGCTGCGTGAGACTCTGTCTCAAACAAACAAAACAAAACAAAAACTAGTCTCTGCAACTTACCCCAGGCACAGCTGGTAAGTCATGTGAACTTCCTGAGTCTCAGTGCCTCCTCTGTAAAATGAAGATGAATAATATCTACCTCAAAGGGTTACCGTGGAGACTGACATTTTAACAAGATGTATGACATAGTAATTGTGCAATACACATTTGTTGAAAGAGTGAATTACTGTGGATGGTCTACACTTTAGAAAGTGTAAAGAAGCCTGCCAGGGAGCCAGGGCATGGATATCAATAACCATGTTTGCAGATAAGTAAACTGAGACTCAGAGAGATAACGTGATGCTCTCAAGATTTCACTCCCATGTGGCAGCATGGGTGGAAATGAACACAGAGCCCAGATGTCTCTACCACTTCCTTTGAGAAGTCAGATCTGGACAGAAAACACGGGCTGGGAACTCAGGATGCAGGTCCCAGCCCAGCCTGCTTGGGGAGTGTGAGCAGAAAACTAAGAGTCCCAGTAAGTGCCCCTTTTCTTATCCTTTCCTTTTCTCTTTTATTTTTTTGAGATAGAGTATCACTCTGTCACCCAGGCTGGAGTGCAGTGGTGTTAACATGGCTCTCTATAGCCTTGACCTCCTGAGCTCAAGAGATCCTCCCACCTTTGCCTCCTAAAGTGCTGGGATTACAGGTGTGAGGCACCTCGCCTGGCCAGTTTTTACTTAGAAGGCACAGTCATGCTGGGCGTGGTGGCTCACACCTGTAATCCCAACACTTTGGGAGGCCGAGATGGAAGGATCTCTTGAGCTCAGGCGTTTGAGAACAGCCTGGGCAACATAGTGAGGCCCCCATCTCTACAAAAACAAAAATCAGCCAGGTGTGGTGGCGCGTGCCTGTAGTCTCAGCTACTTGAGAGGCTATGGCAGGAGGATCACTTGAGCCAGGGAGACTGAGGCTGCAGTGACCCATGATTGCGCCACTGCACTCCAACTTGGGCGACAGAGTGAGACTCTGTCTCAAAAAGAAAAACAAAAAAGAAGGTACAATTGGCACTTAGTGACTGTGTGTTGAGTGCCTTCTGTTGAAGGGACTGTGCTAGGTAATAGGGGAATTCCACGATGACGAAAGCTGACCCCATTCATTCATTCATTCAGCAAACACCCTCCTGAAGCCTCTGTGGGTTTTTGTGCTGGGCTCCAGTGATACAGCTGAGTCAGGGCCCACGTTCGACGTGGGAAGAGATTAATTGGCGCTATGACAGAGGAAGCCCAGAGGCACCACCTCACCTAGGCTGGTTGGTGATATGCCAGGAAATGTTCCTGGGAGGAGATGGCTGTGCTTCCCATAGCCTATGAATTGGTGTTGGGGGAGATTTTCAGGCAGAGGAAACAGCAAAGGAGTCTTGCTTCATAGAAAGAATAAAAGACACTTTGGGAGGCTGAGGCGGGCAGATCACCTGAGGTCAGGAGTTCAAGACCAGCCCAGCCAACATGGTGAAACCCTGTCTCTACTAAAAATACAAAAATTAGTTGGGCATGGTGGTGGGCACCTGTAATCCCAGCTACTCGGGAGATTGAGGCAGGAGAATCGCTTGAACCCGGGAGGTGGAGGTTGCAGTGAGCCGAGATCGTGCCACTGCACTGCAGCCTGGGCGACAGAGTGAGACATTCTGTCTCAAAAACAAAAACAAAACAAAACAAAAAAACTAGATAAGGAAGAATGGGAGACAGATGCAGCCGAGAAGTGGGGTCAAATCTGGGAGGGCCACAGAGGCCACCAGAGCAGCTTGAGATACATTCTGTGGCACTGAGGAGCCACAGAAAGTTCTTGAGCAAGTGCAGTGCTGTTTGCCAGGTGCTATCAGAAGATATCTTTGCAAAGCAGTGTGGGTGTGACCTGGTTGGGGGACAGAGCTAGACACTAGAGATCTGTTGGGCATTTTTTCCTAAGTGAGGGTCACTGGGAGCTGGGACCAAGGTGGTGACCTTGGAATTAGGAAGAAAGACACGAGAGGCTTCTGACATAGAATCTGCAGCTCGGTGACTGCCAATATGAGCCAGTAAGACCCAGAGGTTCCAGTATGGAGAGCCGGAGCCAGGGGACCTGATGCCCACCAAGGGGTGATCAGGAGTAGGAGGGTGTGAAGGCCAAGGGTGATCCGTTCTGGGGAGCAGGGAGGCCAAGGAGAAGGTGCAGCTGGAGAGAGGAGGCCCTGCCAGTGAGGGAGGAGCAGAACCAGGTGAAGTGTGTCAAGCATAAAGCTGCTCTGGGCAGCCCCAGCTCTGGTGCTGGACACAGGGCAAGTGCTGTCTGCTATTTCTCTTTCTCATTGGCGCATTTAACAAATAGCTGCTAAGCGTTTACCATGCACTAGCTGTTATTCTCCATGCCAGAACATAGCAGGGGAAACAGACACAGGAACCCTCTTGGAGCTTACTTTCTACGAGGGAGAGACAGGTGATAAACCAGAACACGAATGAAGGAAGGGACTGCGAATGCAAATACTAAGGCTTATGAAGGAGCTCGAACAGCGATGTGCAGAAAGAGCCTGCTGCAGACCGATACTGAGGCTGCGCCATGTTGAGAAAGAGCCACAGGGAACAGGGTTAGGGGACAGGGAGTGGGGAAGGGCAGGGTTCAAAGGCTTGGGGCTGGGGTCGGGGAGAGTAGGGGGTAGAGACGTTTCCAAAGAAAGGGAACAGCAAGTGGGATGTTCCAAGCTAGGGATGAGTTCCCACAAGGTGCAGAAAGGACATCTGTAGCTGTGCTGAGACACCAGGTGGAGAAGATTAACAGATGGGCTTAGGGAGGGGGAGGCGCTCCCACAAGGCTCTCGCTTCCCATGATGCTAAGTATCTTTTCTTCCTTCTCTTTCTAACCCCCACCCCGACACCACGTCTTCTTTCTTTGTGACAGGGTCTCGCTTTCTCTCCTGGGCTGGAGTGCAATGGTGCAATCATGGTTCACTGCAGGCTTGATCTCCCAGGCTCAAGTCATCCTCCCACTTCAGCCTCCCAAGTAGCTGGGATCCCAGGTGCACACCACCGCACTCAGCTAATTTTTTTTCCAGACAGGGTCTCACTATGTTGCCCAGGCTGGTTTCAAACTCCTAGGCTCAAGAAGTCCCCCTGCCTCAGCCTCGCAAAGTGCTGGGATTACAGGTGTGAGCCACTGCACCCAGCTCCATGATTCTCAGTATGTTGGGACATCACTGGGTTGTCTTTGTTTTTGTTTTGTGGTAAATATACATAATATACAATTTATCATTTAGACTATTTTTGAGTGTACAGTACAGTTCAGTGGCAAAATGTGTAATAGTACTATTGTAGAACCATCACAGCCCTCCATCTCCAATTTTTTTTTTCTTTTTTGAGACAGAGGAGTCTCACTCTGTCATCTAGGCTGGAATGCAGTGTTGGGATCTCAGGTCACTGCAGCCTCTGCCTCCTGGGTTCAAGCAATTCTCCTGCCTCAGCCTCCTGAGTAGCTGGGATTACAGGTGCGTGCCACCACGCCCAGCTAATTTTTGCATTTCTAGTAGAGACAGGGTTTCACCATGTTTGCCAGGCCGGTCTCGAACTCCTGACCTCATGATCCACCTGCCTCAGCCTCCCAAAGTGCTGGGATTACAGGCATGAGGCACAGCGTCTGGCCTGGAAAGTTTTTTTTAATGTGAAAAAATTTTTTTAGAGATGGGGTCTCACTGTCGCCCAGGCTGGAGTGCAGTGGCATGATTGTAGCTCACTGCAGCCTCAAACACCTGGGCTCAGGCAATCCTCCTGCCTCAGCCTCCCAAAGCACTGGGACTACAGACATGTGGTACAGACATGTGCTACCATGCCCCCCGGCGGACTACATTTCTTTATTGAAGGCTGCCCTGAACCTTAAATTTGCCAAAGGGGACTGTCAAGGGGAATGGAGAAGGCTGTTTGTTTGTTTTTTTTCCATAGAGCTTCTCATGGGAATACTGTTCTGCAGAATACACTCTGAGAATGCTGAAGCCAGAGAGATGAGGGGACATAATTTTTTTCTTTTTTTCCAAGACAGAGTCTTGTTCTGTCGCCCATGCCGGAGTGCAGTGGTGTGATCTTGGCTCACTGCAACCTCCGCCTCCTGGGTTGAAGTGATTCTCCTGCCTCAGCCTCCAGAGTAGCTGGGATCACAAATGCACACCACCACACCCAGCTAATTTTTGTATTTTTAGTAGAGACGAGGTTTCACCATGTTGGCCATGCTGGTCTTGAACTTCTGACCTCGTGGTCCACCCACCTCAGCCTCCCAAAGTGCTGGGATTACAGGCATGAGCCACAGCACCTGACCCAAGGAGGGGACATAATTAAGATCATGAAGCTGAGTCAGTGGCAGAAGTAGACCTGGAACCCAAATCTCCTATTTCCCAGGCACTGCTCTTCCTGTTTTCACTACACCAGGCTGCAGTGACAGATGGACGGCAAAGGCAAAAGGCTGGAGGCCCAGAGGCCAGCTAGGAGGCCCCTGGCCTAACTCAGCAAGGGCCTGAGCAAGAGGGGACAGCGGTGAGAGATGCTACAGGGGACCCTTTGTGAAGCGTTTGTCACCCATCCTGGGCAATTTCACACACTTCCTAGATATCTGAACAACCCCCCATTACATGACCCCTAAACAACCCTCTTATTTTTAGTACTTATCATAGTCTGTCATTTATATTTTTCTTTACATTTATTTATTTATTTATTTTGAGATGGAGTTTCGCTCTTGTTGCCCAGGCTGGAGTGCAATGGCACGATCTTGGTTCACTGCAACCTCCGCCTCCCAGGTTCAAGCGATTCTCCTGTCTCAGCCTCCTGGGTGGCTGGGATTACAAGTGCATGCCACCATGCCCCGCTAATTTTTGTATTTTTCATAGAGATGGGGTTTCATCATATTTCTCAAGGTGGTCTCAAACTCCTGACCTCAGGTGATCCACCAGCCTCGGCCTCCCAAAGTGCTGGGATTACAGGCATGACCTACCGTGCCTGGCCTTATTTATTATTATTGTTTTTTGAGATGGAGTCTCGCTCTGTGGGCCAGGCTGGAGTGCAGTGTGTGATCTCTGGTCACTGCAACCTCCACCTCCAGGTTCAAGCGATTCTCCTGCCTCAGTGTTCTGAGTAGCTGGTACTACAGGCACATGCCACCATGCCCATCTAATTTTTGTATTTTTAGTAGAGACAGGATTTCATCATGTTGGCCAGACTGGTCTCGAACTCCTGACCTCAAGTTATCTGCCTGCCTCAGCCTCTCAAACTGTATATTTTTCCTCTTTACATTTACATGGCAGTGTAGTAACCTAGCCTAAAATCCCACCTCTCTCTAGTTGCTAAGGTTTTGCCTTCAATAATTTGAGGCATTCCAGCCTGGCTTCTGGGGTCAGTGAGCCAAGATCATGCCATTGCACTCCGGCCTGGGGGACAAGAGCAAAACTCCCTCTCAAGAGTAGAGAGTAGAGGCCGGGTGCAGTGGCTCACGCCTGTAATCCCAGCACTCTGGGAGACCCAGGCGGGTGGATTTCCTGAGGTCAGGAGTTCAAGACCAGCTTCGCCAACATGGTGAAACCCCCTCTCTACTAAAGATACAAAAAATTAGCCGGGCGTGGTGGCAGGCACCTGTATTCCCAGCTACTCAGGAGGCTGAGGCAGGAGAATCGCTTGAACCTGGGAGGCGGAGGTTGCAGTGAGCCGAGATTGCACCATTGTACTCCAGCCTGGACAACAAGAGCGAAACTACGTCTCAAAAAAAGGAGAGAGAGAGTGTGTAAAGTGGAATAGAATAGAATAGAAAACAATTTAAAAAGAACTAAAATAAAATAATAAAATAAAGACTTGGCGCCGGGCGCTGTGGCTCATGCCTGTAATCCCAGCACTTTGGGAGGCCAAGGCGGGGGGATCACGAGGTCAGGAGATCGCGACCATCCTGGCCAACATGGTGAAACCCCGTCTCTACTAAAAATACAAAAATTAGCTGGACGTGGTGGCGCGTGCCCGTAATCCCAGCTACTCGGGAGGCTGAAGCAGGAGAATTGCTTGAACCAGGGAGGCAGAAGTTGCAGTGAACGGAGATCGCGCCACTGCACTCTAGCCTGGCGACAAAGTGAGACTCTGTCTCAAAAAAAAAAAAAAAAAAAAGACTCCGTCACTGAGTGGGCCTCCTCGAAGGGCCTCCTCTAAGGGACTGGGAAGGGGACGTCAGGCCCTCGGTCGAGAATCTTGGACCGGTTTCCCCTCCCCTGCAGCCTTTGCTGCCACCTGCCTGAGCCCAGGTCAAAGCGGCCGCACCCATCTTAACTACGGGCAAGAGGCGCTGCCAAGGCCGCCTGGGAGGAACAGCAAGAGAAGACTTTTCCAGCAGGAACAAACTAGGTCAGCAACACCGGATCGATATTCAAGCTGTTCAATGCCTTTCTCTAAAATGAAGAGAAGCTGGACTGTCGCCAGCCATCTTTTCTTCTTCTTTTTTTTTTGAGACAAGAATCTCACTCTGTCACCCAGGCTGGAGTGCAGTGGCACGACCTCAGCTCACTTCAACCTCTGCCTCCCGGGTTCACACGCTTCTCCTGCCTCAGCCTCCCAAGTAGCTGGGATTACAGGCGTGTGCCACTATGCCCGGCTAATTTTTGTATTTTTAGTAGAGACGGAGTTTCACCACGTTGGTCAGGCTGGTCTTGAGTTCCTCACCTCAAGTGATCCACCCGCCTCGGCCTCCCAAAGTGCTGGGATTACAGGCGTGAGCCACCGTGCCCAGCCGCCAGCCATCTTTTCTAAGAGCGCTTTCATTTTTCTGGACTCCGGAACCACAGAGTTGCTCGCCGTCCTCTCTAGGCCCCACCCGAAGCTACTACCGGTCGTCGAGGCGTCCGTGGAACCTCCTGCACCCTACTCCCAGGGCAAACCCCCAGCGTCCCTCCGGGAGCCGCGGAGCCACTGGCCGCGCTCATGGCTCCAAGCCAATGAACCAGGGAAGGTGGAAGGGACGGAGACTGGGAAAGTGTCTGAGGACCGAGAGCTCCGCGGAAACGGCCGACTGCCGCTTCCTGGCGCAGTGGGGGTGTCTGCGGTATAGGGATGTTCGCGTCCTGATCCGGGACGCGATGCCGCGACCTGCGGCCACCTAGACGCGCTCAGCGGCGCCCGCCCCACCCGGATCCCCGAAAAGGGAAAGAAGTGGCTCTCCTCACTTATGCGGCAGGTTGAGCTGTTTCCTGAGATTCCCGCCAGATCACCCTCCCTGAAGTTCCCTCCAGGCTCCTCCACAGGGGCTCCCCTGGACCTCCTGTAAAACATTCACAGCCTGGTATACTGATATATTCTGAGTTAAAAACAGAGAAATTGTAGTTTCAGAAGGAGCAATCCGACCTGTTTCTTCTGCATGGAGCATGCCAGAAACCTTACTCTGGGGGAGTATCCTTCTGTACCAGGGCAAGAAAACAGCCCTGAGAAGCCACAAGGGACCAGAATAAACATACGTAACAAAGTCATCTGTATCTTGTACCTGTTTGACAACCCCCTGATACATATTCTAGTTACTCACTGCCCTAGCCAAATTTTCTTTGTCCTGTCATTTCTTTTTTCTTTTATTCTTTCTTTCTTTTATTTTTTATTTTTTATTTTTGAGACCGAGTCTTGCTCTGTCGCCCAGGCTGGAGTGCAGTGGCGCAATCTCGGCTCACTACAACCTCTGCCTCCCGGGTTCAAGCTATTCTCCTGCCTCAGCCTCCCAAGTAGTTGGGACTACAGGCACGCACCACCATGCCTGGCTCATTTTTGTATTTTCAGTAGAGACGGGGTTTCACCATGTTGGCCAGGATGGTCTCGATCTCTTGACCTCGTGATCCGGCCACCTCAGCCTCCCAAAGTGCTGGGATTACAGGCATGAGCCACCGGGCCGGCCCTCTTCTTCTTTTTTTTTTAAACGAAGTCTCTCTCCCGCCCAGGCTGGAGTGTAGTGGCTCAATCTTGGCTCACTGCCACCTCTGCCTCCCAGGTTCAAGTGAGTCTCCTGCCTCAGCCTCCTGAGTAGCTGGGATTACAGGAACCCACCACCACCCCCAGCTACCTTTTTTTTTTTAATTTTTAGTAAGGACGGGGTTTCCTGACCTCAAGTGATCTGCCCACCTCGGCCTCCCAAAGTGCTGGGATTACAGGCATGAGCCACCGCGTCTGCCCACTGAAATTTTATTGTTCTTTGTCTAAAAAATATAAAAGCACCTGGCTTTGGGCACTTTTTCTGACTTCCCTCTCTTGTGAAGATCCCCATGTACATGTAAAACTAATACAATTGGTATAATTTTCTCGTTTGTCCACTGTCAATTCATTTGTTCTTATTTTACTTTAGTTTATTTTTATTTTTATTTTTTGAAGATAGGGTTTCACTAACTTGCCCAGGCTGATCTCATACTCTTGGGCTCAAGGGATCCTCCTGCCTTTGCCTCCCAGTAGTTAGCATTACAGGCGATTCTCAATCTGGGCCTACATTCAACTAAAGAGCCCACCAAGAGCTAAAAGGCAGTTGGAGGCAACTCTGACTCCCATACACAGTAAGGGAGGAGACCATCCCTCATATTGTCTTACGCCCAATTTCTGCCTCCAAAGAAAGAAGAAGTAAAAACTCAAAGGCAGAAATGGAATCCACAGGCAGACAGCCTGGCGCCACACCCTGGGCCTGGTAAAGATCGACCTCTGACCTAATCAGTTTTGTTATTTATAGATTACAGACATTGTATAGAAAAGCACTGTGAAAATCCCTGTCCTGTCCTGTCCTGTTCTAATTACCAGTGCCTGCAGCACCCAGTCACATATCCCCTGCTTGTTCAATGGATCACGACCCTCTCACGGGGACCCCCTTAGAGTTGTGAGCCCTTAAAAGGGACAGGGATTGCTCACTCGGGGAGTCGGTTTTTGAGATGTGAGTCTTGCCGATGCTCCCAGCCGAATAAAACCCTTCCTTCAACTCGGTGTCTGAGGGGTTTTGTCTGTGGCTTGTCCTGCTACAACAGGACATGTATGAAGTCACGTGGAGCACAGAATAGACCATCAGAAAGTGAGAGAGAGGTCTGGGGGAGAGTTGGTGACATTTACTAGATAAAGACCCTAGGGGAAGCAGATTGGGGCAAGAAAGGGATGAGTTGGATTTGAGTAGAGGAGCCTTGGGCCATCTGTCCAGGGGCAGGATGTGAGGGGAGGTGAGAGCCCGGCTGCAGCTACAGGGAGACTGGCAATTGGGAGGCGTCCTGAGCAGCACATGGGAGAAGCTCCTAGAAGAGAGGACCCTCTGACTTTCTCAACCTTACCCTACTCTCCCCACTGCCTCCGCCATCTAGAAACTTCCAGAATTTCAGGCCCCAACAAGCCTACGATGGAGGAGGTTCTCCTGTATCCACTCCTTTTTCTTTCTTTCTTTCTTTTTTATTTTTGAGACAGAGTTTCGCTCTGTCGCCCAGGCTGGAGTGCGGTGAGGCAATCTCGGCTCACTGCAAACTCCGCCTCGCGCGTTCAAGCGATACTCCTGCCTCAGCCTCCCCAGTAGCTGGGATTACAGGTGCACGCCACCACACCTGGCTGTTTTTTTGTGTGTTTTTAGTGGAGACGGGGTTTCACCATGTTGGTGAGGCTGGTCTCGAACTTCTGACCTCAGTTGTTCCGCTGGCCTCGGCCTCCCAAACTGCTGATTACAAGCGTGAGCCACTGCGCCACGCCCACTCCATTGGTTTTTTTACACTCAACATTGGGAAGAGACTGCTGTTGCCCTGTTTCTGAGATAACAAGGACAAAACGAGAGAGTGATGAGCTGGAGCCCGATTATAAAACGGTCCACAAACGAAAACTAATGCCTGAGTTCAGTAAGGCCGGGAGGCCAGCTCACTCCCGCGAGGCGCTCTTTTGTTCGTGCAAACCGGGGCGGAGCTCTCTGCTGCACCGCCTCGCCGGGCCGGGGCGGAGCTCTCTGCTGCACCGCCTCGCCGGGCCGGGGACTAAACATGCGCGGCTAGTTTTCAAGGCCGGCCTCTGTATTAGTCACCGCGGCCATTTTGGATGAGGGTACGGAGAGAACGCGGACTGGAGATACCGGGGGCGTTGTCTTGGGCACGACTGCGTAGGGGCAAAGGTCGAGTACCCGCGCCGCCGCCATTTTTTATGAGGGCATATTCCATTTCTGATTATACACCCGCTGCCATCGGCACCGTTAGTTTCCACGCCCTCTAGTGCGCCCTCGGGGGCCCTAGTAACCTCCCTCCTTCCCTTGGGCCCGGGCCGGGGAGGCTTTCTCGGGCGCAGGAGGTTCCGCAGGCCCAGGCCAGGCCAGGGGAGGCAGCCGATCCGTCGTCGGGGTTGACAGTTACCATGGCGCCGCCTCTGGCCCCGCTCCCTCCCCGGGACCCAAACGGGGC
Source organism: Homo sapiens (assembly GCF_000001405.40). Taxonomy (NCBI): domain Eukaryota; kingdom Metazoa; phylum Chordata; class Mammalia; order Primates; family Hominidae; genus Homo; species Homo sapiens. The sequence continues at coordinate 30,558,135 of NC_000016.10, read as the reverse complement.
CGGACCCGAGTGGAGGGAGCCGGGGGCTGTGAGCTTCGCGGACGTGGCCGTGTACTTCTGCCGGGAGGAGTGGGGCTGCTTGCGGCCAGCGCAGAGGGCCCTGTACCGGGACGTGATGCGGGAGACCTACGGCCACCTGAGCGCTCTCGGTGAGAGCCCCACCTGCTCGCCTGAGCCCTGCGCCCCCACAGGCCCTGCCGCGCCTCTGGGAGCTGCGCGTGAAGTTGGGGGCCCCGGGGCCGGGCAGGTGGCCTCCCCGCAGCGTGGGGTTTGCGTTCTTCTTCCCTAGGAATCGGAGGCAACAAGCCAGCTCTCATCTCCTGGGTGGAGGAGGAGGCCGAACTGTGGGGTCCGGCTGCCCAGGATCCGGAGGTGGCGAAATGTCAGACACAAACGGACCCAGGTGGAGTATCGGGTGCTCAGTCCCATGGGGACTTCTCTGTTCCTGTCCCATCCCGGTACCCTCTGCCACCTCCAGCTACCTGCTTAGCAGTTTCCTCTCTGAACTGCCTTCTCAACTGCGACGACGAGGCTGAGCCCCTGCGTGGCTCCCAGATGCAGCCTAGAAAGGAGCTGTGATGGGGGCTCTGGCCCTGCCATACCCGCCTCTGAGTCCTCACCTCTGCGTGGTCACTACACTCTGGGGGCTTTTTTTGGTGTTTTTGTTTTAGAGACAGGGTCTCGCTTTGTTGTCTAGGCTGAGTGCAGTGGCGGCATCATAGCTCACTGTAGCCTGGAACTCCCGGGCTTAAGCAGTCCTTCCACCTGGGCCTCCAGAGTAGCTAAGACTGTACAGGTGCTCGCCACGAAGCCTGGGTAATTTTTTTTTTTAGACAGAGTTTTACTCCGTTGCCCAGGCTGGAGTGCAGTGGTGCCATCTCAGTTCACTGCAACCTCCCACTCCCAGGTTCAAGTAATTCTCCTGTATCAACCTCCCAAGTAGCTGGGATTACAGGCGCCCGCCACCAAGCCTGCTTAATTTTTTTTTTTTTTTTTGAGACAGAGTCTTCCTCTGTCGCGCAGGCTGGAGTGCAGTGGCGCCATCTCGGCTCAGTGCAAGCTCCGCCTCCCTGGTTGACGCCATTCTCCCGCCTCAGCCTCCCCAGTAGCTGGGACTACAGGCGCCCGCCACCACGCCCGGCTAATTTTGTTTTTGTGTTTTTAGTAGAGATGGGGTTTCACCATGTTAGCCAGGCTGGTCTCGAACTTCTGACTTTGTGATCTGCCCGCCTCGGCCTCCCAAAGTGCTGGGATTACAGGCGTGAGCCACCGCGCCCAGCCAATTTTTTGTATTTTTAGTAGAGACAGGGTTTCACTATGTCGCCCAGGCTGGTCTTTAACTCCTGGAGCTAAGCGATTCGCCTGCTTCGGCCTTCCAAAGTGACCCACTGCGTCTGGCCTAATTGTTTTAAATTGTTATGTAATATATATATTTTATAGAGGGGGTCTTGGCTCTCGGTGTGTTGCCCAGGCTGGTCCTGAAATCCTAGGCTGATCCTCCTTCTCTACCTCCCAAAGCGCTGGGATTACCGCCTTGAGCCCCCACGCCCAGTCTCTTAAACTCTGTTGACTCTACCTCCACCTCAGGACCCACCCCTGCCGTTCACCTGCAGGCTGGTTCCTTTCTCCCCGTCCGCCCCCCTTTTTTTCTTTCATTTCTTGCCCTCAGCCTTTGCAGAGTATCCAGCCCCACTGAACTTGGCCATGCCCTCCTGGTTCTGCCTTTCTTGGTGCTGTTCCTGCTGCCTGGAACATCCTCAGGTGTCCGTTCCTCCTTCTGGATCAGGCCCAGATGTTCATGTCATCTCTGCCCTTCCCCCACCGTGACATTTCCCCAGCCCCGAGGCGGAATGGGCTGTTCTCTCCCTCCCGGCTCTGTCTGGCTCTGCAGCCGAGGAACAGGTGTCACTCCTCCATCTCCCAGGAGCAGCCGGGGATCCAGCAGGCCTGTCCCTGTCCACGCGGGCTGTGGGATTCAAGGACCAGGATGAGCCGAGCCTGAACTCTCCCCTCTTTATCTCTCAGCAGATTCCAGAAACAAGAAAAAGGAAAGACAAAGGGAAGGGACGGGAGCCCTGGAGAAGCCCGACCCTGTGGCCGCCGGGTCTCCTGGGCTGAAGTCTCCCCAAGCCCCCTCGGCCGGGCCCCCTTATGGTTGGGAGCAGCTGTCCAAGGCACCGCACCGGGGACGCCCCTCCCTCTGTGCCCACCCCCCTGTCCCCCGAGCTGACCAGCGTCATGGCTGCTACGTGTGCGGGAAGAGCTTTGCCTGGCGCTCCACACTGGTGGAGCACGTCTACAGTCACACTGGCGAGAAGCCCTTCCACTGCACTGACTGCGGCAAGGGCTTCGGCCACGCTTCCTCCCTGAGCAAACACCGGGCCATCCATCGTGGGGAGCGGCCCCACCGCTGTCTGGAGTGTGGCCGGGCCTTCACGCAGCGCTCGGCGCTGACTTCGCACCTGCGCGTCCACACCGGCGAGAAACCCTATGGCTGCGCCGACTGTGGCCGCCGCTTCAGCCAGAGCTCTGCCCTCTACCAGCACCGGCGCGTGCACAGCGGCGAGACCCCCTTCCCCTGCCCGGACTGTGGCCGCGCCTTCGCCTACCCCTCGGACCTGCGGCGCCACGTGCGCACCCACACCGGCGAGAAGCCCTACCCGTGCCCGGACTGCGGGCGCTGCTTCCGCCAGAGCTCGGAGATGGCAGCCCACAGGCGCACCCACAGCGGCGAGAAGCCCTACCCCTGCCCGCAGTGCGGCCGCCGCTTTGGCCAGAAGTCAGCCGTGGCCAAACACCAGTGGGTTCATCGGCCCGGGGCCGGGGGCCACAGGGGCCGGGTCGCCGGGCGTCTGTCTGTGACCCTGACCCCTGGCCACGGAGACCTGGACCCGCCCGTGGGCTTCCAGCTGTACCCGGAGATATTCCAGGAGTGTGGGTGACGGCCTTAAAAGTGACTATCTAGACATTACGGGAGGCCCGAGATGGGCTCAGGGGCCCGAACCTCTGCGGCGGCCTGCAGGGAGGTCCCAGAATCTAGGGCAAGAGCTGGCCCTGGGGTGCGGACAGTCTGATCTTGGGCCCTTAGCAGCCTCCTCTGCCAGCACCTTGCTCCCCACTGCCCAGGGCTCTCCAAGGCCCCCTCTACTGAGGCAGGGCTGAGTTGAGAACCCCCAGACCTACATAAGGGGAACCAAAAGCTGTTTCTCAGCCCAGAGGTGCTAAGAGGACTGAGGTAGAGGAGAACCTTGTTTTACCCATTGTCTTTTTAAATTTTTTATCATTATTTTTATTCTTGTGACCCTCCCAGAACACAATACTCATTGTCTTTTTATTTATTTATTTATTTATTTCTGAGACAGCTTCCTGCTCTGTCACCCAGGCTGGAGTGCAGTGGTGTGAACAGGGCTAACTGCAGCCTCAACCTGCAGTGCTCAAGGAATCCTCTCCCATCAGCCTTCCAAATATCTGAGACTACAGGCGGGCAACACTACGGCCAGCTAATTTTTAAATTTTACATAGAGATGAGGTTCTCACTGTTGTCCAGGCTGGTCTCAAACTCCTTGGCTGAAGTGATCCTGTCGTCTCGGCTTCCGCAAGTGCTGGGATTACAGGCGTGAGCTACCACCATGCCTGGCTTCCATTGTCTTTGTGTGTGTGTGTGTGTGATGGGGTTTTGCTCTTGTTGCCCAGGCTGGAGTGCAATAGCGCAATCTCAGCTCACTGCAACCTCTGCCTCCAGAGTTCAAGCAATTCTCCTTCCTCAGCCTCCCAAGTAGCTGGGACTACAGGCACCCACCACCTCCATTGTCTTTTTACTGCCCAAGTTAAAATCCTGTGACTGTGTACTGGATCTGGCCTGCGGTTGTCATATTTATTGATCTGAGTCCAGGCAGTGTTTTTAAGTGATATGAGTTAGTAGTGAAAATTGAAAAGGATATTTTACAACCAAATACAGGTTTTCTGGTGTCTTTTGAAAAATCCAAAGATTTGGCAACTCGACCTAGGCTCCGACAAAACCACAGTTGTTGGGAGCTGAGCCGGAGCCAGAACTCACAATTCACCGTGGCCCGGCCACCCATCCCCACCACTCCCGTGGGCTCCTGACCAAGCACCACGTGCCATTCATCATGGCTTGCTTTTAGTGTTTTTGGTGTTTATCTTAAAGTACAGCGAAGAAGAAAGGGAAGTATTTCTTAGACCCATGTCTCTGTCCAAATAGGCCTTTCCATCTGGCATTTCCCGCTCATTTATATGACTTGCTGAGTTCCTATGGTCATTTGAGTTTGCAAACAGTGGTCTGTAGCACTCAGGTTTTCTGGAGTTGGAGAGAAAGGGTGGCAAGAGAGAAGTAAAAGTTGGTTTTATTTTAGATCTTTGCTTGTATTGCATTTTATGGTTTACAAAGTACTGTCTCTTCCATTGAATCATTTCACCTTCATAAGTGCTGAGAGAAACCCCTTGGTTGAAGAGGACAGCCTGGTCAGGAAGAGGCAGTCAGGACTGCCTTTCATCCCAAACCAAGGGGTGTGTCCGCCATCAGCCAACAGGCAGTTCCTGTTTTTGAATGGGAAGGTTTTGAGAGCTCCCTCCAGTCTTCTTTGGGCCTCCCTGAGATAGCCACATGCCTCAGGACTTCTTAGCCCTCCTAGACCCTGCCAGGAGGGCCTTATCACAGTTTTGAACTAGAAGAGATCTTCACTTTCCTAGGCTTTTACAGTTGGAGACACTGAGACCAAGGAGGGCTAAGCAGCCTGTCCAGGGTCACACAGAGACCCCAGGGTTCTTAGCTGACTGCTGACTTTACCCATCACTCCTGAGGCCTTCACTGGTGTCTCAGCCAGGGTTTTGCAGGCATCTGCCCCTCCCTGTGATAACACCCAGCCCTGACCTGGATGGGGTCAGACTAGCCCAGCATCAGTGAAGCCCACGTACCAGATGAGTTCTGACAAAGTGGCCATGTGACAGATCAGGTCAACTCAGAATCCAGGCAACGAGGAGAGTCCCAAGGCGCACAGACCTTGCATTTTTCCTCTGTACCATCATGGGCAGAGCGGGGTAGGCCAGGAACACCTGGTGTTAGATTAGATTTGTAGCCAGGGGTGACTACCCATCTGTATCCCCAAGCTCTGCACAGAATCCCCACCCCCATTATCCATCTACCACTAATTCCTTTGTGGGCAGAGTCTAGCCATGGGCAGCCCCTGCCCTGCTCCTGGTTAGGACAACATCTCCCTGAGGAGAGCAAGGGCCTGTGACCTCTGCTGGCCTATGCAGAGTCACCCAGCTCAGCCCTGTGTCTGGCCTACCCAGGAAGGAAGAAACCAGATTAATCAACCTGGAAGGAGGTAGAAGTTTTGGAGAAAAGACACTGTTCCGGTGTCAAGTGAAGTAATGAACTGACTTTATTCCAACCTCATCTCCAATCCGACCCCACCAAGGTCTCTCTCTCCTTCAGCTTTTCTGGGGCGGGTTGACTCGTGCGCCACCTTATCACAGGGGCATATTGGGGTCAGAAGAGGAACCTTGGCAGTAGAAGATACCTTTGTACCAGTTTTTTTTTTTTTTAATGTTTTGTTTTTGAGATGGAGTCTCTCTCTGATGCCCAGGCTGGAGTGCAGTGGCACGATCTTGGCTCACTGCAACCTCTGCCTCCTGGGTTCAAGTGATTCTCCTGTCTCGGCCTCCCGAGTAGCTGGGATTACAGGTGTGCGCCACCACACCTGACCAGTTTTTGTATTTTTAATAGAGATGAGGTTTCACCATGTTGGCCAGGCTGGTCTTGAACTCCTGACCCCAAGTGATCTGCCTGCCTTGACCTCCCAAAGTGCTGGGATTACAGGCATGAGCCACTGCACCTGGCTATTTTTTGTATTTTTAGTAGAGATGGGGTTTCACCATGTTGGTCAGGCTGGTCTCCATTTCCTGACCTCACATGATCCGCCCGCCTCAGCCTTCCAAAGTGCTGGCATTACAGGCGTAAGCCACTGCACCCGGCTTTTGTACCAGGTTTTAATTCCTAGTGTACAACCTAGTTCCCTCCCCTAACCCTCAGCACAGCCTCCGGGAGGCCCAGCTTGCAACACCAGTTCTCAGCCCAGACTGACAGCCAGATCTTGGCCCTCAGCTTGCCACTTAAAGGTGCTATGATTATTATCTAGAGATCTCTGAGTGCTTTGAAGTTTGTAAAGCTTATTTAGGGCCTAGAAACCAGACCTGACTCCTCTGCTTCCTGCCCTCATGACCCAACTTTCCAGCATCTCATCAATTTTTTTTAGTGTCATGAAACCCTTCAGCCTCAGCCCCACCCCATTCTCAGCTCCTCATTTCTTTTTTCTTTTTTCTTTTTTTTTTTTTTTTTTGAGACGGAGTTTCGCTATTGTTGCCCAGGCTGGAGTGCAATGGCACAATCTCGGCTCACTGCATCCTCCGCCTCCCGGGTTCAAGCAATTCTCCTGCCTCAGCCTCCCGAGTAACTGGGATTACAGGCATGCGCCACCACGCCTGGCTATTTTTTGTATTTTTAGTAGAGATGGGGTTTCACCATGTTGGTCAGGCTGGTCTCCATTTCCTGAACTCAGGTGATCCGCCCTGAGCCTCAGCCTTCCAAAGTGCTGGGATTACAGGCGTAAGCCACTGTGCCCAGCCAGCTCCTTGTTTCTTGGCACAGATATTTCCACCAGAGGTAGGGCCTCCTTTTCTCTCTGCTACCACAGGTCTTTGAGGGTCAGCCCCAGAAGCAATTGAAGTCAGGAAGGGGCTTTCCCAGGCTTCACTGTGCATTGAGGATATGCTTGTCTGCATCAACAGAATAAGCCACATCCAAGTGGCCAGCCAGAGTGAGAAGTAAAGGCCATGGCCACATGCCCATCCCTCGTCTGTCCAGGCCATTTAAGGGTGGGAGACCGGGTGCAGTGGCTCACGCCTGTAATCCCAGCACTTTGGGAGGCCGAGGTGGGCAGATCACCTGAGGTCAGTAGTTCAAGACCAGCCTAGCCAACATGGTGAAATCCCGTCTCTATTGAAAATACAAAAGTTAGCCGGGTGTGGTGGCGGGTGCCTATAATCCCAGCTACTCAGGAGGCTGAGGCATGAGAATTGCTTGAACCAGGGAGGTGGAGGTTACAGTGAGCCAAGATTGCGCCATTGCACTGTAGCCTGGGTGACCAGAGTGAAACTCCGTCTCGGGCCAGGCGCGGTGGCTCACACCTGTAATCCCAGCACGTTGGCAGGCTGAGGCGGGCGGATCATGAGGTCAGGAGATTGAGACCATCCTGGCTAACATGGTGAAACCCTGTCTCTACTAAAAATACAAAAAAAATTAGCCGGGCAAGGTGGTGGGCGCCTGTAGTCCCAGCTACTCAGGAGGCTGAGGCAGGAGAATGGCGTGAACCCAGGAGGCGGAGGTTGCAGTGAGCTGAGATTGCACCACTGCACACTCCAGCCTGGATGACAAAGCGAGACTCTGTCTCAAAAAAAAAAAAAAAAAAAAAGAGTGAAACTCCGTCTCAAAAAATAATAATAATAAAATAAGGCTAGGTGTTGATCTGAGCTCCAAGACCCCTAAAACTCCTTGGAATGTTTGTGTATGTGTGTGTCTCTAGGAATAGGCATGTAGGCATGCAAAGATGTATATGACCCAAAGAAGTTAATACTAGGCTAGTATTTTCAAATAAGGCCTCCCTGATGCAGAATCACGAGGTTATCTTTTATTATTATTATCATTATTATTATTTTGAGACGGTCTGTCTGTGTCACCCAGGTTAGAATGCAGTGGTGTGATCTTAGCTCACTGCAGCCTTGAATTCCTGGGCTCAAGCCATCCTCCCGCCTCAGTCCTGCATAGCTGGGACTACAAGTGTGCACCATTATACCTGGCTAATTAAAAAAAAAAAATTTTTTAGAGAAAAGTTCTCACTCTGTCACCCAGGCTGGTCTTTCTTTTGTTGTTATGGGTTTTTATTTTTGGAACCTGTCTCAGGAGCCCAGGCTGGTCTCAAACTCCTGACCTTGAGTGATCCTCCCATCTCAGCCTCCCAAAGTGCTGGGATTACAGGTGTGAACCACTGTGCCTGGCTGAGTGTCTTTTAAAAATGTAGGTTGCCAGGCGCAGTGGCTCATGCCTATAATCCCAGCACTTTGGGAGCCCAATGGGAGCAGATCACTTGAGCCCCAGAAGTTTAAGACCAGTCTGGGCAACATGGCGAAAACCCATCTCTACAACAATTAGCTAGGCGCGGTGGCTCACACATGTAATCTCAGCACTTTGGGAGGCCGAGGTGGGTGGATCACGAGGTCAAGAGATCAAGACCAGCCTGGCCAACATGGTGAAACCCCATTTCTACTAAAAACACAAAAATTAGCTGGGTGTGATTGCAGGCGCCTGTAGTCTCAGCTACTCAGGAGGCTGAGGCAGGAGAATCACTTGAACCCAGGAGGCGGAGGTTGCAGTGAGCCGAGATCACGCCACTGCACTCCAGCCTGGTCGACAGAGTGAGACTCCATCTCAAAAAAAAAAAAAAGAGAGAGAGATAAAGGCATGTCAGGCCAGGCAGTGACTCATGCCTGTAATCTCAGCACTTTGCTGAGTGACAGAAGAAGACTGACTCTGTCTCCAGAAAAAAACAGGCACGTTCAGAGAACAAAGATTCCATCCATTTAGCTGGAGCTAAGTGGGATCGTTTGCCTGTAGGGAAAGATGGGGGTTTGACTTTGAGAAGGTTGGTTTGCCATGGGCCTGGAAGGTCATGGGGGTACTGGCTATGAACACTTTTTTGAGACAGGGTCTCGCTCTGTCGCCCAGGCTGGAGTGTAGTGGCGTGATCTGGGCCCACTGCAGCCTCAACCTCCTGGACTCAAGTGATCCTCCCACCTCAGCCTCCCAAGTACCTGGGACCACACGCACTTGCCACCACGCCCAGCTAATAGAGCCCATGCCTCTATCTTAATGAGCCTTTGTTCTAGCTACTCTGTTCTATATAGGCTACACTTGCAAATCAAATTCCTCTGTCAATGACCTTCAATGCTATCTCTAAGAAATTCCTCCAGGAGTCTGTCTGTCCCATGCTAGAAGCCTCAGAACTGTGCCTCTGTGTTTTTATCCTGGACACAATCTGCCTAGAAGGTCTTCCCCAAACTCGTGTCAGCTGAATTCATACCTGGTATCTCTCTCCCCCAGCTTAGTGTAAACTTAGTGCAGGGACTTTATCTTGCCTCACCAATGTCTTCGCCACCCAAGAATAATGCTTGGCACACAAGAGGGGGCCAATACATTTTTATGAAATGAATGTAGACTTAGGATATGTGTCTGTTTTTTGATATGTTTCCTGAGTGGTCAGTGTTCTTCCCCAGGATTCCCTGACTCCAAACCAGCCCTCTGTTAGGGACAAACTGCCCAAGAAACCTTCTTGGTGCTGTCCACCCATCCCCCAAGCCTCTTTACATTTCTAAGCCCTTACCTAGGCACCACGGTGAAGCCAGCAGACTTTGCTTATCAGACCTTGCTGCAATAAGCAAACCCCAATTACAAACCACCCACACTGCACAGGGGGAGGTCATGGGAAACATAAACAAACTTTACCTACACCCTCCTGTAATAAACGTCACAAGGTAATATGTAGCAAAATTAACCAGCAAACAACCCCAGGATGCGGCCATACGAAAGAACTCCATCAAACTCCCCTCCCCAATATAAACCCCTCATTCTGTAAGCTTGGGGCTACTTCCTCTCTGACTGTTAAGGGAGCAGCCAGCAGGTTAATAAAAAGTTACCTGCCTAACTTTGGGTCTGTTTTTCCTTTCTCTTGGCTGACCTTACATTCTGGTGCCAAAACCCGGGAAGGGGATAGCCTCTGGCCAGGACTCACTCACTCACTCACTCTCTCTGTCTGTCTCCCTCCCTACTCCCTACCCTATCACCCCTCTTCCAGCCAATCTCCCCTTCCCTGAACCTGCCAAAGACCCAGAGAATCTCCTAGACTCTCCCATTGCTGACGACTTCATCCACCACCTCCACCAGGGTGAGTAAAAAGAGACTGTTGCCGTTCCTCAGAACCCTTGACCATCCATCTCTCCATTTCTGAAAGACCCAGCGCTGGGCCAAGGGCTTCCTCCGGCCTGTGGGCCTCTGGTTCCTCCATTTTAGGGATGCCTGACACGGCAGTTACCTCCTCTATTCCGGACAAGTTCCGCAAGAAAGGGGACGCCCTCTCCCACCGTCCTTGTCAGCAGCAGTCTCTTCTTCCTCTACCCCTACCTCCTCCATTCCGCAATCTCAATGCTCTCGGGCTCCATTCAGAGGTCCGTTCTTTTTTTTTTTTTTTGAGACGGAGTCTCGCTCTGTTGCCCATGCTGGAGTGTAGTGGCATGATCTCGGCTCACTGCAAGCTCCGCCTCCTGGGTTCACGCCATTCTCCTGCCTCAGCCTCCCGAGTAGCTGGGACTACAGGTGCCCGCCACCACGCTCGGCTAATTTTTTGTATTTTTAGTAGAGACGGGGTTTTACCGTGTTAGCCAGGATGGTCTCGATCTCCTGACCTCATGATCCGCCCGCCTCGGCCTCCCAAAGTGCTGAGATTACAGGCGTGAGCCACCACACCCGGCCCAGAGGTCTGTTCTAAGAGGCTTATCTTTTACTGCAATACCACATGGCCTCAATACCAACTGGACAGTGGCTCCCAATGGCCCAAAAATAGCACTTTACAACTTTTGCCATCACAGTGGGAAATGGTCTGAGATTCCTTATGTTCAGGTTTTCTTTAAGGGAGGAGACCACCCCTCATATTGTTTTATGCCCAATTTCTGCCTCCAAAGAAAGAAGAAGTAAAAGGCAGAAATGAAATCCACAAGCAGACAGCCCAGTGCCACACACTGGGCCCGGTAGTTAAAGATCGACCCCTGACCTAATCGGTTATCTTATCTATAGATTACAGACATTGTATAGAAAAGCACTGTGAAAATCCCTGTCCTGGGCTGGGCGCGGTGGCTCACGCCTGTAATCCCAGCACTTTGGGAGGCCGAGGCGGGTGGATCACAAGGGCAGGAGATTGAGACCATCCTGGCTAACATGGTGAAACCCCGTCTCTACTAAATGTACAAAAAATTAGCCGGGCGTGATGGCGGGCGCCTGTAGTCCCAGCTACTTGGGAGGCTGAGGCAGGAGAATGGTGTGAGCCTGGGAGACGGAGCTTGCAGTGAGCAGAGATCGCGCCACTGCACTCCAGCCTGGGTGACACAGCGAGACTCTGTCTCAAAAAAAAAGAAAATCCCTGTCCTGTTCTGTTCCGATCTAATTACCGGTGCATGCAGCCCCCAGTCATGTGCCCCGTGCTTGCTCAATAGATCACAACCCTCTCACGTGGACCCCCTTAGAGTTGTGAGCCCTTAAAAGGGATAGGAATTGCTCACTCGGGGAGCTTGGTTGTTGGAGAAGTGAGTCTTGCTGAAGCACCTGGCCGAATAAAGCCCTTCCTTCTTTAACTCGGTGTCTGAAGGGTTTTGTCTGCAGGTTGTCCTGCTACATCTTCACTCTCTGTAACTGCCATTCCCTCTGTCAGTCTTGTTCTACTTTCTAAATCCTCCTTGTCCGCTCCAAATCTGACTCGCCTCCTATCCTCCTCCCCACAGCCCCAGCTTAGGACGATTCCTCTTCCTTTGACTCTGCCAATTTTCCCCCTCCCCGACAGCATCACGATCCTCCACAGGAGCATCCTAATCCTCCACTGTATGTCCCCGTTCCAGCTCTACCCTTCTCCCCGTCTCTCAAACCACCCCGCTTCTGACTCTGGTTCCTCTCCGTCTCCACCCCTCACCCGCTCTTGGGCCCAACATGTTCAGCAACCAGCTCCCTTACTTCCCCTTCAGGAAGCAGCAGGAGCTGAAAGTATTGTTAGAGTTTATGTTCCCTTCTCCCTCACTGATCTCTCTGTAATTAACAAAAGACTTGGTTCATTTCCAGAAGACCCTACCTCTTATATTAGGAAGTTTCAGTACCTTACCCAGTCTTATGAACTAACCTAGCATAACCCCTACATCATCCTCTCTTCTACCCTCACCCCAGAAGACCGAGACCATAACTGGACCCTAGATCAGGCACATGCTGATACCATTCATCACCAGGCTCCTGCCCAGCCTACTGGTGCAAAGGCAGTCCCCAACCAGGACCACCCTAGGATTATCAAGACGGGGCCTCTGGACGCCACCATTGAGACCACATGATTGTATGTCTCTTTACAGGACTCCAAAAGTTTGCCTATAAAGCGGTAAACTATAAAAAACTTTCAGAAATCACCCAAGGTTCCTAACGAAAACCCAGCCCTTTTTCTCTCTGATTTAACTGAAGCCATGAGAAAATATACCAACCCAGACCCAGCCAGCCCAAAAAGAAACACTATTTTAAACCTTCAGTTTGTCTCCCAATATTTTAAACCTTCAGTTCATCTCCCAATCCACTCCCAATATTTGATGCAAGTTTCAGAAGCTTGACAATGGCCCTCAAACCCCACAATGAGACCTTCTTAATTTAGCCTTCAAAATCTTTAACAATCATAATGAGGAAAATAAAAGGCAAAAACAGGCAAAGTTTCAAATGCTTGCCTTTGCCATTAGAGGCCCTGCAGGCCCACGGGACCGCAGCTCCACATGGAAGCCTCCTAACAATTCACTTCCACCTGGCACCTGTTCCAAGTGTGGCAATAAAGGCCACTGGTCCAGACAATGCCCAAACCCAGGAAAGCCCACCAGGCCATGCCCCCTCTGTGGAGGACCCCACTGGAAGTCAGACTGTGAGTGGCCCCAGCAAGGACTGCCCCCATCCCCTCCTGAGCCAGCCAAAACCTCCTACTCGGATTTCATCGGCCTTGCCACTGAAGACTTGACGGTGCCCTGGAATGAACGCCCCCAGCAACTACCATCTCTTCATTCAAGCCAAAATAACCCTAATGGTGGCAAATGGGCCAGTATATATATTTTTTAAATTAATACCGGGACAAACTACTCTGCTTTACCTAATTTTTCAGGACCCACCCAGTCCTCCCAGGTCTCTGTTGTAGGAATTGATGGACAAGTCACCAAACCCCGAGCCACCCCTCCACTCTTCTGCTCCCTGCACAGTTTTTCCTTCACTCACTCTTCCTTAGTCCTGCCCTCATGTCCAACTCCGCTCCTGGGCAGAGATACCCTTTTCAAAACTCCACACTATTCTCCACCTCCATGGTAACCTACTTAGAAATTCAACTTCCCCTGGGGCCTGGACTGTGACCCCAGCCTGAGCAGCATTAATAATCTACCCCCCGCGCTCTTCCAAACGAGAAATCCTTTCCTTCCCAGGGTTAGCAGGCTTCTTTAGAATATGGATTCTCAACTTTACCCTCCTAGCTTGCCCCCTCTATAAAGCGGCCAAACACCCTCTCGATGAACCCCTAAAACCCTCACATAACATACTCCCCAGCTTCTACAAACTCAAAACCGCTCGTCACTGCACCAACTCTGTCCTTACCTATTATCTCCCAACCTTTCACTCTCCATACTTCCAAAAACTGAGGAATAACCCTCGATGTCTTAGGACAACAGGAAAAAAATCCTCCTTCTTTTGCCCCTGTAACTTACCTCTCTAAACAACTAGATGACACAGTCAAAGGGTGGCCAACCTGCCTTAAAGCACTAGCAGTGGTGGCCATTTTAGCTCTAAAAAGCAGGAAACTAACTTTCAGCCAGAATACCACCGTCTGCAGTCCTCATAATCTACAAGATCTCCTCTCCTCCTGAGCATTAGGCTCCCTTTCTCCTTCATGGATTCAATCACTCCATGCCTTTTTTTTTTTTTTTTTTGAGATGGAGTTTCGCTCTTGCCTCAGTGTCTTGCATAGCTGGGATTACAGGCGTGTGCCACCACGCCTGGCTAATTTTTGTATTTTTAGTAGAGAGGGGGTTTCACCATGTTGGCCAGGCTGGTCCCGAACTCTTGACCTCAGGTGATCCACCCGCCTCAGCCTCCCAAAGTGCTAGGATTACAGGCGTCAACCACCGCGCCCGGCTTACTCCATGCCTTCTTTATCGAAAATCCCAAATTCAGTCTTTTCAAAAGTGCTCCCCTCAACCCAGCATCCTTACTCCCTGTATCTTCTTCCCCTTCTACTCATTCTTATACTAACATCCTAGATCACCTGCAGCCACACTTTCTAAACATTTCCTCCCAGCCTCTCACCAACCCCAATGACCAGCTATTTATAGATAGCTCCTCTTCCGTACCCACTGGCTCCCCCAAAATTGCTGGGTATGCAGTTGTTTTCCTTGGCCGAGTAATTGAAGCTAAACCCCTACCTCCAGGAACCTCCTCTATCCCTCCTCTCCACAATATACAATGCAATCCCTGCCTCAGCCTGTAACTGGACTTCCACCCAAGTAACCTACCATCCCGAAATCCTCATTAACAGCCCCCTCGAACTCGACATGCAGGCATTAACAGAAATCTCCCCTCAGTTAGCTAATGAGTTGGGTCCAGCTGTTACAACCTTACATCCCTATTTACGCAACCTATCCCCCTACCACAGCTGTGATAAACCCGTATTAGGAGCCATAACAACCCACAAAATCTTATCCTATCCAGCACTGCTGTGCATCCAATGACATCTACCCTCTGGCATTCCCCTCAGCCACCTGAATTCCAAACTGCAACTTTACCCTACAACTCAAACCTCCCACCGAACATACTACTCTCAAAGCCGCCAACAAAAAAGACAGGCTTTATTTCTCTAGCCTCCACCTCCTTAACAAAAATTAAGGGTACTGTAATGGCCAACACCTCCCCTGTTTATCCCTCTTCCCTTGACTCCCCTCTCCATGCACCATCCTTACCCTACACCCACCACCCGGGACTGTCTCCTTCTCCCAACATTCAACAACACTCCCACATGCATCTTAGTGGAAACAAAACGCTTCCTCTTACACTGGCAAAAAAAAGAACCCAAAAGCCTCCCAGCCTAAACCAAACACCCCTTTACAACCACTTACAGCAGCAGCCCTAGCCGGGACCCCAGAAGTATAAATGCATGAAAATAACAAAATGTATATCTTTTTAGCATACACACCAGTTCTCTCTAACAAACCAAGGCATACTTTTCCTATGCAGTACCTCAACTTATATTTGCCTCCCCTCTAACTGGATGGGCGCCTGCACACCCTGGTTTTCCTCAGTCCAAAAATCAACGTTGCCCCAGGAGACCAACCCCTACCAATCCCCGTTAATACCCCTATCTGACACCGCCGTGCTATACAACTCATACCTCTATTAGTAGACCTCGGAATAACTACAGGAGTTGGAACTGGGATTGCGGGATTAACCACCTCCGTTTCCTATTACCAATCCCTCTCCAAAGACCTCACAAATAGCTTGGAAAAAATAGCCAAATCCATTACAACTCTCCAATCACAAATAAATTATTTAGCAGCAATGGTTCTTCAAAACCACAGAGACTTAGACCTACTCACAGCCGAAAAAGGAGGACTCTGCCTTTTTCTAGATGAAAAGTGTTGCTTTTATCTTAACCAGTCTGGCTTAGTACAACATGCTGTAAAAAGACTAAAGGACCGAGCACAAAAAATTAAAGAAAACATCCCTTGATGGCCAGCGTGGCCCTCCTGGTCTTTTAATACCTAGTTTCCATAGCTAATGCCCCTTCTAGGCCCGGCCATAACCATTTTTCTTTTCCTAGCATTCGGCCCTTGTCTCCTACACCATCTCACCCAGTTTTTACAGGACCGTATCAGAGCCTTCACCTATGCGACAATACAAGATATAATGCTGCTCCAGGAATACCAATGGCTCCAAAAACTGTAGTCCCTACTGTCCAGCCTTCCCCCACAACCGTCGCCCCTTCCCAGCAAGAAGCAGCCAGACAATGGCACCCCTCTTCTATTACCTATTAAAGGGCTGGAATGTTAGGGACAAACTGCCCAAGAAAGCTTCTTGGTGCTGCCCACCCTTCCCCCAAGCCTCTTTACATTTCTAAGCCCTTATCTAGGTGCCGCGGTGAAGCCAGCA
Source organism: Homo sapiens (assembly GCF_000001405.40). Lineage (NCBI taxonomy): Eukaryota > Metazoa > Chordata > Mammalia > Primates > Hominidae > Homo > Homo sapiens. The sequence goes on along the minus strand of NC_000016.10, from coordinate 30,542,096 downwards.
GACTTCACTTATCAGACCTTGCTGCAATAAGCAAACCCCAGGTACAAATCATCCACACCGCACAGGGGGAGGTTGTGGGAAACATAAACAAACTTTACCTACACCCTCCTGTAATAAACGTCACAAGGTAATATGTAGAAAAATTAACCAGCAAACAACCCCGAGATGCGGCCATACCAAAGAACTCCCTCAAACTCCCCTCCCCAATATAAACCCCTCATTCTGTAAGCTTGGGGCTGCTTCCTCTCTATTAGGGGAGCAGCTGGCAGATTAATAAAAAGTTGCCTGCCTAACTTTAGGTCTATTTTTCCTTTCTCTCAGCTGACCTTACACCCTCATCTCCTGGGAGTAGGAGGAGGCCCAGCTGTGAGTCAAAATGCCCAGGATCCCCAGGAAGGAGGAAGCCTAAGAGAAAGGCAGAAAGGGGAGAAGAGGGGATGACGTCTCCGTCCCAGCTGGAAGAGGATATTTTGTTGAGGAAGGAATGCTATTTATATGTTCCTTACTCCTGGTGTGACTCATTTTTGCTGACCTGAATTTATGACATTCCCTGGAGCCTGGCATCTTGACCTTCTCTTTCTCACTTTAAGGGAGGAGACCACCCCTCATATTGTCTTATGCCCAATTTCTGCCTCCAAAGAAAGAAGAAGTAAAAACTAAAAGGCAGAAATGGAATCCACAGGCAGATAGCCCAGCACTGCACCCTGGTTAAAAATCAACCCCTGACCTAACTGCTTGTGTTATCTATAGATTGCCAGACATTGTATAGAAAAGCATTGTGAAAATCCCAGTCCTGTTCTGTTCCGTTCTGATTACCTGTGCATGCAGCCCCCAGTCACGTACCCACTGTTTGTTCAATCAATCATTACCCCCTCAGAGATGTGAGCCCTTAAAAAGGACAGGAATTGCTCACTCGGGGAGCTCGGTTTTTGGAGACATGAATCCGCCGATGCTCCCAGCTGAATAAAGCCCTTGCCTTTCACAACTTGGTGTCTGAGGGGTTCTTGTCTGCGGCTCGTCCTGCTACAATTTTTTTTTTGAGACGGAGTCTTGCTCTGTTGCCCAGGCTAGAGGGCAGTGGTGTGATCTCTGCTCACTGCAGCCTCCACCTCCCAGGTTCAAGTGAGTCTCCTGCCTCAGCCTCCTGAGTAGCTGGGATTACAGGCACCTGCCACCACACCCGGCTAATTTTTAATTGTTTTTTAGTAGAGACGGGGTTTCACCATGTTGGCCAGGCTGGTAATGAACTCCTGACCTCAAGTGATCTGCCCCCGTCAGGCTCACAAAGTGCTGGGGTTACAGGTGTGAGGCACCACACCTGACCGAGACTGGGCTTCTTTTCTTTCTTTCTTTCTTTTTTTTTTTTTTGAGATGGCGTTTTGCTCTTGTTGCCGAGGCTAGAGTGCAATGGTGCGATCTTGGCTCACCGCAACCTCTGCCTCCCGGGTTCAAGTGATTCTCCTGCCTCAGCCTCCTGAGTAGCTGGGATTACAGGCATGCGCCACCACGACTGGCTAATTTTGTATTTTTAGTAGAGATGGGGTTTCTCCATGTTGGTCAGGCTGGTCTCAAACTCCCGACCTCAGTTGATCGGCCCGCCTCAGCCTCCCAAAGTGCTGAGATTACAGGTGTGAGCCACTGTGCCCGGCCTTTTTTTTTTTTTAAAGATAGAGTCTCACTCTGTCACCAAGGCTCGGGTGCAGTGGTGTGATCTCGGCTCACTGCAACCTCCGCCTTCCGGGTTCGCACCATTCTCCTTCCTCAGCCTCTGGAGTAGCTGGGATTGCAGGCATGTGCCACCACACCCAGCTAATTTTTGTATTTTTTGTAGAGATGGGGTTTCACCATGTTGGTCAGGCTGCTCTTGAACTCCTGATCTCAGGTGATCTGCCCTCCTTGGCCTCCCAAAGTGCTGGGATTACAGGCGTGAGGCACCGCGCCCAGCACTTAATTTGACTGGTGACATCCCATGGGACTACAGTCAGGCTGTGCTATGAATCGGCCCATTCAGTGGCAGTGTGTGAATTCAAATTTAGGATGAAGAAAGTTCACCTTTCTGTCTCCAGGCCCCCAGGCCCTGGAACAGCTGCCTGTGTAGTTGATGGTGGCTCCTCTGGTTGGCCTTGAGGTGTGTGGGAATGTCACTGCCTGGTGAGCTCCTCAGTTGGCCAGCACTGTCTGGGGGTGGGGGATGAGGGTGGCTCCCAGGGGTACCCATCTGAATGCTGCTGTTGTGAAGGTTGATTCTGTCACCTGAATATGAGTAGGCCTTGAGGAGTTGACAGGGCCAGAGGTAAGTTATGAATCAGCAGTTTCCCAATGGCCACTCAGAAAAATGACACATTTGGAAGGGACCAGCAGGAGTCTATTTGGGAGCTGTCATAAGCCCTTGGTGTCAGAAACACTGACCTGGTCTCTGAGCCTTTGGCCAAGGCTCCCTGTAGCCAGACCTTCCCCAAATCTGCAGTCTCTGCCCGGCCTCAACATCTGGCACTCACTCAGCACCTCATTCCTGTCCCCAGTGCAGCCACACTTCGCCAGTACCTTCAGCCAGGCCTCAGGTACTCCGGGGAGTGACCCTTTGCCCGCAGCTGGTATAGCACCCACTTCTCCCACAACGAGGCCCACCCCTGCTTCCTGTTGCCCAGCGGGCCTGTGTTCCTTCACCTGTCCCCACTGCTGGCAATGCTTGAGCCAGGGGCCCTTCAGTGGATCGACTGGCCTGGTGACATGGACCTCAGAGGCTGACCTCCAGGATTGTGAACTCTGCCCCTGGTTCTTTCCCAGGAGGGTCCAGACCCCCAAGGGAGCTTCTAGGATCTCCCAGAGCTCTTCCAGACTGTGGGTAATGGGCACCACACTGAGGGGTGGGCACTGCAAGAGACAAAATGTCATTGCTTTTAAGGGAAGTTTTCAGTTTTCTCTTGTGTCCTTCCGAGGTCTGAGAGCCTGGGAGACCTAGGGCTGGGAACACACCCCCTGGGCAACAATGAATCCTTATGCCCCTCCCAAACTTTTTGCCTCCTCTCCCCAGGGTGAGAAAATAGCCCTTAGAGGCCCCAAGGGACCAGAATAAACACACTTAACAAAGTAATCCATATCTTCCACCTGTTTGATGCCCCCCCAACCCACACAGATCTCCCCTTGAAAATTTTACTGCCCTAGCCAGATTTTCTTCGTCCTGTCATTTCTTTTAAAATTTATTGTTCTTGGCCAGGTGCAGTGGCTCACGCCTGTAATCCCAGCACTTTGGGAGGCCAAGGTGGGTGGATCACCTGAGGTCAGGAGTTCAAGACCAGCCTGACCAACATGGTGAAACCCTATCTCTACTAAAAATCCAAAATTAGCCGGGTGTGGTGGTGCATGCCTGTAGTCCCAACTACCCGGGGTGCTGAGGCAGAAGAATCGCTTGAACCCGGGAGGCAGAGGTTGCAGTGAGCAGAGATTGCGCCATTGCACGCCAGCCTGGGCAATAAGAGCAAAACTCCATCTCAAAAAAAAAAAAAAAATTATGGTTATTTAAGAAATACAGGCCGGGCGTGGTGGCTCACACTTGTAATCCCAGCACTTTGGGAAGCAGAGATGAGCGGATCACGAGGTCAGGAGATTGAGACCATCCTGGCTAACACGGTGAAACCCCGTCTCTACTAGAAATACAGAAAAATTAGCCAGGCGTGGTGGTGGGCGTCTGTAGTCCCAGCTACTCGGGAGGCTGAGGCAGGAGAATGGCGTGAACCCGGGAGACAGAGCTTGCAGTGAGCTGAGATCGCGCCACTGCACTCCAGCCTGGGTGACAAAGTGAGACTCCGTCTCAAAATAAAAAAAGAAAGAAATATAATGATCAGTAGCTGCACCACTAGAAAGATGGCAGAGCAAGAGCACAGAAAAATTCCTTTGGTTCCAGAAAATCTCCTGAAAAATAGGAAGGCTTATCAAGCCCTCAAAGCCACCCAGGCAAAGCAGGCATTTTTGGCAAAGGAGCAGAGGAAAGGAAAAGGGCTCAGGTTTAAGTGACTGGAATCATTCCTACATGATTCCTGGCAGGAGAAACGTGACAAGGTGCATCTCAAGACAACTAGAAGTGCAACCTCACGCCTTGGAATTGCCGGATAAATGTTCCTTGGCCTTTGTTGTACGCATCAAAAGGATTGATGGCGGGAGTTTACTGGTGCAGAGAACCATTGCAAGACTTTGCCTGAAGAAAATTTTTAGTGGTGTCTTTTTAAAAATGCTGCGTATAGTGGAACCTTATGTGACCTGAGGATTTCCAAATCTGAAGTCTGTCTGGGAATTCATTTTGAAACATGGACAAGCCAAGGTCAAGAATAAGACCATCGGCCAGACGCAGTGGCTCACGCCTGTAATCCCAGCACTTTGGGAGGCCAAAGATGGGTGGATCATGAGGTCAGGAGATCGAGACCATCCTGGCTAACACAGTGAAACCCCGTCTCTACTAAAAATACAAAAAATTAGTCCGGCGCGGTGGTGGGCGCCTGTAGTCCCAGCTACTTGGGCGGCTGAGGCAGGAGAATGGCGTGAACCTGGGAGGTGGAGCTTGCAGTGCGCCGAGATTGCACCACTGCGCTCTAGCCTGGGCGACAGAGCGAAACTCTGTCTCAAAAAAAAAAAAAAAAAAAGAATAAGACCATCCCTCTGACAGACAACACAGTGATTGAGGAGGACCTGGGGAAGTTTGGCGTCATTTGCTTGGAAGACCTCATTCATGAAATTGCCTTCCCAGGGAAGCATTTCCAGGAGATCTCATGGTTCTTGCGCCCTTTCCACCTTTCAGTGGCCCGTCATGCTACCAAAAATAGAGTGGGCTTCCTCAAGGAGATGGGCACACCTGGCTGTGGGGGTTAACGCATCAATCAGCTCATCTGCCAGCTGAACTAGACCCAGGTGCCAAACCGCAGTAAATTTTTATCAATGAAGTGGAAGCATGTGTTTTTGTTGTTTTGGGAATTTTTATCAAGTACTTTCAGAGAAGATTATTTCCTGCTTTATCTTCAAAAACTGGAAAGGGTCAAAGAAAAGACAGTAGCTTGCTGGGCACGATGCCTCACGCCAGTAATCCCAACACTTTGGGAGGCTGAGGCGGGCGTATCACCTGAGGTCAGGAGTTTGAGACCAGCCTGACCAACATGGAGAAACACTGTGTCTACTAAAAATACAAAAATTAGCTGGGAATGGTGGCGCACGCCTGTAATCCCAGCTACTCAGGAGGCTAAGGTAGGAGAATCACTCAAACCTGGGAGGCGGAGGTTGCGGTGAGCCAAGATCGCGCCATTACACTCCAGCCTGGGCAAAAAAAGTGAAAGTCCGTCTCAAAAAAAGAAAAAAAAGACAGTAGCTTATGTTCATGGCAAGCACCTCTCATCACAGTCCAGTTCCAAGGAAAAATTCCAGCGTTTTCTACATTGGGTGCCACGTCGCCTGAAATCAGCACATTCCATGGAGGAAGTAGTACTTCTCTGTTGCATCTATCCTAGGGTTTAATGTTGGTAAATGAGTCACTCTAGCATTTGCACAAGGCTCCTTAAGACTCCTGCAGCAGTCGACCAAGCCCAAGGACATAATTGAATCTGGAGAGTCCTGGGGCCTTGTTTTGAAAAAGACTTGAAATACACATAGGAAGAAAGACATAAAAATAAATGTTCACTTGTCTCTGCAAAAAAAAAAAAAAGAAAAGAAATATAAAAGCACCTGGCTTCAGCCACTTTTTCTGACTGCTCTCTCTTGTGAAGATGCCTGAGTACATGTAAAACAGGTACAATTTGTATTCTTTCCTCCTGTTAGTCTGTCTGCTGTCGATTCATTTTTTCTTATTTATTTTTGAGATAGGGTCTCCTAAGTTGAGCAGGCTGATCTCATTCTCTTGGACTCAAGGAATCCTCTTGCCCCGACCTCCCAGGCGCCAGGATTACAGGCGATTCTCAATCTGGGCCTAGATTCAACTAAAGAACCCACTAAGAGCTAAAAGGCGCGTTGGAGGTGACTCTGACTCCAGTACACAGGACATGTATGAAGTCACGTGGAGCACAGAGTAGGCCATCAGGAAGTGTGAGAAGGAGGTCTCAGGGGAGAGCTGGCGACTTTTACTGAGATAAAGACCCCAGGGGAAGCAGGTTGGGGTAAGAAAGGGATGAGCTGGGTTTGAGCCTAGGAGCCTTGGGCCATCCGCGCAGGGGCAGGACGTCAGGGAAGCCAAGAGCCTGGCTGCAGCTAGAGGGAGACAGGCGGTCGGGAGGCGTCCTGCACAGCACATGGGAGAAGCTCCTAGAAGAGAGGGCCCTCTGACTTTCTCAGCCTTACCCTATTCTCCCCGCTGCTTCCGCCATCTAGAAGCTCCCAGAATTTCAAGCTCCAAAAAGCCTACAATAGAGGAGGTTCTCCTGTATCCACTCCATGGCTTTTGTGAAAGGAAAATAAATCTTGGGACCCCCCCAAATCACTACGCTAAAGGAAAAAGTCAAGCTGGGAATTGCTTAGGGCCAACCTGCCTCCCAGTCTATTCAAAGTCACCCCTTTGCTGGCTGACACAGATGCATATCTGATTGCCTCCTTTGGAAACGCTAATCAGAATCTCAAAAGAATGCAACCGTTTGTGCCTCACCTTCTGTTTCTTGGAAGCCCCCTTCCTGCTTCACGTCTTCCTGCCTTTGCTTCAAGTTGCCCCGCCTTTCCAAACAGAACCAATGTACTTCTTACATACATTTATTGATGTCTCATGTCTCCATAAAATGTATAAAACTAAGCTATGCCCAGACCACCTTGGGCACATGTCGTGAGGACTTCCTGAGGCTGTCACGCGCGCGTCCTCAACCTTGGCAAGTAATTGAGATCTGTCTCGGAATTTCTGGGTTCACACTTTTTGCTCTCAACATTGGGAAGAGGCTGCTGTCGCCGTTTCTGAGGACAAAACGAGACAGTGATGGGCTGAAGTCCGATTATAAAAAGGTCCAGAGACGAAAACTAACTTCTGAGTTCACGAGGGCTGCCTTCCGCAGGGCGCTGCTTTGTTCCCGCAAACCCGGGCGGAAGCTCTGAGCTGCGCCGCCTCACCTGGCGGGGCCGGAGCATGCGCGGCTGGTTTTCAAGGCCGGCGCCTGTAGCCGCAACGGCCATTTTGGATTAGGGCAAGGAGAGAACTGGGCCTGGAGCGGGGGCGCGGGGAGGGGGGCGTCGTCGTGGGTACAATTGCGCAGGGGCAAAGGTCGAGAGGTCGCGCTGCCGCCGTTTTATTTGAAGACATCGTCCAGTTCTGACCATGGACTCGCAGCCATCGGCCCTTAGTTTCCATCCCCTCTAGTGGGCCTTCGGGGGCTCTACTGACGTCCCTCCTTCCCTTGGTACCGGGCCGGGGAAGTGTTCTCGGGCGCGGGAGGTTCCGCATGCCCAGGCCTGGCCAGGGGAGATGACCGATCCGTCGCTGGGGCTGACAGTCCCCATGGCGCCGCCTCTGGCCCCGCTCCCTCCCCGGGACCCAAACGGGGCGGGATCCGAGTGGAGAAAGCCCGGGGCCGTGAGCTTCGCCGACGTGGCCGTGTACTTCTCCCGGGAGGAGTGGGGCTGCCTGCGGCCCGCGCAGAGGGCCCTGTACCGGGACGTGATGCGGGAGACCTACGGCCACCTGGGCGCGCTCGGTGAGAGCCCCACCTGCTTGCCTGGGCCCTGCGCCTCCACAGGCCCTGCCGCGCCTCTGGGAGCTGCGTGTGGAGTTGGGGGCCCCGGGGCCGGGCAGGCGGCCTCCTCGCAGCGTGGGGTTTGCGTTCTTCTCCCCCAGGAGTCGGAGGCAGCAAGCCGGCGCTCATCTCCTGGGTGGAGGAGAAGGCCGAACTGTGGGATCCGGCTGCCCAGGATCCGGAGGTGGCGAAGTGTCCGACAGAAGCGGACCCAGGTGGAGTATCGGGTGCTCAGTCCCATGGGGACTTCTCTGTTCCTGTCCCATCCCGGTACCCTCTGCCACCTCCAGCTACCTGCTTAGCAGTTTCCTCTCTGAACTGCCTCCTCAACTGCGGCCAGGAGGCTGAGCCCCTGCCTGGCTCCGGGATGCAGCCTAGAAAGGGGCTGTGATGGGGGCTCTGGCCCTGCCATACCCGCCCCTGAGTCCTCACCTCTGCGTGGTCACTACACTCCGGGGACTTTTTTGTTTTGTTTTGTTTTAGAGACAGGGTCTCTGTTGCCCAGGCTGAGGTGCAGTGGCGCCATCATAGCTCACTGCAGTCTTGAACTCCCGGGCTCAAGCAATCGGCTCAACCAATCCTCCCGCGTGGGCCTCCAGAGTACCTAACACTGTAAAGGCACTCGCCACCACGCCTGGCTGGTTTTTTTTTTTTTTTTTTAATTAAAAAAATTTTAAAGAGGTAGAGGTCTTGGTGTGTTGCCCGAGCTGGTCTCGAACTCTAGCGATCCTCTATCTCGGCCTCCCAAAGCACTGGGATTACAGGCATGAGCCACTGCACCCGGCCTCTAGGTTCTGTTGACTCTACCTCCACATCATGACCCGCTCCAGTCGTTTTCCTGCACTATGGTTCCTATGCCCCCACATCCCGCCCTCCCATTTCCTTCCTTTAGTTCTTGCCTCAGCTTTTGCAGAGTATCCAGCCCCACTGAACTTGGCCATGCCCTCCTGGTTCTGCCTTTCTTGGTGCTGTTCCTTCTGCCTGGAATATCCCCAGGTGTCCGCTTCTTATTCCAGATCAGGCCCAGATGTTCACGTCATCTCTGCCCTTCCCCCGCGGTGACATTTCCCCAGCCCGGAGGCGGAATGGACTGTTCCCTCCCTCCAGGCTCTGTCTGGCTCTGCAGCCGAGGAACAGGTGTCACTCCTCCATCTCCTAGGAGCAGTCGGGGGTCCAGCAGGCCTGTCCCTGTCCACGCGGGCTGTGGGATTCAATGACCAGGATGAGCCAAGCCTGAACTCTCGCCTCCTTATCTTTCAGCAGATTCCAGAAACAAGGAAGAGGAAAGACAAAGGGAAGGGACGGGAGCCCTGGAGAAGCCCGACCCTGTGGCCGCCGGGTCTCCTGGGCTGAAGGCTCCCCAAGCCCCCTTTGCCGGGTTGGAGCAGCTGTCCAAGGCCCGGCGCCGGAGTCGCCCCCGCTTTTTTGCCCACCCCCCTGTCCCCCGAGCTGACCAGCGTCACGGCTGCTACGTGTGCGGGAAGAGCTTCGCCTGGCGCTCCACACTGGTGGAGCACATTTACAGCCACAGGGGCGAGAAGCCCTTCCACTGCGCAGACTGCGGCAAGGGCTTCGGCCACGCTTCCTCCCTGAGCAAACACCGGGCCATCCATCGTGGGGAGCGGCCCCACCGCTGTCCCGAGTGTGGTCGGGCCTTCATGCGCCGCACGGCGCTGACTTCTCACCTGCGCGTTCACACTGGCGAGAAGCCCTACCGCTGCCCGCAGTGTGGCCGCTGCTTCGGCCTGAAGACCGGCATGGCCAAGCACCAATGGGTCCATCGGCCCGGGGGCGAGGGGCGTAGGGGCCGGCGCCCTGGGGGGCTGTCTGTGACCCTGACTCCTGTCCGCGGGGACCTGGACCCGCCTGTGGGCTTCCAGCTGTATCCAGAGATATTCCAGGAATGTGGGTGACGGCCTAAAAAGTGACCATCTAGACATTGTGGGCGGCCCGAGATGGGCTCAGGGGCCCGAACCTCTGCAGCGGCCTGCAGGGAGGTCCCAGAATCCACCGCAAGAGCTGGCCTGGGGTGCGGACAGTCTGATCTTGGGCTCTCAGCAGCCTCTTCTGCCAGCACCTTGCTCCCCGCTGCCCTGGGCTCTCCAAGGCCCCCTTTGCTGAGGCAGGGCTGAGGTGAGAACCCCCCAGACCTCCATACAGGGAAGCAAAAGCTGTTTCTCCTCCCAGAGATGCTAAGAGGATTGAGGTAGAGAAGAACCTTGTTTTCTCTGTTGTCTTTTTCTTTTTACTTTTTTAATTTTTTGAGACGGAGTTTTGCTCTTGTTGCCCAGGCTGGAGTGCAATGGTGCGATCTCGACTCACTGCAACTTCCACCTCCTGGAGTCAAGCGATTCTCCTGCCTCAGCCACCCAAGTAGCTGGAATTACAGGCACCTGCCACTATGCCCGGCTAACTTTTTGTATTTTTAGTAGAGATGGGGTTTCACCATGTTGGCTAGGCTGGTCTCGAACTCCTGCCCTCAGGTGATCCACCCACCTCTGCCTCCCAAAGTGCTGGGATTACAGGCGTGAGCCACCTCACCTGGCCTTTTCTTTTTTATTCTTTGACCTTCCCACAAGACAATACCCATTGTCTGTTTTTTTTGTTTATTTATTTACTTATTAAGACAGCATCTTGCTCCTCACCCAGGCTGGAATGCAGTGGTGTGAACTGGGCTCACTGCAGCCTAGACCTGCTGGGCTCAAGGAATCCTCCTGCCCCAGCCTCTCAGATGGCTGTGACTACAGGTGGGCAACACTATGCCTGGCTAATTTTTAAATTTTTTTGCAGAGATGGGGTTCCCACTATGTTGATCAGGCTGGTCTCAAACTCCTCGGTTCAAGCAATTCGCCCACCTTGGCCTCCCAAAGTGCTGGGATTACAGGGGAGCCACTGCACTGGCCTTCATTGTCTTTTTGCTGCACAACCTAAAAAACCAGTGACCCTGTATTGGATCTCGCCTGCAGTTGCTGTATTGATTTGGGCCCAGGCAGTGTTTTTAAGTGATAAGAATTAGTGATGAAGATCTAAAGGGATATTTTGCACCAAAATCCAGGTTTCTGGCATCTCTTGAAAAATCCAAAGATTTCGCAAGTTCACCTAGGCTCTCAGAAAGTCGCAGTTGTTGGGAGTTGGGCCGGAGCCAGAACTCCCAACTTACTGTGGTCCGGCCACTCATCCCATCAGCTCCTGACCAAGCATGAGTAGCCATTCATCATGGCTTGCTTTTAGTGTTTTTGGTGTTTATCTTAAAGTACAGCAAAGAAGAAAGGGAAGTATTTCTTGAACCCATGTCTGTGTCAAAACAGTCCTTGCATCTTTCCTGTCTTTAGGTACGCACCATCTTTGCTGTCTTTAAGTATGTGCCATCATGGGCAGAGGGGGCTAGGCCAGGAACACCTGGTGTTAGATTTGTAGCCAGTGGCAACCGTACCCATCTGTATCCCCAAGTTCTACACGGAATCCCTCCAGCACTTCACGACTCCATTATCCAGCTACCACTAATTCCTTTGTGGGCAGAGTCCAGCCACGGGCAGCCCCTGCCCTGCCTCTGGTCAGGACAACACCTGCCCAAGGAGAGCAAGGGCCTGTGACCTCTGCTGGCCTGTGCGCCCTCACCTGTCACCCAGCTCAGCCCTGTGTCTGGCCTACCCAGGGAGGAAGGAACCAGATTTATCAGCCTGAAAGGAGGTAGAAGTTTTGGAGAAAAGACACTGTTCGGGTGTCAAGTAATGAACTGACTTTATTCGAACCTCATCTCCAATCCAATCCCACCGTGGTCTCTCTCTCCCTCAGCTTTTCTGGGGCGGGTTGACTCGTGTGTCACTTTATCACAGGGGCACATGGGGTGAGAAGAGGAACCTTGGCAGTAGGAGATACCTTTGTACCAGGTTTTAATTTCCAGTGTACATCTCAGTCCCCTCCCCTAACCCTCAACACAGCCTGGGGAAAGCCCAGCTTGCAACACCAGTTCTCAGCCCAGACTGACAGCCAGATAGATCTTGGCCCTGAGTTTGCCAATTAAAGATGCCGTGATTATTACCTAGAGGTCTCTGAGAGCTTTGAAGTTTGTAAAGTTTACTTATGGCCCAGAAACCAGGCTCCAACTCCTCTGCTTCCTGCCCTCATGACCCAACCTTCCAGCATTTCGTCAATTTTTTTTAGTGTCGTGAAACCCTTAAGCCTTAGCCCCACCCCATTCTCAGCTCCTCAGTTGGTGGCACAGATATTTCCACCTAGAGGTAGGGCCAGGCTAAGTATCTTTTAAAAATGTAGCTATTCTCGGCCGGGCGTGGTGGCTCACACCTGTAATCCCAGCATTTTGGGAGGCTGAGGCGGGCGGATCGCAAGGTCAGGAGACCGAGACCATCCTGGCTAACATGGTGAAACCCCGTCTCTACTAAGGATACATTTTAAAAAAATTAGCCTGACATGGTGGCACGTGCCTATAGTCCCAGCTACTCAGGAGGGTGAGGCAGGAGAATCGCTTGAACTCAGGAGGCAGAGGTTGCACTGAGCAGAGATAGCACCACTGCACTCCAGCCTGGGTGACAGAGCGAGACTCTGTCTCAAAAAAAAAAAAAAAAAAAACTAGCTACTCCCTGGGCCCAGTTCCTCATCTATTGAATCAGAATCTCCAGGGATAGAATTTTATGGCTGTGAAAGTTTGAGAGAACCACGGCTGGGAACAAAACATTATTTTCAAACTGCTCTTAGTTTTGCAAGAGTAGTGGTTGGTCCCAGGGCCTGTCCCCAATGTCAGGCATACACAAAGACCTCCATTTCTTTGTTCTTTCCAAAGGGCCCTGTGCCGTGGCTGCTGTCTTCCTGGGTACTTAGGATCATGTTCAATACACTGGGGCATCTCCTCTAGCATCGGATGGAAGGGCTTTAAGAGGGCTTGTCCTTTGCATGAGGGAAGGGAGCAGTGCATACGGAAGCTCCTCTCACTGAGAACGTCTGTGAAGGCTCTCTGGCCTGCAGTGTTGGCCAGGTTGGCTGACCATAAGCCTTGGCTGCACACTGAATGGCTCTGCCCTAGTGCTGGGCATGCCAGGAGATAATGCTGTGAACAAAGTGACCACCTGACTCAGGACATGCACAGGGCTCATCCTCATGGATGCAGAGGCAGGACAATGCCAGTGGACTCCCCAAGTTTCTCCTGCCTTGGATTAGCTGGTGTTGGGTCAAGATGCAGCCCTTATCAGAGGCTTTCCTGGGCTTGGAGCCTCTCACTGCTGTGGCTGTGTGTCAGGTGGAGGCTGGCTTCCTTGTGAAGTCCCTGTGCATAGATGGCACCCTGGTCCTAGAGGAGGCTGGCTGGAAGTGAGCCACTCTTACTCCAGGTGCCAGTGAGGCTGAATTTGCACTTGGAAATGCGGGTGCCTGGGCAGCATGAAGTCTTGGCCCAGCTTCTGCTACACCTGGGACTTGTGGCTCATGATAAGAGTGCAGGCAGTGTACGGTGTCAGAGCTGTGGCTGGAGGTCTCGCCACCCATTTTTAGGGTGTGGCTGCTCTCCTGTGTGAATTTTGGTGGATCAGCAAGTTGGATGTCAGAGAAAAGTGTCTTGTGAAGGAGACTTGTTTCCTACCTGTGTGAGTGCTTTGGGGATGACCAGAGGGTACCCCATGTCCAGCTCTTCCCAAAACTGGTCCTCTTGTAGGCTGTTTGACTGTGGGCTCTAGTGCTGGACCATGTAAGCCATTCTTAGCAAAGGTTTCAAGACAAACATACATTGGGATGGGAGAGAGCTATGGGGCTGGAAGCTGTTTCTCTGGAGGGCAGAAAGTTTTCCCCGCTTCATTCGTGGCATAAGCTCTTGTGATTTTATTTGTAAGCCTTTATTATTATTATTTGAGACGGAGTCTTGCTCTGTCACCCAGACTAGAGTGCAGTGGCGAGATCTCGGCTTACTGCAACCTCCGCCTCCCGGGTTCAAGTGATTCTCCTGCCTCAGCCTCCCAAGTAGCTGGGATTACAGGTGCCCACCACCGTGCCTGGCTAATTTTTGTATTTTTTTAGTAGAGACGGGGTTTCACCATCTTGGCCAGGCTGGTCTTGAACTCCTGACCTCGTGATCCACCTGCCTTGGCCTCCCAAAAGTGCTGGGATTACAGACATGAGCCAGTGCGCCCCACCTGTAAGCCTTTATTTAGATAGTTTCTCTCCACTTTTTACCACTTGGCATTCTTCAAGTTCTTGTTCTCACCTCTTTTCAGGAAGGAGAGGCCATCCTTCCTCCCAAACATTCTCTTCCCTTCATTTGTCTGGGTAGGCGACAAGAAAACACGATCCATGGCTCCTGCTCACACAGGGGCATCGGGCTCGTTAACTGTCAAGAACGCTGCCAAACTTGTTTCAGCACGAAGCGTAGAAAAAAAAGACAAGAACTGGATGATATTAAGTTGTCTGTCCAGGCTCACTTCCTCAATTCAAAGCTGCGCCCGAGGCAGTGTTTCTCAGGTTCCCTTCCTCTGCAAGACTCCATTCGAGTCAGACAAGACTGGAGAGTTGTTAGATGCCTCGAAGGCCAGATGGTTCTCTCAGTCCAATTCTCCTTTGTATCACCCTCACCTGGAAGGAATCCTGCCTCCCTGTGAGGAAATCTAACAACAGGGACTAAGGCTGCCAGGGATTGAGTTAAACTCAGGCGCTGGGGAAGGTGGAGGGGAGAGGCAAGGGGTGTGAGGCTGACGAGGAGGAAGGGTGTCTGTCCTCAGATCTTCTGGCTTTCATAAAACATAATGGAGGCTAAGTGGGGGCGGGAAAAGTTTTGATGGCACAGGCCGGGCTGGAGGGGAGATGCCTGGCACCTCCCTCCCACTACCTCCTGAAGGCGCTTCTGGCCGACAGGGGAGGCGGACCCGACCACAGCACTCCCGGCCAATCAGGAAGGCGCCTGGCGTTCCCTGGCGACCATTAACGCCCAGCCGTCCGCGGGGTTGGAGGAGGCGGGGCGGCTAGAGCACGAGCCCCATCGGCCAACCGCCGGGCTTCCTGGGGCGGAGAAGCTGTGCCTCTGGGAGCCGGGGCGGGGCTGTCTCCTTGGCAACTATCCTAGCCCTCGAGGAGGGAGGAGGGAGGAGGAGGATCAGGGGAGCCGAGCTGGGTGGGGGCCGGAGGAACGGGAGCGGGCGCGCGCAGGTGCCGGGGAGCGGAGTTCCTGGAGGGGGTCCCAGGCTCAAGGACCTCGGCGAGGCCAAGGGGAGTCCGTCCCGGTTCCCGAGGCGCTGCCGGAGCTGACCCGGAGGCCCGGGAGGGGAGGGAGCGAGACACCGCCCCCGCTGGCGCCGGGAAGCGTCGCTCCTTCTCGCTGACCTTGGTCTCGCTTGTCGCCTCGCCCTTGGCCACACGCACCGACGACGCGGGGCCCGGGAGATGGACAGACGGGCCTCTGGAGGGACGGAGACCTAGAACATAGGCACACACACTGCCCCGGTAGCCCCGCGGGCTCCGGGGCGTCCGGTCCTCACCCACCCCGTGGCCGGGCCCCTCCAGCCCAGGGTTAATGCCAACGAGTTTCCACCTCCAGCGGCTCCTAGAGAGGCCGCGGCGCGAGCCGGCGGGGGGACCTGGCCGCGGACGGACACTTCCTGTGCGGGGGAGGGTGGGGGGGTGCTGGGCGGCCGTTGGACAGTGCAGCCCAGCCCGGGGCCGGGGTCCAGAAGGTGGGGGCTCGGGCGGGAGCGGGGGCCGGGGGCCGCCGGGGTAGTCGCGAAGCCCCTCATCCCCGAGGCCGCGACGCGCGGGGGCCAGTGAGGGCCACGGGGAGGCCGAGACCTTGGGAGGGGGCGGGGCCGCGGGCAGGGGAGGGGCCCGGCGCGCTGGAGAGGCGCGGGGTCAAGACGTCCGGCCTCGGGGGCCCGGGCTGGGCCGCCGAGTCCCCTGGGCGGCGCTGAGCGGGCGGGAGGCGGGGGCCCGCGGCTCGGGGCAACCGAGGCCGGGTCGCGGGATCGGCCGCCATCGCCGCCGCCGCTGCACTGGGAGCCCGCGGGGATGGAGCGGGAGGCGTTGCCGTGGGGCCTCGAGCCCCAGGATGTGCAGAGTTCTGACGAAATGAGGAGCCCCGAAGGGTACCTCAGAGGTGAGGAGGGAGCGCCCGTCCGAGGAGTGGACTTGCGCGCAGGAGAAGGGGCTGTGGCTCCAGGGAGGGAGCGAGGGCCCGGGGCTGGGACACCTGGGACTCGAAGGAGGGGCCGGCGGGGACTGGGGTGTCTTGGGTCAGCTGAGGGGGGCGTGGGAATTTCAGCACTTGTCTAGGGGCCAGCGACCCTGCATGTGAGGTGGGAGGTGTGTGGTTGCTAATGGACCAAATGACCTTCCAGGTCTCACACGATCTGGATTCTCTCATCCTGCAGGCAACATGAGTGAGAATGAGGAAGAGGAAATTTCTCAGCAAGAAGGCAGTGGGGACTATGAAGTCGAAGAGATACCATTTGGGCTTGAACCCCAGAGCCCTGGGTTTGAGCCACAAAGCCCAGAGTTTGAACCCCAAAGCCCCAGATTTGAGCCTGAAAGCCCGGGGTTTGAGTCCCGAAGCCCTGGGCTTGTGCCCCCAAGCCCTGAGTTTGCACCCAGAAGCCCTGAATCAGATTCTCAGAGCCCTGAGTTTGAATCCCAGAGCCCTAGGTATGAACCCCAAAGCCCTGGCTATGAACCTCGGAGCCCCGGGTATGAACCCCGGAGCCCTGGCTATGAATCTGAGAGCTCTAGATATGAATCCCAGAACACTGAGCTCAAAACCCAAAGCCCAGAATTTGAAGCTCAAAGTTCCAAATTCCAGGAAGGTGCGGAGATGCTTCTGAACCCCGAGGAAAAGAGTCCTTTGAATATCTCCGTAGGAGTTCACCCCCTGGACTCCTTCACTCAGGGGTTTGGGGAGCAGCCCACAGGGGACCTGCCCATAGGGCCACCTTTTGAGATGCCCACAGGGGCCCTGCTGTCTACACCGCAGTTTGAGATGCTTCAGAATCCCCTGGGTCTCACAGGAGCCCTTCGAGGTCCAGGTCGGCGGGGTGGCCGGGCCAGGGGTGGGCAGGGCCCTCGGCCTAACATCTGTGGCATCTGCGGGAAGAGCTTCGGGCGGGGCTCCACCCTGATCCAGCACCAGCGCATCCACACCGGTGAGAAGCCCTACAAATGTGAGGTCTGCAGCAAGGCCTTCTCCCAGAGCTCTGACCTCATCAAACACCAGCGCACCCACACTGGCGAGCGGCCCTACAAATGTCCCCGTTGCGGCAAGGCCTTCGCCGACAGCTCTTACCTGCTTCGCCACCAGCGCACTCACTCTGGCCAGAAGCCCTACAAGTGCCCACATTGTGGCAAGGCCTTCGGCGACAGCTCCTACCTCCTGCGACACCAGCGCACCCACAGCCACGAGCGGCCCTACAGCTGCACCGAGTGCGGCAAGTGCTATAGCCAGAACTCGTCCCTGCGCAGCCATCAGAGGGTGCACACCGGTCAGAGGCCCTTCAGCTGTGGCATCTGCGGCAAGAGCTTCTCCCAGCGGTCGGCCCTTATCCCCCATGCCCGCAGCCACGCCCGGGAGAAGCCCTTCAAGTGCCCTGAGTGCGGCAAGCGCTTTGGCCAGAGCTCGGTGCTGGCCATCCACGCCCGCACCCACCTGCCAGGCCGCACCTACAGCTGCCCCGACTGCGGCAAGACCTTCAATCGCTCCTCCACTCTCATCCAGCACCAGCGCTCCCACACGGGCGAGCGGCCCTACAGGTGCGCCGTGTGCGGCAAGGGCTTCTGCCGCTCCTCCACGCTTCTGCAGCATCACCGGGTCCACAGTGGCGAGCGGCCTTACAAGTGCGATGACTGCGGAAAGGCCTTCTCCCAGAGCTCCGACCTCATCCGCCACCAGCGGACCCACGCGGCGGGCCGGCGCTGACCTGGGGCCCCAGCAGGGGTGGGAGGTGTGGGCAGAAGATAAGGGGCCAGGGAGCTAGAGGAACCTTTAGGGAGGATAGTGGAGAAGCCGCAGGAGAATGGAGGAGCTGAGGATGCTGGAAGAAGAGAACCAGGGTGGAGGAAGTGACATGCCCTGGAGACTTGTGGGAAGTGGGTTGGAGGGAGGCCAGGCCGGCAGCGGGAGGCCCTGGGAGAAATGGAGAGAGGTCAGCGGAGGGCTGGCCTCAGCCGCGGCTCCTTGGTGGGTGCCTGGCTTGGCAACTGCTAGAGCAGGGAGGGGGGAGGGCAGGGGATTACCTAATTAGAGTGGGTTAGCTTAGATTGGTAGCTGCTGAAACTCTCGTTGAGTCAGGAGCGGGTAAAAGGTAGGTGGGGTGGGGAGTGGGGCCCCGGGGTGGGGCCTGGGCCTCTGCGTGCAAACCCCAGCCTCCCTCTTCTTCCTCAGGCTTTGGAGCCCCTGAGTTTGAGTTCAATAAAAACTTTATGTGGTAAACGAGACTTGTCCTTAAAATGTGTGCGTGCACAGCGCCCTGGGAAGTGGGAGACACCAGTAGTAGCCTAGGGCCTTATCCGGGAAGTGCTTTGCTGTTGCTGCTGTTAGAAAGCGGGTCTTGCTGTGTTGCAGCAGGCCACCGCACCTGGCTGGAAGTGCTATTTGTTTCTTTTTTTTTTTTTCTTTTTTTTGAGACGGAGTCTTACGCTGTCACCCAGGCTGGAGTGCAATGGTGTGGTCTCGACTCACCGCAACCTCTGCCTCCTGGGTTCAAGTGATTCTCCTGCCTCAGCCTCCCAAGTATCTGGGATTACAGGCGCCCGACACCACACCTGGCTAATTTTCACCATGTTGGCCAGGCTGGTCTCGAACTCCTGACCTCACGTGATCTGCCTGCCTCAGCCTCCCAGAGTGCTGGGATTAGAGGTGTGAGCCACTGCGCCTGGCCTGTTTTTCTTTTTTTTTAATTTTGAAGGCAGTATCTTGCTCTGTGGCCCAGGCTGGATTGCAGTGATGCGACCATCGCTCACTGCAGCCTTGACCTCCTGTGCTCACGTGATCCTTCTGTCTCAGCCTCCTGAGTAGCTGGGACTACAGGTACGTGCAACCAGGCTCAAATAAGTTTTTATATTTTAATTTTTTGTAGAGACAGGGTTTGCTATGTTGCCCAGGTTGGTCTCAAACTCCTGGCCTCAAAGGATCCTCCTGCCTTGGGTTTCCAAAGTGCTGAGAATACAGTTGTGAGCCACAGAGCCCAGCCAGAAATGTTCACTTGAGTAGGGCTGCAATATTGCACCAGCACAAAACCACCACAAAACTGGACAGAATTTCACATTTATTGGATAAATACATGCAGGCACTGTGCTTGGCACTGGGGCTCCAAGTTAGCAGACGTGGTTCCCACCTTGAGCTCAGTCTTTCTGTGGGGGCCACTGCACAGGCGTGATGGGTCCTGGGAGAGGGTGTGGAGCTAGGGCAGGGCAGAGCCTGAGAAGACAGCCTCCAAGGGTGGGGATGTCACGGGCCCGTGCCCGCTTTTTATTTTTATTTTTTCCTTGAGACGGAGTCTCGCTGTGTTGCCCAGGCTGGAGTGCAATGGCGCAATCTTGGCTCACTGCAACCTCCACCTCCCAGGTTCAAGCAATTCTCCTACCTCAACCTCCTGAGTAGCTGGGACTACAGGTGTGTGCCACCACGCCTGGATTTTGTATTTTTAGTAGAGATGGGGTTTCGCCAGGCTGGCCTCTAACTCCTGACCTCAGGTGATCCACCCTCCTTGGCCTCCCAAAGTGCTGGGATTACAGGCGTGAACCACCGCGCCCAGCCCAGCCCCTCTTTTTCTGTATCTTCCCACTGGCTCTGTCATTAATTCAGTGAAATTATGTCAAGCACCTACTAGATGTCCCACGCCCTGACATATCATGAGGCATCATCCCAAGGTGAACAAGACAAGTATAGCCTTTACCCTCACAGTTCACTGAGAGATAGCTGCTAAGTACGTCAATCATTAAACAGGGAAAAAACATCCAGGCTGCCGGATGAAGAAACATGACGTGTGCTTTGAGGGAGTAGTGCAGGCTGGTGGAAGTGTGAAAGATGTGAGGACCCAACCAAGTGTGACGTGAGCTGGGATCTGCTGGTCAAGGAAGGAGGGGTGGCGAGATGGAAGGTTCAGGCAGAGGGAGCTGTCTGGGTGAATGCAGGAAGACAGGAAGGAGCCTGGCCTGGGAGAAAGGCTGGTGTCACCAGAGCTTCAACAGGGAGGCATCACGGCTCTAGAAGAGGCTGGGGAAGGCCACGAGGGTCTCATTTTGCAGGGTGCTGGAAGGCATGCCAAGGAATTTGGTCTTTGGCCAAGAACAAGGCGTGTGCCACAGTCACGTAGTGACACAGGTCACATTTGCTTTCTGCCAGCAGAAGAGACTGGACTCCAGTGCAGGGGAGTGTGCAAGGACAGGTTCTGGGGGGTGGAGGCATCTGTGGACATCCCAGGGCAGGGGTGAGGGCCAGAACATCCCTAGGTCCTGAGACTACAGTTTCTCCACATTTAGATCAGACATTCTCTTCCAAGGAAGGAAACCAAGAGAGGCTGGTGAACCGTCTGGTAATGACAAGCCCTCACTTTTGCAGCCCTCTTGGCTGGTCCCTCAGCAGGTCTTCCCTATGAGCCTGCAAAGGAGACAGGCAGGAATGAGTTCCATGTTCGAGATAGGGAAACTGAGGGCCAGGGAGAGGCAGTGACTCGCCCGAGGGCACACGGCAGAATGCAGGCAGAGGCAGAGTGGCCCTGGGCATCCTGAGTCCAGTTCTGGGCACTCTGCACCTCACAGGCCTGGACTCAGTCCTTGCCACCACCACTCTCAGAGTCCTTCTCATGGAGGGGCTTCAGGCAGCCGGGATCCCCAGCCTCTTGCCCAGATGCCAGCTGCTCAGAGTCTTCTGCAGGGATTCCATTCGGGACACCTCTGCCAGCCTCCATCTTCTCCTTCAGGTTCCGTTTGAAGAAACCAACCTGTACAAAGACAAAATTTGAACGAGCAAAGAATTCACTGAGCACTTTGGCCCCAAGAAAATGTGAGAACACTTTTTTTTTTTTTGAGATGGAGTCTCACTGTGTTGCCCAGGCTGGAGTGCAGTGGTGCGATCTCGGCTCACTGCAACCTCTGCCTCCCAGACTTAAGCAATTCTCTTGCCTCAGCCTCCTCAGTAGCTGGGATTACAGGCATCTGCCACCACGCCCGGCTAATTTTTGTATTTTTAGTAGAGACAGGGTTTCACCATGTTGGCCAGGCTGGTCTTGAACTCCTGACCTCAAGTGATCTGCCCTCCTTGGCCTCCCAAAGTGCTGGGATTACAGGCATGAGTCCCCGAGCCCAGCGAGAACACTTTATTTTATTTTATTTATTTTATTTTATTTTTGAGATGGAGTTTTGCTCTTGTTGCCCAGGCTGGAGTGCAATGGCACCATCTTGGCTCACCGCAAGCTCCGCCTCCCAGGTTCAAGAAATTCTCCTGCCTCAGCCTCCTGAGCAGCTGGGATTACAGGCATGCGCCACCATGCCCAGCTAATTTTGTATTTCTAGTAGAGACAGGGTTTCTCCATGCTGGTCAGGCTGGTCTCGAACTCGCGACCTCAGGTGATCCACCTGCCTCTGCCTCCCAAAGTGCTCGGATTACAGGTGTGAGCCACCGTACCCGGCCTTCATCTGTAATGTCTACTCAGCCTTCAAATCCCACCTCAAATGCCACCTCTCCTGGGAGGCCTGCCAGGCCCTCACAGCCTAAGTGAGGCTCCTGGGTTCTAGGCCCCAGGCCACACAGGCCCTTTGCAGCCCTCATTCTGCTTGCTTCTGCCTGTGTCCTCTCTTAGACTGTGAGCGCCACAATGGCAGGGAGCATGTTTGTGGCATGTGCCTCTGTGTCCCTGTGCCTGGGACAGTGCCCAGCAGCCAAAAGGACCTCCACATTTGGCATACTTCCTTTTCCTCTCCCAGGACGCCTCGTCCTGGCTCTGCCAGGGATGGGCTGAATGACCGTGGAAAAGTCTCTCTTGCTGTTTGTGTGTGTGTGAGACAAGGTCTTGCTCTGTCACCCAGGCTGGAGCGCAGTGGCATCATCATGGCTCACTGCAGCCTTGACCTCCTGAGCTCAAGGGATCCTCCCACCTCAACCTCCCGAGTAGCTGGGACTACAGTTGGGTAGCATCACGTCCCCCTAATTTTTAAAATTTTTTGTAGAGGCGGATGCTTTCCATGTTGCCCAGGCGGGTCTTGAACTCCCAGGCTCACGTGATCCACCTGCCTCGGCCTCCAAAGTGCTGGGATTACAGGTATGAGCCACTGCACCTGGCCCTTGCTTGTTCTTTGGACCTCAGTAGCCTTCTCTGTTGAAGGAGGGAGTAGGCTGAGGCCCCCTGGCTCTGAGGCCCCCTGGCTCTTATGCCCTCTGGCTTGGTATTCTCCTCCCTGGCTCCCACCAGATCCCCTTCCCCAGCCTGGCTGTCTCAGCAATGCCTGTGACCCCCGGAGGCACCCACCTTGTACAGCACTATGAAAATGAGCAGCAGCAGCAGCAGCCCCCCGATGCCGCTCAGCACGTAGAGGTAGAGCATCTGCTTCTCATACACCACGTCAACCTTCATGACAACCTGGGAGCAGGGGGAGGGGAGTGCCGGAAAATGCCTTTTCCACCCCTGAAAGTCCCTGTGAACCTGGTTCCATTCCCCATCTCCTCCTATCCGGACTGCATCACCCGCCTGGAGTCTCCAGCTGCAGACCCTCTCCCTTTAACACGTCACCTATTGCAGTCGCTGCCATGAGTTGGCCAACACACACCTTAGGCAGCCCTAGGCCTTCAATGGCTTCCCCGGAATCGCACGCAGCTCAGCATTCAAAGCCGTCCAGAATCCAGCTTTTGCTTACCTGTTAGATGCAGCTTCCCTCCTCCCCTCTGCCTGTTAGCCACACTGAACTTCCTGCTCTTCAAACCTGCCCTGCCAACACTCACCACAGAGGCCCCTGGCCTTGCCACTGCCTCTGCTTAGAGCGCTCTTTCTTCACTGTCTGACTTGGCTTGGTAACTCCTTTGCTAAGCTGCCATCAGATTGATTTTTTTTTTTTTTGAGATAAGGTCTCACTGTGTTGCCCAGGCTGGAGTGTAGTGGCATAATCATAGCTCACTGCAGCCTTGAACTCCTGTGCTCAAACGATCCTCCCATCTCAGCCTCCCGAGGCACTGAGTACAGGCGTGAACCACCACGCCTGCCTCTGACAGATCCTTTTGAGATGAAGTCTCACTCTGTCGCCCAGGTTGGAGTGCAATGGTGGGATCTCAGCTCACTGCCACCTCTGCCTCCCAGGTTCAAGTGATTCTCTCACCTCAGCCTCCCGAACAGCTGGGATTACAGGCGCCCACCATCATGCCCGGCTAATTTTTGTATTTTTGTAGAGATGGGGTTTCACCATGTTGGCCAGGCTGGTCTTGAACTCCTCACTTCATGTGATCTGCCTACCTTGACCTCCCAAAGTGCTAGGATTACAGGTGTGAGCTACTGCGCCCGGCCTCGATTGAACTTTACTCGACACATAAGTCTACTACATCTCAGGCAACTCTGGGGTTGTGTGCCCACCAAGGGGAGAAGAAGCTTCTCCCAGGCTGATGGCTCTGGCAGTGGGAAGTTCTGACTCGCACAGAGCCCAGGAGCTCTCCCACATCTAGGTCTGCCCTGGGGCTCCTGGGCTCCCTCTGTTGCCTGTTCCTGGGGCTTCCAAGGAGGTGGAGATACCTGGGCCAGGGAGGCGTTGCTGCCATAGAGGTGGAAATGCTTGCTGCTGTTGAAGGAGATGGAGAGGGAGCTGCAGAGGCTGAACATGGAAGAGGCCTGTGGGAGCGGGGAAAGGCGTCAGAACCCGGGAGAACGAGGACAGAACCCACTGGCTTTTGCCCCCACCACAACACAGTGGGGAGGGGCAGAGAAGGGGTTCCAGGGGGGTGCACCCATCTCTACACAACTCTCTATTGTGGCATTCTTTTCTTTCTATTTTTTTTTTTTTTTTGAGATGGAGTCTTGCTCTGTCACCCAGGCTGGAGTGCAGTGGTGCCATCTTGGCTCACTGCAACCTCTGCCTCCCGGGTTTAAGGGATTCTCATGCCTCAGCCTCTCAAGTAGCTGGGATTACAGGCATGTGCCACCACGCCCGGCTAAAGTTTTGTATTTTTAGTACAGACAGGGTTTCACCATGTTGGCCAGGCTGGTCTAGAACTCCCGACCTCAAGTGATCCACCCACCTAAGCCTCCCGAAGTGCTAGGATTATAGGCTTGAGCCCCGCCCCAGCCTCTACTGTGGCACCCTAATATGTCGCTCCCCATTGTTGTAAGGAAAGCTTTTCTATAAAGAACACACAGGAACTATCCATAGGCCCATGGAAACAGCATTGCAAATATCACAGAAATCATTGTTCTCTTTCACCTGTGACTGTGTAAATGGGATTTTTCATCAAGATGGAAAACAAAAATGGAGGCAGACTATCTGGTGGGAGCCCACCCACAACGGCCCCAGGCATTGGGGCCCCCACAGCAGCTCCACATCTCTTAGGAGCGGGGACTACCTCGATCTCTCCCACCAGCTCCAGAGTCCCGATCACTTGGACGAGGATCTCCTGCCTGAAGACAACAGGGCAGCGGAACAGGGCTCCGGGGAGACAAGGCTGACAAGGATGAGGAAAGCGGGGTCAGGGCGGCTTCATTCCGACCCGTGTACCGCCCAGCCCCACCGTCTCTCAGCTCACACGCCCATACCTCAGCTGCATCCGGGAGCCTCTCCAGATCCTCATAGTGGCAGGGCACGGGAGGCTCCTAGGAACAAGCGGCAGGTCTTCAGTTAGAGCCTCCCCAACCCAGATAAGACACTGGCATCCCAGCTTTCCCCTGCCCTGGCCCTGGCCCTGGGTGAGTTCAGACATCTCTGAGTCCAGCAGGACCTGAATTCATCCATCCTTACTCTCCATACACCCAGCCTTGCCCCCTTGATTTTTTTTTCTTTGTTAGAGACAGGGTCTTGTTCTGTCACCGAGGCTGGAGTGCAGTGGTGCCATCATAGCTCACTGCAGCCTCAAACTCCTAGGTTCAAGTGATCCTCCCGCCTCTGCCTCCTGAGTAGCTGAGACCACGGGCACGGGCCACCATGCATGCCTGGATAATTTTAAAATTTGTTTGTAGAGACTGGAGTTGTGCTATGTTGCCCATGCTGGTCTCAAAATCCTGGCCTCAATGGATTCTCCCACTTCAGCCTCCCAAAGTGCTGGGATTTGGGAGGCAGAGCCACCGCACCTGGCCAAGCCCTGCCCTCTGTACCCTCAAATGCACTCACCCCCAAGACCTGAGGAGGGTAGACCCTCCCTCTACAGGCAGCACTCACCATCTGCACGCTCCACTGGTGTGTGATGGGCCCCTCGCTGGGAGGCTGTGGCACCCCAACCACAGCCTCCAGGGTGGGTATGTTGTGGTCGTGGATGGAAGGCTGGATCCTCACCTGGCACAGAGGACAAGGGATGCAGAGCCCTGAATGCCAGCCACCCCAGCTGCCCCCCAGACCCTGTGTGCCCTTGCACGCCTCTTCCAGTCCTCATTGGCTGAGTCCCCAGGGCCCTTGTCGGTTAGGCAGTGTCCAGTGACTGGGCATGGCCAGCTTCCGTCCTCAGGGCCTTGCAGTGTGGCTTCCATGCTCTTCCAGCTTTCTCCGCCCAGCACACTCTCACACACCCTGCAAGGGCCTGCTCTAATATTATCTCTGAAGGCTTCGCTGACTCCCCAAGGACAGGGCAGCTCCCCCTCCTGGGCTCCCACAGTGTGCTCTGCGTCCCCAGCAGGACGGCAAAGGATCTGCTTGGATGTCTGCATCTCCACTAGACCATGAACTCCCTGAGGACAGGAGCCATTCTTACTCCACCTCCAATCCCCTACTGCTTGACACAGTGCCTAGTGTGGTGGCTCACACCTGTAATCCCAGCACTTTGGGAGGCTGAGGTGGGCAGATCACTTGAGGTCAGGAGTTTGAGACCAGCCTGACCAAGATGGTGAAACCCCGTCTCTACTAAAAATACAAAAATTAGCCAGGTGTGGTGGCACAATCCTACAGTGCTGGGTACTCTGGAGGCTGAGGCAGGAGAATTACTTAAACCCAGGAGGTGAAGGTTGCAGTGAGCCGAGATCATGCCACTGCACTCCAACCTGGGCGACAGAGTGAGACTCCGTCTCAAAAAAAAAAAAAAATTTCTGAGCACCTTTTATTAAAAAAAGAACTACCTGTGTTAAGGCTGGGAGACTCAGATATGTGTAAGAAAGTGACACAGAAGTGGCACTAACAATGTCTCAGGAAGCAGGGAAATGTATCAAATTAGAAGGATTCTATCATTTATTCATTCAACGAACATTTGTGGACACTTGAAATACCAGTTAAATTAAAAAGGCCAAATGTCAGGGGCAGTATTTGAATTTGACTGTGAAAGATGGACAGGATTTTTTTTTTTTTTTTAGACAGAATATCACTCTGTCACCCAGGCTGGAGTGCGATGGCACGATCACAGCTCGCTGCAACCTTCACCTTCCAGGTTCAAGCGATTCTCCTGCCTCAGCCTCCCCAGTAGCTGGGACTACAGGCACACACCACCACACCTAGCTAATTTTTGTATTTTTAGTAGAGATGGGGTTTCATCATGTTGGCCAGGCTGGTCTTGAACTCCTGACCTCAGGTGATCTGCCCACCTGGGCCTCCCAAAGTGCTGGGGTTACAGGTGTGAGCCACCGCGCCTGACCAGATGGACAGGATTTTAACAGATGAAGGTGGGAGAGGGCATCCAAGAAGAGACATGTGGGGAGCCAGGATGGCACCAGGTGAGAGGGATGTGGCTGGAAGGAGGGTGCCTGGGAAGGAGAACAGGAGCTGAGGCTGGAAAGGAAGCCCAAGATCACACTATGGGGCCTGGAAGGCTTGAGAGTGAGGAGTTGGAGCAGCATCAAGGAGGCAGTGGGAAGTCACAGAAGGTGGCAGAGGAAGAGAGTGGCTCCAGGGAGGTCCATCCCCTGCAGGCATGAGCTGGAAAGAGGCTGGGAGAGGCGGGTCATGGCCCATGTTGGGAGCCTCTCTCAATAGTCCAGTTGCAAGAAGGTGAGGAATTGGGTCTGGGCGGTAGCAGAAAAAGGACACAGACAACCAGACTCCAGCAGGCAGTGGGACAAAGCAGGAGGAAGGAGAAATTCACCCAGACACGTTAAGTTTTCCTTGAGAAAGAGATGGTGCTTTCAAAAGATTCCACGCAAGCCAGAGGAGATGCTGGCTTAGGGGAAGACAGCAAATTTGGTTTAGAATATGTTGAGACCAGGCCAGGCACAGTGGCTCACGCCTGTAATCTCAGCACTTTGGGAGGCCGAGGTGGGCGGATCACCTGAGGTCAGGAGTTTGAGACCAGCCTGGCCAACATGATGAAACCCTCTCTCTACTAAAAATACAAACATTAGCCTGGCGTGGTGGTGGGCGCCTGTAATCTCAGCTACTCAGAAGGCTGAAGCAGGAGAATTGCTTGAATCCAGGAGGCGGAGGTTGCAGTGAGCTGAGATTACGCCACTGCACTCCAACCTGGGTGACAGAGCAAGACTCTACCTCAAAAAAAAAAAAAAAAAGAAAAGAAAAAAGAAAAGGTAAAAATAAAGCACCAGGCACAGAACCTGGGTTTGGAGACTGGGCAGGATGCCAGCACCTAGCTAAATACCTAACTTAGAATAGGCCAGGTGTGGTGGCTCATGCCTGTAGTCCTAGTACTTTGGGAGGCTGAGGTGGGTAGATCACTTGAAGTCAGGAGTTCCAGACCAGCCTGGCCTACAGGGCAAAACTCCGCCTCTACAAAAAATACAAAAGTTAGCTGGGCATAGGGCCGGGTGCGGTGGCTCATGCCTGTAATCCCAGCACTTTGAGAGGCCACGAGGGGGGAAGATCACGAGGTCAGGAGTTCAAGACCAGCCTGGCCAACATGGTAAAACCCCATCTCTACTAAAAATACAAAAATTAGCCGGGCATGGTGGCACATGCCTGTAATCCCAGCTACTTGGGAGGCTGAGGTAGGAGAATGGCTTGAACTCAGGAGGCGGAGGTTGCAGTGAGCTGAGACCGTGCCACTGCACTCCAGCCTGGGTGACAGAGTGAGACTCCGTCTCAAAAAAAAAAAAAAAAATTAGCTGGGCATGGTGGTGGATGCCTGTAATCTCAGCTACTTGGGAGGCTGAGACAGGAGAATTGCTTGAACTTGGGAGGCAGAGTTTGCAGTGAGCCGAGATTGCACCACTGCACTCAAGCCTGGGTAACAAACAGAGCAAAGAATAGTAGCTCATTCAGTGTTGTTATGAAAAAGCAGGTTCTCTCTCAGCATCCTCCTTGCTCTCAAGTCCTGTGATTCTTGAAATAATGCATCCAGTGGCAGAAAGGAGTTAGCATATGCTGCTGCTGGAAGCCTGTAAGTGGAGGCTGTGACACTCTAGAGAAAGGATTATTGAACAGTTGGATGGCTAGGATGAGTACTGTGTCTACTTGGTGCCTGCATCCTCAGTCCCCGGGATAAAGAATGAATGTGTGACCTATAAGGACCTTCCACATTGGGATTCATACCTGGTACATGTGCTTGACTTGGTGGATCTTGGGGCCTTTGGGGGTGAAACTGACATAGAGTGTGGAGTCTTCTTGGCTGCGGAGAGAGAAGGGCAGCGATGGAAGAACGAAGTGACAGCAACCCGGGCTCCAGGAAGCTTCTGAGCGCCCAGCCACTGTGCTAGGAACGGCACAGATACCATCTCATTCAATCCCTACCACAACCTGCTCTTTCCCAGAAACTAAGGCTCCTGGACAGGGCCAGCCTCTTGTCCAAAGCTTCTCCACAGTGGAGAGACAGGACTGGAGCCCAGGGAAGTGTGTCCAGTGGAGGCTATGTCCTCCCCACTGCGCGCCACCTCACCAGTGTCTCCACTGTCCTCTGGGCCCTGCTCATCTCCTAGATAATCGTATCCACTGCTGATGCCCCTCGCACCCATCCTTCCAACACACACTGCTGGGTGACCTTCCCAACATCACTCTCTAGTCCTGCCACTCACCTGCTCAGCATTGGCCAACGGCCCCCTACTGCGAGGGAGGGTCAGGTCCAAAGCCTCCCATGTCCAGGCAGTCTCCTCACTGCTCCCCTGCACACACCTGCCCTTGGCTAATCCTGCCCAATCCCTGTCCCCCAGGTATGCCCCACTGCTTCCTCCCTCCTTGCCTTTGTCTGGGCCATGGTCTCTGATGAGGACATCTAGGTTCCTTTTTAGCTCTTCCCCTAATGGCCTCATCCTCCAGACCCCAGTCCAAGCCGCACTTTCTCCACGAACTCTTCCATTTCTCCCCCAACCCACACTCATCTTTCCTGGCTCTAATTTCATGTCAGTATCATACTGTGTGGCATTGATGTTCAAAAGCACTGGAGGCCAGGCGCGGTGGCTTACGCCTGTAATCCCAGCACTTCAGGAGGCTGAGGCAGGTAGATCACCTGAGTTCAGGAGTTTAAGACCTGCCTGGCCAACATGGCGAAACCCTGTCTCTACTAAGAATACAAAAATTAGCTGGGCATGGTGGCAGGCACCTGTAGTCCCAGCTACTCGGGAGGCTGAGGCAGGAGAATTGCTTGAACCCTGGAGGAGGAGGTTGCAGTGAGCCGAGATTGTGCAACTGCACTCCAGCCTGGGCAACAGAGCGAGACTCTGTCTCTTAAAAAATAAAAAAAATTTAAAAAGCACTAGAGACCTGAGCTCAGACACTGTCCCCGTCCTTCTCTGTCCTTCTGTAACTGAGCCAACTGGAAAAAGCCACTCGATTTTGAGTTTCCTTTTTTTTTTTTTTCACACAGGGTCTCACTCTGTCACTCAGGCTGGAGGGCAGTGGCATGATCTCGGCTCACTGCAACCTCCTCCACCCGGGTTCAAGCAATTGTCCTGCCTCAGCCTCCTGAGTAGCTGGGATTATAGGTGCCTGCCACAACGCCGAGCTAATTTTTGTATTTTTAGTAGAGACAAGGTTTCACCATGTTGGCCAGGCTGGTCTTGAACTACTGACCTCAAGTGATCCACCCACCTTGGCCTCCCAAATTACTAGGATTACAGGTGTGAGCCACCACACCTGGCCAAGTTTCCTTTTCTATAAGCGAGAAGACCTGTAACAGGTTTTTTTGAAATAGCAAAAAACGGACATAACTCCCTCCATTTTTGTTGAAGAGGCCTTTACCCATTCCTGCCCATAGGCTAGGATAATTTTAGAGCACTGAGATAACATGCAAAAACAGCTATCATGTAGTTTTTAAAACTAAGTCTGGCATTAAAGGGGACGTTTGTAAACAACTAACTATGTTTTGTTAAAGATTTATAGAAGCACTGTGACCTGACCAAGGACCAAGAAGTTCCCAACCTCCTTGTATCCTCTCTGGTGCCCAGATGTCTGTGCTAAGTTACCTCTTGATCTTAACCCCTTTCTCTTCCCCCTACCCTTAACATTACAGATGGTCCTTTAGAACACTAGTTCACTGTCTTCTCAATTGCCTGGCTTTCCAGATAAACCTGCCTTTCCTCCCACCAACTCTTGCTTCTTAAGTCTGGCTTTCAAGTAACAAGCAGCCAGACCAGAGTTCAGTTACAAACCCAACTAGCGATCCCCATGGTTCCTTCCTGCTACTGTGTTCTGAGAGTCACTGACTCTGTGTGTGCATGAGTTTGGGCTCTCCCACTTGACTGTAAGCTCCCTGAGGGCAAGGGGTATTGTGATAACTTTTCTCCTATCTCTCCTGGCATTATCGGCCCCCAGGAGGGGAGAGAATCTAGGGTGACTGAAACAGTCAGGAGCTTGGCTGGGCCTTTGGAGTCAGACAGGCTGAAGCTCAGACCCTGGCTTTAGTACTTCCAGCTATTGGACCTTGGGTAAGTGCCGGCCTTCTCTGAGCCTCAGCTTGTTCATTGGTAAAATGGAGAGCGGCACAGCTGCCTCACAGAGGTGCTGAGGGCTCCAGGCAATGTCAGCAACTGCGCAGTGCAGCTGGCCCTCAGTCTGACATAAAATTAGTGTTCAATGAGCTTTTTCTTCCATCAGTAAATGCTAATCCTTCCCTGAGCTCTTCCATGGCCCTCACATTTTGGAATGTTGAAAACTTTTGGGGTTGTGGCTGGAATCAGTTCTAATTACCCCAAGGGGCTCTAAGAAAGGAAGGAGGTTCAGAAGGAGAGCCCCAGGAGCAAAGTCGGGGCCCTGGGTTGGGAGGCTGCGGTGGGAGGAGAGGGTTGGCTGTCTGCTGGGAAGAACTTACTCCTGGATGAGGATGTTGATGGGGTACAGGATGGGGATGATGGTAGTGGCTGAGTTGTCCTCCAGGAGGTCTGAGTCCTCATTGTTACTGCATTGGGGCAAGGAAGAGGCCAGTGTTAGGAGAAGGGCTTGGCCAGGTCTGAGACCATGGCAGGGATGTGGGCGGGGCCTGCTCACCAGGTCACATTGGCGTGCAATTCAACCGAGTCCCCCCAGGAGCTGTTTACCAGTGTATTAAACATCATCTGCAGAGCAACCTGGCAGGAAAGGAGAGGGCAATGGAAATGGAAGGGTCATGAGGAGCAGCCTCATGGCCCCCACATCTAATCACCATCATCTCAGGGACCCCTTATCAAGTGCTCACTGCACCCCAAGCACTGAGCTAGGATTCTACCCATTGCAAAGATGAGGCAACCAAGGCTCCAGACGGTTAAGTTATGTCTATAAGGTCACAAAATGAATAACCCAATCCCAGCTTTGCCTGATTCTAAAGTCCAGGCTCTCAAACATGACACAGAACAGATTCACATACATTTCTCTTAGGTAGGGGCAAGGTACACCCTTCTTGACAATCACCTGCTCCCTTCTCCTGAGCCAAGAGCTCCCTGCCCTCCACCAGCTCAGGGCCCCTAGGCTGCTTGGTCCCTGGAGACTTGAAGCACTCACCGAGTGGCCTGCTTTGAAGATGGGAGAGCTCACATTGCAAGATAATGCCCTGGACAGAAGCCTGGACTCTTCAGGAAGCTCCTCGCAGCTCACAGGTATCTGGCTATGGGGCTGGGAGTGAAAGGAGGAAACAAGTTTGTTAATGAGCAAGGCCAAGTTTCCCCCAGAGGCCACCAGCCCTCCTGGCCTACCTCCCCCAGGGGCTCTGTCCCTGTCATGGAACCTTCTCAGCGGGAAAGGGCCCAAGAATCAGGGCTGCAGACAGAGGCTTAGTACAAAATAGTCACTGGAAGGCTGGGTAAGGTAGCTCACACTTGAAATCCCAGCACTCAGGGAGGCTGAGGTGGGAGGATTACTTAAGGCCAGGAGTTCGAGATCAGCCTGGGCAAGAGTGAGACCCCATCTCTATTAAAAAAAATTTTTTTTTTTTTTAAATATAGGATCTTACTCTGTTGCCCAGGCTAGAGTGCAATGGTGCGATCTCGGGTCACTGCAACCTCTGACTCGCAGGCTCAAGCGATCCTCCTGCCTCAGCCTCCCGAGTAGCTGGGACTACAGGGATGTGCCACCATGTCCAGCTAATTTTTGTATTTTTAGTAGAGATGGAGCCTGTGTATGTCACTCAGGCTGCTCTTGAACTCCTGGGCTCAAGAGATCTGCCTGCCTCAGCCTACCAATGTGCTGGGATTATAAGTGTAAGCCTCTGTACCTGGCCTACAAAAAATTTTTTAAAATGAGCTGAGCATAGTGGGGCGTGCCTGTTGTCCCAGCTATTAGGCAGGAGAATCACTTGAGCCCAGGAGTTTGAGGCTGCAGTGGGCCATGCTTATGCCACTATACTTTAGCCTGGGCAACAGAGTGAGACCTTATCTCAAAAATAAAAGTTGGGTGTAGGGGGGTAATTGCAACACTATTTATAATACTGAAAAACTGGAAGTGCTCAAACAGGTCAAAGAGATAACAACGGCTCAGTAAAGTGTGGTACAATCAAAGAAGAGACTATCGTGAAGTTTTTAAAATGCCACTACCTCTATACATTCAGTAACCATTTAAAAAATGAGCCTGATCCTGGGCTAAGCATTATTAAACCATTCATCTTCATCCCAATTTTGTAAAGGACAGATTTCAGTCTCAGACTGGGAAGGAAACAGATAAGGAAATACAGGTTCAGGGAGGCTAAGGGACTTTCCCAAGGTGTCATAACTGGGTAACAGTAGGGATCCGTAAGAACTTGAACACAGAACTGTTTGACTCCAGTTATTTTCTCTCTCTCTCTCTCTTTTTTTTTTTTTTTTGAGATGGAGTCTTGCTGTTGTCACCCAGGCTAGAGTGCAGTAGAGTGATCTTGGCTCACTGAACCTCCACCTCCTGGGTTCAAGTGATTCTCCTGCCTCAGCCTCCCAAGCAGCTGGGATTACAGGCACATGCTACCACACCCAGCTAATTTTTGTATTTTTAGTAGAGATGGGGTTTCACCATGTTGCCCCGTCTGGTTTTGAACTCATGACCTCAGATGATCTGCCCACCTCAGCCTCCCAAAGTACTGGGATTACAGGCGTGAACCGCCACACCCAGCCCAGTTTTTTTTTTGTTTTTTGTTTTTTGTTTTTCCTGAGACAAGGTCTCGCTCTGTCGCCCAAGCTGGAGGGCAATGTTGTAATCATAGCTCACTGCAGCCTCAAACTCCTGGACTCCAGCGATCCACCCACCTCAGCCTCCTGAGTAGCAGGACTACAGGCACACCCCACCACACCTGGCTAATTATTTAATTTTGTGTAGAGACAGAGTATTGTTCTGTTGCCCAGGCTAGAGTGCATTGGCATGATCATAGCTCACAGCGGCCTCGAACTCTCGGGCTTAAGCACTTCTCCACCTCAGCCCCCAAGGTAGCTGGAATTGCAGGTGCGCACCACCACATCCAGCAAAGAAACATTTAATGTTGCTGTATAAGAATAATTCGGTTGGGTGCAGTGGCTCACGCCTGTAATCCCAGCACTTTGGGAGGCCAAGGCGGGTAGATCACCTGAGGACAGGAGTTCAAGACCAGCCTGGCCAACATGGTGAAACCCCATCTCTACTAAAAATATAAAAATTAGCTGGGTGTGGTGGCAGGCGCCTGTATCCCAGCTACTCGGGAGGCTGAGGCAGGAGAATCACTTGAACCTGGGAGGCGGAGGTTGCAGTGAGCCGAGATTGCGCCATTGCACTTTAGCCTGGGGGACAAGAGCAAGACTTCGTCTCAAAAAAAAAAAAAAAAAAAAATAGGCCGGGCGTGGTGGCCCACGCCTGTAATCCCAGCACTGTGGGAGGCTGAGGCGGGTGGATCATGAGGTCAGGAGATCGAGACCATCCTGGCTAACACAGTGAAACCCCGTCTCTACTAAAAATACAAAAAATTAGCTGGGCGTGGTGGTGGGCGCCTGTAGTCCCGGCTACTCGGGAGGCTGAGGCAGGAGAATGGCGTGAACCCGGGAGGTGGAGTTTGCAGTGAGCCGAGATCGCGCCACTGCACTCCAGCCTGGGTGACAGAGCGAGACCCCGTCTCAGAAAATAAATAAATAAATAAATTTAAAGAAAATAAAAAAATAAAAAGAATAATTCAAGTGTTCATTGACAGATAAATAGGTAAAATATGGTCTATGCATAAAATGGAATATTATTCAACCTTAAAAAGGAAGGAAATTTGGCCGGGCACACTTGTTCACACCTGTAATCCTAGCACTTTGGGAGGCTGAGGTAGGCAGATCGCTTGAGCTCAGAAGTTTGAGACTAGCCTGGGGAACATAGTGAGACCCTCTCTCTATTTAAATTTTTTTTTTTTTGAGATGGAGTCTTGCTCTATCACCCAGGCTGGAGTGCAGTGGCACAATCTTGACTCACAGTAGCCTCTGCCTTACAGATTCAAACGATTCTCCTGCCTCAGCCTCCCTAGTAGCTGGGATTACAGCCGCACACCACCTCGCCTGGATAATTTTTGTGGGTTTTTTTTTTGTTTTTTTTTTTGTTTTTTTTTTGAGACGGAGTTTCGCTGTCGCCCAGGTTGGAGTGCAGTGGCGCGATCTCGGCTCGCTGCAGGCTCCGCCCCCTGGGGTTCATGCCATTCTCCTGCCTCAGCCTCCCGAGTAGCTGGGACTACAGGCGCCCGCCACCTCGCCCGGCTAATTTTTTGTATTTTTAGTAGAGACGGGGTTTCACCGTGTTAGCCAGGATGGTCTCGATCTCCTGACCTCGTGATCCGCCCGCCTCGGCCTCCCAAGGTGCTGGGATTACAGGCGTGAGCCACCACGCCCGGCCCATTTTTGTATTTTTTTAGTAGAGACAGGGTTTCACCATGTTGGCCAGGCTGGTCTCGAGCTCCCGACCTCAGGTGATCTGCCCGCCTTGGCCTCCCAAAGTGTTGGGATTACAGTTGTGAGCCACCGCACCCAGCCTGAGAGGGTAAACCTGGTACCTCGGATCATACAGCTCGAGGCTGGGAACCCAGATATGACCCTAAGACCCCTGTCCACCCGCAGCTGCCCATGTGTTCAGGCTGTCCTGGCTGCCTGGGGCTCAAAGAAGGGGGCAGTGTCTGCCGAACAGATGCCCGCAGGCAGGCGCTGTCCTCTCACCCACCTTCAGCATCTCCACCTTGCGGAAGGAGAGTCCCGGGGGGAAGTGCAGGTCCAGCTGGACCCAGTAAGCATCTTCTTCCAAGTTACTCAGGCTCAGCTCCACAGAGAGGCTGGCAAAAGCAGTTAGACGCAGGGCTCTGGATCTGTGGGGGATGATCAGGGAAAGATGGAGGAGGGAGGATCAGGGTGGGGAATATCAGAACTGAGGGATCTGGTGGGCCAGAAAGAAATAAATCAAAACCAATCATCTTTTATGCTCAGTCTTTTTTTTTTTTTTTTTTTTTTTTTTTTTTTTTTTTGAGATGGAGTCTCACTCTGTCACCCAGGCTGGAGTGCAGTGGCGCGATCTTGGCTCACTGCAAGCTCCGCCTCCCGGGTTCACGCCATTCTCCTGCCTCAACCTCCCGAGTAGCTGGGACTACGGGCGCCCACCACCATGCCCGGCTAATTTTTTTTTTTTGTATTTTAAGTAGAGACGGGGTTTCACTGTGTTAGCCAGGATGGTCTCAATCTCCTGACCTCGTGATCCGCCCGCCTCGGCCTCCCAAAGTGCTGGGATTACAGGCCACCGCCCCCGGCTTTTTTTTTTTTTTTTATTGAGACAGAATCTCACTCTGTAGCCCAGACTGGAGTGCAATGGCACAGTCTCGGCTTACTGCAACCTCCACCTCCAGAATTCAAGCAATTCTCCTGCCTCAGCCTCCCAAATAGCTGGGATTACAGGCACGTGCCACCATGCCTGGCTAAGTTTTGTATTTTCAGTAGAGACAGGGTTTCACCATGTTGGCCAGGCTGGCCTCGAGCTCCTGACCTCAGGTGATCTGCCCGCCTTGGCCTCCCAAAGTGCTGGGATTATAGGCGTGAGCCACCGCGCCAGGCCATGCTCAGACTTTCAGTTTTACAATTCTTGCAATCTCATTTACTGATGACTGATAGGAGTTCCATGAGGGATTTGCTTTTTATTTTATTTGCTTTTTATTTTTTAGAGATAGAGTCTTGCTCTGTCACCCAGGCTGGGGTGCAGTGGTGCTTACTGCAGCCTCAAACTCCTGGCTCAAGCCATCCTCTGCCTCAATCTCCCAAGTAGCTGGGAATACAGGCATGAGCCACCGTGCCCAGCTAATTTTTAAATTTTTTTTTAGTGACAGGGTCTTGCTATGTTTCCCATAGCTGGTCTTGAACTCTTGGCCTTAACGAATCTTCCCCCTTTGGTTGGCCTCCTGAAGTGCTGGGATTATAGGCATGAGCCCCTGAGTTCAGCCTCAAATTTCTCAGAAAAGGAAACTAAGGCCCAAGAGAGGGAAGTGGTGTCTGCAAATGACATATCTGGTGAGTGGAGTGGGGGGTCTTAAAACAGAGTGGATGGGAGGCTGGAGGGTGGGAGGCCTTACTGACCTTGCAGGAGAGAAGGACACTCTCAAGTTTGCCTCACACTTCTTGTCCTCCCCACAGTTCTTCTCAAAAGGGATCTGAAACACCAAGAAGAAAGGAGTAACAGGCTCAGATCAGGAGGGACTTGTTCCCAGGCCTCTCTGCCTGCCCCTTCTCCCCTCTTACCTCCCAGGTTTCCGAGTGCAGGGAGGGTCTCAGGATGGGCGGTATGTCCTTGCCCTGCTGAGCGAGGGGTAGTGGGCAGGATGGAGAGAGGAGAGATTAACTGAGGCAGCAGACCTCATGAAGGAGAGCTGGAGGGGCAGGGGCTTAGCTCAACTGGGCTGGCTGTGGTTGGCCCTGCCCAGGAGCCAGCTGCCTTTCCAGGGCTGCCCCACTCTGCTGCCTCAGCCTACTGCCATTTGTGCAGTCTTACTCTGCTGGCAGCTCTTTTTTTTTTTTTTTTTTAAGACTGTCTTACTCTGTTGCCCAGGCTGGAGTGCAGTGGCACAATCTCTGCTCACTGCAACCTCTGCCTCCTGGGTTCAAGCGATTCTTATGCCTCAGCCTCCTGAGTAGCTGGGATTACAGGCATCTACCACCACGCCTGGCTAATTTTTTAAAAATATTTTTAGTAGAGATGGGTTTTCGCCATGTTGGCACACTGGTCTCGAACTCCTGGTCTCAAGCAATCCACCCCCCTCAGCCTTCCAAAGTGCTGGGATTACAGGTGTGAGCCACAACACCCGGCCGGCTCTTTTTTTTTTTTTTCTTCTTTAGAGACAGGGTTTCGTGCTGTTGCCTAGGCTGGAGGGCAGTGGTGCAATCATAGCTCAATAGCTCACTGCAGCCTCAACCCTCTGGCTCAAGTGATCCTCCCTGCTCAGCCTCCCAAGTAGCTGGGACTACAGGGGCGCACCATCACAATAACTAATTTTTTATGTTTTGTAGAAAGGGAGTCCCACTATGTTGCCCAGGCTGGTCTCAAACTCCTGGCCTCAAGTGCACCATCACACCCGACTAATCTTTGTATTTTTAGTAGAGATGGGGTTTCACCATGTTGGCCAGGCTGGTCCTGAACCCCTGACCTTAAGTGATCCACCCACTTCAGCCTCCCAAAGTGCTGGGATTATAGGAGTGTGCTGCCCGGCCATGGGCGGCTCTTCTTGCCAAATGGATTTCTCTGATAAACTCCCCACCATCCCTAGCCATCTCTTCTTACCGCCCTTTGGTCCCTCGGTGTCCCTTCCTCCTCCCAAAGAGAGAAATTCAGGGAAACATTGATGGGGGAGATGAGGTCTTGAACACATACCTGAGGGTGATAAGAATACAGCCTATGTCATGAATCTAACTTTTACCGCACTTCCGATTAGATGTATACCTTGTCAGCATTTTACAAGTGATGAAATTCTGGTAGTTCTTTGTCTAAGACCCTACCAGTATTGAAAATCCATTGACTACATAGCAGGTGTGTACAGCACACCCAGGGGGCTTCTCAGCACAGTTATCATCCCTGAGCCCCGGTTCCCCAGCAGACATCACTAATCAATCCCAGCACTTTTCCCCCACTGTGTCCTAACTGAAGCCCCTGAATTTTGACCTAGGCAGCCATTATCAAAGTTTGCTTAAGAAAATTTCAGAATAACTAGAATATCCTAGTTCTAGAATTTTGTTCCTTGAGAATAGGGCTGGGTCTTAGTCATTTGCTATTACCAATGCCTGACACTGGCATTTTGTAGGTACTCAAATTGTTTTTCACCTGAAGGTTCTACTAGCCCTAAGAGGTAGGTATTATTACCCCAACATTTAAAATAAGGAAAATGAGCTCTCCCTTCCTTCCTTTTCTTTCTTCTCTTTTCCTTCCTTCTCTCCTTCTTTCTTTTCTTTTTTTCTTTCTTCTTTTCCCTCCCTCCCTCCTTGCCTGCCTCCCTCCCTCCCTCCCTTCCTTCCTTCCTCCGTTGTCCTTCCTTCCTTCCCTCCTTTCTTTCTCTTTCTCTTTCATCCTCCCTCCTTCTGTCCCCCTCTAGAAAAGAAAAAAAAAAAAAGAAAATGAAAACTAAAAAGGTGGCACAGTTGTCCTAAGAGCTTGGAGTGACAGTCAAGATTTGAACCCAAATCTGTCCAAATCCAAAGTCCAGGATCTTTCCACCATGTCACACTGCTTTCTTTTCTGGCAAATTTATGTTTAAAATGTCTAAATCTTATAAGAGGTGGAATGGGAGTAGGCAGAGGGGCACTGAGTAGAGGTTTGAATGAAATAGAGGGTGAGTCGATAATTGTTGAAACTGGGTGATGAGGACCTGGGGATTCATTAAACTATTTTTTTTCTAGTTTTGTGTGATTCATATTCTCATAATAAAAAGTTTAAAACAGGCTGGGTGCAGTGGCTTACACCTGTAATCCCAGCACTTTGGGATGCCGAGGTGGGTGGATCACCTGAGGTCAGGAGTTTGAGACCAGCCTGGCCAACATGGTGAAAACCCATCTCTATCACAAATACAAAAATTAGCCAGGCATGGTGGTGTTCACCTGTAATCCCAGCTACTTGGTAGGATGTGGTGGGAGAATTACTTGAACCCAGGAGGGCAGAGGCTGCAGTGGGCCCAGATCATAACAATGCATTCTAGCCTGGGCAACACAGTGAGACTCCATCTCAAAAAAAAAAAAAAGTTTAAAACAAACTTCAAATTCTTATGTCCCAATCCTATACTGTCTTATATGAATTTTTTTTTTTTTTTGAGATGGAGTTTCACTATCATTGCCCAGGCTGGAATGCAATGGCACAATCTCAGCTCACTGCAACCTCCGCCTCCTGGGTTCAAATGATTCTCCTGCCTCAGCCTCCTGAGTAGCTGGGATTACAGGCGCCTGCCACCACACCTGGCTAATTTTTTGCATTTTTAGTAGAGATGGGTTTTCACCATGTTGACCAGGCTGGTCCTGAACTCCTGACCTCAAGTGATCCGCCCACCTCAGTCTCCCAAAGTGCTGGGATTACTGGCATGAGCCACCATGCCTGGCCTTTTATGAAATATTTAAGAGAACATAACAATTTGATATCAATCCTTTTTTTTTTTTTTTTTTTTTTTTGAGATGGAGTCTTGCTCTGTCGCCCAGGCTGGAGTGCAGGGGCGCGATCTCGGCTCACTGCAAGCTCCGCCTCCCGGGTTCATGCCATTCTCCTGCCTCAGCCTCCCAAGTAGCTGGGACTACAGGCCCCCACCACCACGCCCAGCTAATTTTTTGTATTTTTAGTAGAGACGGGGTTTCACCGTGTTAGCCAGGATGGTCTCAATCTCCTCACCTCGTGATCCGCCCACCTTGGCCTCCCAAAGTGCTGGGATTAGAGGCGTGAGCCACCGCGCCCGGCCATATTAATCCCATTTTTATACAGGATTGCTTATAAGCAACTGAATCTGGGTATTTCAACAGTTGTTCAAACTTTATTGTTTTGGAGACAGAGTCTCATTCTGTTGCCCAGGCTGGAGTGCAGTGGCACAATCACAGCTCATTGCAACCTCCACCTCCTGGGTTCAAGCAATCCTCCTGCTTCAGCCTCCCAGGTAGCTGGGACTACAGGTGCGCTCCACCAAGGCTGGCTAATTTTTTGGTGTTTTTTGTAGAGAAGGGGTCTCGCTATGTTGCCCAGGCTGGTGTTGAACTCCTAAGCTCAAGCAATCCACCTACTTCAGCCTCTCAAAGTGCTGGCATGAGCCACCGTGCCTGGCCTGTTTTAACTTTTTTAAAAACTTTTTTTTTCCATGTACCATACATGAGACTTAATTTAAAAACTTTAAAAAATCCCTAAGTTTTTCTGGGATGCATGATATGTACCTGGCAAATAACAACATACCATGATGATTGAATATTCTGTAAAAATTAAATATTTTAATTTTTTTTTTTTTTTTTGAGATGGAGTTTCACTCTTGTTGCTCAGGCTGGAGTGCAATGGCACGATCTCGGCTCACTGCAACCTCCATCTCCTGGGTTCAAGTGATTTTCCTGCCGCAGCCTCCCAAGTAGCTGGAATTACAGGCATGGGCCACCACGCCCAGCTAATTTTGTACATTTTTAGTAGAGATGGGGTTTCTCCATGTTGGCCAGGCTGGTCTTGGACTGCCAATCTCAGGTGATCTGCCCACCTCGGCATCCCAAAGTGCTGGGATTACAGGTATGAACCACCGTGCCCAGCCAAACATTTTAATATTTCATAATTAAAAATTATGAAAGCTGTGTAGCAGCATTAATATATAATGTATGAAAAGAGTAGGGAAAAATAGTAACTACATTGCCATTGTAATCATGTTAAAAATGCCCATAAATATATTAAAAAGTAGAAGCTGCTGGGCACGGTGGCTCATGCCCGTAATCCCAGCACTTTTGGAGGCCAAGGTAAGAGGATTACTTGATGCCAAGGGTTTTAGACCAGCCTGGGCAACACAGCAAGACCTTGTCTCTACAAAAACTATTTTTTTTTTTTTTGAGATGGAGTTTCACTCTTGTTGCCCAGGCTGGAGTGCAATGGCACGATCTTGGCTCACTGCAACCTCTGCCTCCTGGGTTCAAGCAATTCTCCTGCCTCAGCCTCCCAAGTAGCTGGGATCACAGGCATGTGCCAACACACGCAGCTAATTTTGTATTTTTAGTAGAGATGGGGTTTCACCATGTTGGCCAGGCTGGTCTCGAACTCCTGACCTCAGGTGATCCACCCACCTTGGCCTCCCAAAGTGCTGAGCCACCGCGCTTGGCCTACAAAAACATTTTTAAAAATTATCCAGATGTGGTGGTGCATGCCTGTAGTCCTAGCTACTCGGGAGGCTGAGGTGGGAGGATCATTTGAGCCCAGAAGTTGGAGGCTACAGTGAGCCATGATTGCATCACTCCACTCCAGCCTGGACGATAGAGCAAGGCCCTGTCTCTAAAAAAATTTTTTTAATAAAAAATTAAAAAAATTAAAAACCTAGAAGCAGCCAGGCACAGTGGTGTGCACTTGTAGTCCCTGCTACTCAGGAAGCTGAGGCAAGAGAACCTCTTGAGGCCAGAAGTTAGAGTCCAGCCTGGGCAACAAAGTAAGACCCCCATCTCTAAAAATATAAAATATGGCCGGGGGCAGTGGCTCATGCCTGCAATCCCAGCACTTTGGGAGGCCGAGGTAGGAGGATCACCTGAGGTCAGGAGTTCGAGACCAGCCTGGCCAACATGGTGAAACCCCAACTCTACTAAAAATATAAAAATTAGTTGGGCATGGTGGCATGCACCTGTAATCCCAGCTACTCGGGAGGCTGAGGCAGGAGAATCGCTTGAACCCGGGAGGCAGAGGCTGTAGTGAGCCGAGATCATGCCACTGCACTCCAGCCTGGGTGATAGAGCGAGACTCTGTCTCAAATAAATAAATAAATAAATAAATAAATAAATAAATAAATAAATAATATAAAATAGGCCAGGAGCGATGGCTCATGCCTGTAATCCCAGCACTTTGGGAGGCCAATGCAGGCAGATCACCAGAGGTCAGGAGTTCGAGACCAGCCTGACTAACATGGTGAAACCCTATCTCTCCCAAAAATACAAAAATTAGCTAGGCATAGTGGCAGGTGCCTGTAATCCCAGGTACTCGGGAGACTGAGGCAGGAGAATTGCTTGAACCCAGGAGGTGGAGGTGGCCATGAGCCGAGATCGTGCTGTAGTAAGTGAGACCGTGCCACTGCACTACAGCCTGGGTGACAGAGCGAGACTCTGTGTCAAAAAAAAAAAAATATATATATATATATATATACATATATATATATACACATATATATACATATATATACACATATATATATAATTTAA
The DNA here is from genome assembly GCF_000001405.40 of Homo sapiens. Classification (NCBI taxonomy): domain Eukaryota; kingdom Metazoa; phylum Chordata; class Mammalia; order Primates; family Hominidae; genus Homo; species Homo sapiens. Next base: position 30,499,657 of record NC_000016.10, on the reverse strand, counting down.
AAAAAACACTAGAAGAAAATATGCTAAGGGTGTTATTACTACCATTGCACAGGAGAGGAAGTGACAGCACAGAGGGATGGAAGTGACGTGTCACCCACTGGACAGTGACGGAGCTGAGCCTGCCCCTGCAGGTAGCTCATCCCAGAGCATTGGCGCTGGCTCCCTTACCGGGAAATGAAATGAGAAGTCAGTGCATGACATGCTGGTGGTGACAGCTATATTCCTTCTGAGTTCATGTCTCCCTCCTGGGAACAACCCCCGTCTTCTGGTCCGGTGGCCATCCAGCTGCAGAGTGTAAGTGAGATTGGCAACCAGGCGGCCTGGGCAGGGCGGAAAAGGCAAGAGTTAAATGGTGGGGGATCCCAGGCCATAAGCCTGGATTTGGGGCGGCAGCTGCCCTGGGAGCAGGAGGAGAGCTCTGACCTTGGAACTGGGGGATGAGAGACTTGATCTGGAAACAGATTGTGATATTAACTCCTTCTTTCATCTTGTTACTGGTTGAATAGGAGCACTCCACTTCATGCACTGGGATCTCAGCTGGAGAGAAGGACATCAGGGTGACCATATCCACCACGGGCCGGGAGCTGCAGGGCAGAAGGCAACCAACTCTCTCCCTCCAACCCAACTGCACGTCCCCCCTCAGATGTGGGGCTCCCGCCAGCAAAGCCAGAGAACTCTCCTTCCCTAAAGCAGACCTCAACATGTCACTGTCTCCTCTTAAGGAAAATAATAATGATACTTTTTATTTATTTATTTTGAGAGAGGGTCTCACCCTGTTGCCCAGGCTGGAGTGCAGTGGCATGATAACAGCTCACTACAGCCTCGGCCTCCCAGGCTCTAGTAATCCTCCCACCTCAGCCTCCCAAGGATCTGGGACCACAGGCATGTGCCACCACACCTGGCTAACTTTAAATAAATTTTTGTAGAGAAGGGACCTTCCTATGTTGTCCAGGGTGGTCTTGAACTCCTGAGCTCAAGCAATCCTCCCGGCTTGGGCTCCCAAAGTGCTGGGATTATAGGCATGAGCCACCATGCCTGGCCAATAATGGTGATAACTAATTAGGGCTCCCAGTTCATTCTAGCAGCCTCTGACCCATTTTCCATGAAGAAGAGAAAGCTCTTAGGAAGAGAAATCATACTGAGTTACTTTCATGCTTATGTTTAAGCCTTCAGTGATGCTTGCATGAATTTTATTATGCTTCATAATAAAGTTGCAGCTTTTGTTGTTGTTAGAGCCTCGCTTTGTTGCTCAGGCTGGAGTGCAGTGGTGCAGTCATAGCTCACTGCATCCTCACACTCCTGGCCTCCAGCGATCCTCTTGTCTCAGACTCCTGTGTAGCTGGGATTACGGGAGTGAGCCCCAGTGCCTGGCTCCTATTTTTTTTTTTTTTTTTGAGATCCTCCTCTTGGGCTCAAGCAATTCTCCTGCCTCAGCCTCCCGAGTAGCTGGGATTACAGGCGCATGCCACCATGCCCAGCTAATTTTTGTATTTTTAGTAGAGATGGGGTTTCAACAGGTTGGCCAGGCTGGTCTTGAACTCCTGACTAAGCCCCCCGTGCCTCCCATTGAAGATGTATACAGCCCCCTGCTCCTCCAGAGGGGCCCCCACAACCACGTCCACCTGACCTCAAATGATCCACCCACCTCGGCCTCCCAAAGTGCTGGATTACAGGCATGAGTCATTGCATCCGGCCTATTTATTATTTTTTTGTGGTAGGATCTCACTCTGTAGCTCAGGCTGGAGTACAGTGGCATGATCACAGCTCACTGCAACCTCGACCTCCCAGGCTCAAGTCATCCTCCTGCCTTAGCCTCCCAAGTAGCTGGGCCTACAGTCATGCACCACCATACCTGGCCAATTAAAAAAAAAAAAGAAAAGGGCTGGGCACGGTGGCTCACTCTGTAATCCTAGCACTTTGGGAGGCCGAGACGGGCGGATCCCTTGAGGTCAGGAGTTCAAAACCAGCCTGGCCAACATGGCGAAACCCCGTCTCTACTAAAAATACAAAAAAATTAGCAGGGCATGGTGGTGCATGCCTGTGATCCCAGCTACTTGGGAGGCTGATGCAGGAGAATCGCTTGAACCCAGGAGGTGGAGGTTACAGTGAGCCAAGATCGCACCACTGCACTCTGGCCTGGGCAACAGTGCAAGACTCTCTCTCAAAAGAAAAAAAAAAAGTACAGATGGTGTCCCACTGTGTTGCCCAGGCTGGTCTCAAACTCTTGAGCTCAAGTAATCTTCCTGCCACAGCCTCTCAAAGTGCTGGGATTACCCACATGAGCCACCACACCCTGTTAATCTTTTTTTTTTTTTGAGGCGGAGTCTCACTCTGTCACCCAGGCTGGAGTGCAGGGGCGCGATCTCGGCTCACTGCAAGCTCCGCCTCCTGGGTTCACGCCATTCTCCTGCCTCAGCCTCCCGAGTAGCTGCGACTACAGGCACCCGCCACCACGCCTGGCTAATTTTTGTATTTTTAGTAGAGACAGGGTTTCACCGTGTTAGCCAGGATGGTCTCCATCTCCTGACCTCGTGATCCGCCCGCCTCGGACTTCCGAAGTGCTGGGATTAGAGGTGTGAGCCACCGTGCCCAGCTGCCACACCCTGCTAATTTTTAATTATATGTTTTCCAATATGTAAGCTGTCTCTGGGATTACAGGTGTGAGCCACTGTGCCTGGCCTGGAAGACCATATATTAAAAAAAATAAAAATTAGGCCATGCATAGTGGCTCCTGCCTGTAACTCCAGCACTCTGGGAGGCTGAGGAGAAAGCATAGTTTGAGACCAGGAGTTTGAGACCAGCTGGGGCAACAAAGTAAGTCCCCATTGCTACCAAAAAAAAAAAAAAAATTAGCCAGGTGTGGTGGCGAGCACCTGTAGTCTCAGCTACCCGAGAGGCTGAGGTGGGAGGATCACTTAAGCCCAGCAGTTCGAGGCTGCAGTGAGTTATGATCATGCCACTGCACTCCAGCCTGAGCAACAAAGAGAGACCCTGTCTCTAAAAAAAACCAAAATAAATAAATAAAATAAAATATAAACAAAACAGGATAAGAGCTGGGGTCATCAGGTGTGACCTGGGAGACCCATCTCACCTCAGCACGATCATCTGGCTCTCAGCCCCCACAGCCACATCTGCCAAGCCATCCCCTTCAAGGTCCTTCACCCCATGGATGGAGCGTCCAAACCACTGAATTCCTGAGAGCACTTGGGTCCCTTCTATCCGCTGAGAGCAAGAAAGAAATTGCCACTAAGCTGAGGAGAGGTAGGTTGGAGGGAGGGAAGGATCGGGCTGGGGAGTGGGGTCTGGGCTTGGGGGCTTAGGGCACCTGAGAATGGAGTGTGATTGGCAGGCAGCATACGTCACCTGACTTGGCTGGGGACTAAGCCCCCCGTGCCTCCCATTGAAGATGTACACAGCCCCCTGCTCCTCCAGAGGGGCCCCCACAGCCACGTCTACCAGCCCATCGCCGTTGATGTCTGTCAGAGCAGTGATGGCTTCTCCAAACCGCCCGAGTGGGTAGCCGGGGTCCCCCTGCAGCTCTGAGACTTCTTCAAACCCCAACTAGGAAGTAGCAAGAGACAGGTCACACCCAAGTCACTCAGCATGCTGTCACAGAACAACTGAGTGAAGAATGCTAAAGAAACGTAAGATGGGGTCCCTCACAGAATTGGAATGGTGCTGTTAGACTAACCAGGGTTCAAGCACCAGCCCAGACTCTTACTGTCCTCTTACTGTGACCTTGTGGTTTCCCCTACTGAGCTTGGGGTTTCCATTTATATATATATACATTTTTTTGATAATTTTTTTTTGAGATGGAGTCTTGCTCTGTCGCACAGGCTGGAGTGCAGTGGTGCAATCGCAGCTCACTACAGCCTCGAACTCCTGGGCTCAAGCGATCCTCCCACCTCAGCCTCCCAAGTAGCTGGGACTACAGGTATGTACCACCACATCTGGCTAACTTTAAAATTTTAATTTATTTATTTTTATTTTTGTAGAAACAGGGTCTTGTCATGTTGCCCAGGCTGGTCTTGAACTCCTGGCTTCAAGCAATCATCTTGCCTCAGCCTCTCAAAGTGCTGGGATTACAGGCATGAGCCACCGCACCCCAGGGATTCCCATTTATAAAATAAAGCTTGTAGTATCTCAGCAGGTGGTCATGAGGAAAGGGAGGTCATATCTATAAAAAGTTTGGCGCTGCCTACCAGGTGCAGCGGCTCACGCCTGTAATCCCAGCATTTTGGGAGGCCGAGGCGGGTGGATCACCTGAGGTCAGGATTAGAGACCAGCCTGGCCCACATGTCGAAACATGGTCTCTACTAAGAATACAAAAATTAGCTGGGTGTGGCGGCAGGCACCTGTAATCCGAACACTTTGGGAGGCCGAGGTGGGTGGATCACCTGAGGTCAGGAGTTCGAGACCAGCCTGACCAACATGGTGAAACCCCATGTCTACTAAAAATACAAAAATTAGCTGGGCATGGTGGCACATGCCTGTAATCCCAGCTACTCGGGAGGCTGAGGCAGGAGAATCCCTTGAACCTGGGAGGTGGAGGTTGCAGTGAGCCGAGATCGTGCCACTGCACTCTAGCCTGGGCCATAAGAGCGAGACTCTGTCTCAAAAGAAAAAAGAAATATTGGCACTGGACCCTGCATACAGTCTTTCCCCAGTGAGGATTTGCTATTGCCTCTCTGTCGTTCTAAAAGTTTGATCGCCACGTGACCAGACAGAGAAAGCCTTCAGAATAACTGGGAGCTGCGAATCTCTGCTGCTCTCCCTCCTCCCTCTCAGCTCCAGATCCTGGCCCCACCTGTCTTCTCTGGTAGATAAACACCCGGCCTCCTCTCTGCTCCCCATAGAACAGTGGGGCACCAATCAGCAGCAGCTCTGTCTCCCCATCTTGGTCCACGTCGACGCCACACAGCTCCCCACCGAAATAAGAGCCAATCTGTGGGGAGAGGCAGGTGTTTGGGGAAGCGCCTGTGGGAACAGCAGGGGTTGGCAGGGAGATACCTGTACCGTGTTCATCTTGTGCCACTCCCTCAAATGCAGGTTCCAATCTTGGATCCACCCCTAGTCTATGTGCGTTAAGACAAGGTGGGCTCTTTGAGGTTCAGTTTCTTAAACTAGAGAGGGAGATGACAGGGCTTACCTCTGTGTGTTATGAGGGATAAATGTGATCATGTTTAGCACAGGGGCTGCCACATGGTAAGTGGATGAGCATTCAAAGGACAGAAGGGAGTGTGATGTGTGTCCCGCCAGTCCCTGGTCTGCAGATGCCCTCGGACTGGGCGCACCTGGGTCCCATGGATTGTCTGGACCTGGCTCCAGTGTCCTCCGCCCTGTGGCTCTTGGAACAGCAGCACTCGGCCCATGTGCTGGTATCGAGGGGCTCCCGAGGCCAGCAACGAAGTCTTTTGCCGGGAGGGCAGCCAGGTCACGGTGTAACCTGAGGAAAGTGTGTGGGGTGTGGAGTTAGGAACACAGGATGCTGGAAGAACACCCAGCAGGAGAGGGGCAGGGGCCCCAGGGAATTGGGTTAGTAGCAGAGATGCATGGAAACAGCTGAAGACCTTCTCCTGAGAAAAGCATCCATGTGCTCCCAGCCAAACAAATCCTGCCATCTTGGGGATGGCATGTCTTCAACTGTGGGTGACATGCACACCCAGGGAAAAGCAGCTATGCACAACAAGTGGAGCGTGGAGCCTCTTCTGAGCCTCAGTTTACCTGAGGATTAGTAAGGAAGACTCCATTCTTTCTTCTTTTTTAGAGACAGAGTCTCGCTCTCTTGCCCAGGCTGGAATGCAATGGCGTGATCTCAGCTCACTGCAACCTCCGCCTCCCGGGTTCAAGCAATTCTCCTGCCTCAACCTCCCAAATAGCTGGGATTACAGGCGCCCAGCCACCACACCCAGATAATTTTTTGTATTTTTAGTAGAAACAGGGTTTTGCCATGTTGGCCAGGATGGTCTCAAACTCCTGGCCTCAGGTGATCCACCCACCTCAGCCTCCCAAAGTGCTGGGGTTACAGGCATAAGCCACTGTGCCCGGCCTCTTTTTTCTTAAATAATAAATTAAAATGGGAGTCCAGGTGCGGTGGCTCACGCCTGTAATCCCAGCGCTTTGGGAGGCCGAGGCAGGTGGATCACAAGGTCAGGAGATCGAGACCATCGTGGCTAACACGGTGAAACGCCGTCTCTACTAAAAATACAAAAAATTAGCTGGACGTGGTGGTAGGCGCCTGTAGTCCCAGCTACTTGGGAGGCTGAGACAGGAGAATGTGAACCTGGGAGGGGGAGCTTGAAGCGAGCTGAGATTTCGCTACTACACTCCAGCCCGGGCGACAGAGCGAGACTCCGTCTCAAAATAAATAAATAAATAAAATAAAATAAAATAAAATAAAATAAAATAAAATGGTATATATTAGTCAGAAGAATGCAAAGTTGGCATGGATATTAAAAATAAAGCATGTCTGGGCCAAGTGCAGTGGCTCACACCTGTAATCCTAACATTTTGGGAAGCCGAGGTAGGAGGATCACTTAGGCCAGAAGTTTGAGACCAGCCTGGGAAACATAGTGAGACCCCGTCTCTACAAAAAATTACAAAAACTAGCCAGGTGTGGTGATGCACACCTGTGATCCCAGGTACTAGAGAGGCTGAGAGGCAAAAGGATTGCTTGAACCCAGGAGTTCAAGGCTGCCTTGAACTACGATGGTGCCATTACACTCTAGCCTGGGTGACAGAGTGAGACCCTGTCTCTAACAAAATAAAATAAAGCAGGAAACTTGAAAAATTTTCATGCTTAAAGATATCATGTTGCCGGGCGCGGTGGCTCACGCCTGTAATCCCAGCAGTTTGGGAGACCGAGGCAGGCGGATCACGAGGTCAGGAGATCGAGACCACGGTGAAACCCCGTCTCTACTAAAAATACAAAAAATTAGCTGGGCATGGTGGCGGGCACCTGTAGTCCCAGCTACTCGAGAGGCTGAGGCAGGAGAATGGCGTGAACCCAGGAGGCGGAGCTTGCAGTGAGCTGAGATAGCGCCTCTGCACTCCAGCCTGGGTGACAGAGCAAGACTCCGTCTCAAAAAAAAAAAAGATACCATGTTGGCCGGGAGCGGTGGCACACGCCTGTAATCCCAGCACTCTGGGAGCCCAAGGCGGGTGGATCACCTGAGGTCAGGAGTTTGAGACCAGCCTGGTCAACATGGTGAAACCCCATCACTACTAAAAATACAAAAAATTAGCTGGGCGTGGTGGCGGGCACCTGTAGTCCCGGCTACTCAGGAGGCTGAGGCAAGAGAATCAGTTGAACCTGGGAGGTGGAGGTTGCAGTGAGCTAAGATCGCGCCACTTCACTCCAGCCTGGGCGACAGAGAGACTCAGTCTCAAAAAAAAAAAAAAAGAAAAAAAAGATATCATGTCAGTGTCAGGCTGTCTTCATCTTCAACTTCCTGTAATGAGGTTCTTTCCTCTAAGATACCAGGACAACCTCTATTGAATGTTCGAGGAAACACTGCAGGAAATTGGACCCAAGATTGGGCTAGAGCCAAGAGCCACCAGCAAGAATCCTCTGAGATGAGTCACTGACCCCATCTGATGGTCTCTGTGCAGAGCAGTTGAAAGTGAGTGAAGAAAACAGAGCTGTCCAAGGCCCTACAGCACATGGAAGGAAGAGTGAAGAGACGGAACCGCTTCCCTATTGTCGTATGGAGTCTGGAAGCACAAGGGTTAAGAACTCCAAATTCTTGAACTCCATGAGACAAGGTTTAAATCCTAGTGCTACTGCTTCCTAGCTGTGTAGTAGTTAAGTAAATTGCTTCATGCCTCTGTGCCTCAGTTTTCTCATCTACAAAAAGGGAAGAGGCTGGACATTGTGGCTCACGGCTATAACCTCAGCACTTTGGGAGGCTGAGGAAGGGGGATTGCTCAAAGCCAGGAGGTCAAGGCAGCAGTGAGCCAAGATGGTGCCACTGCACTCCAGCCTAGGTGACAAAGTGAGACCCTATGTCTAAAGAAAAAAAAAAGGAACAGTACCAATCTCATGGGGTGTGTTTTGAGAGTTAAATAAGACATGTATATAAAATGCTTAGTGCTACACTAGTGATAGCTAAACTGAGATCTGAAGGATAAGTAGCATAGTAGACACTCAGGATTCTGTTTATTTATCTATCCACATATATGTATATATTTATGTGTGTGTATAGTGGGGTGGGTGTCTAACTAGAGATTAAACTTTTTTTCTTTTTTCTTTTTTTTTGAGACAGAGTTTTGCTCTGTCACCCAGGCTGGACTGCAGTGGTACGATCTCGGCTCACTGCAACCTGTACCTCCAGAGTTCAAGAGATTCTCCTACCTCAGCCTCCCGAGTAGCTGGGATTACAGGTGCATGCCACCATGCCTGGCTAATTTTTTGCATTTTTATAGAGACGGACTTTCACCATGTTGGCCAAGCTGGTCTCGAACTCCTGACCTCAAATGATCTGCCAGCCTCAGCTTCCCAAAGTGCTGGGATTACAGTGTGAGCCACCACACCCAGCTAGAGATTAAATTTTAGAGTCATTTCTTCTTTTTTTTTTTTCACTGCAACCTTAACCTCCCAGGCTCAAGTGATCCTCCCATCTCAGCCTCCCAAGTAGCTGGGACCACAGGCATGCACAACCATGCCCAACTAATTTTTTTTTTTTTTTTGAGACAAAGTCTCTCTCTGTCACCCAGGCTGGAGTGCAGTAGTGCAATCTCGGCTCACTGTAACTTCCGCCTCCCAGGTTCAAGTGATTCTCCTGCCTCAGCCTCCCAAGTAGCTGGGACTACAGGTGCGTGTCACCACGTCCAGCTAATTTTTTTGTGTTTTTAGTAGAGACGGGGTTTCACCATGTTGGCCAGGCTGGTCTTGAACTCTTGACCTCAGGTGCTCTTGGACAATTCAAGAGGAGGAAGCCTTAAAAAGGAGTGGCCAGTCCTCTTACTAATAAGGCAGGTTGTTTTAAAATGTGCCTGGGATTTAATATATAGGTGTGACTGATGATACAGAGAGTCACTGTCATTGAAAGAAGTTTACTAGCCACAGTTCCAAGAGGGAGTAGGCACTGGATGCCATGCAGGGCCAGAGAGGGAAACACTACATTAGTGAAGAGGCAGGAGGAGCCAGGGAAGAGCATGGCCCAGAGCTCTTCTTGTGGTTTCCACAAGGAAGGGTGGCGAGCTAGGTTGGCAAGTTCAAGCAAGTTTAGGATTGCACAGTTTGAATAATTTTGGCTGGCTCTGGGCTATAGCGGTGGCCTCTGGTTGACTGATGCCTGGCTCTGAGCTGATTTAGGGCAGAGGAACTATCGGCTTATTGTGTAAGGATTAGACAAAGGAGGTGGCTGAGGATATGGGCTCGGAATTGGCTGGTTTGCATATAAAAGGCCTTTTTTTTTTTTTTTTTTTTAAGACGGAGTCTCGCTCTGTCATCTTGGCTGGAGTGCAGTGGCATGATCCTCAGTTCACTGCAACCTCCGCCTCCTGGGTTCAAGCGATTCTCCTGCCTCAGCCCCCTGAGTAGCTGGAATTAAAGGCACCCGCCATCATGCCCGACTAATTTTTGTATTTTTAGTAGAGATGGGGTTTTGCCATGTTGGCCAGGCTGGTCTCGAACTCCTGACCTCAGGTGATTCACCTGCCTCAGCCTCCCAAAGTGCTGGGATTACAGGTGTCAGCCACTGTGCTCGGCCCTGTTTGTTGAGACAGAGTCTTGCTCTTTTGCCCAGACTGGTGCGCAGCTGCGTGATCTCCACTCACTGCAACCTCCTCCTCTCAGGTTCAAACGTTTCTCCTGCCTCAGCCTCCAGAAGAGCTGGGACTACAGGCATGCGCCACCATGCCTGGCTAACTTTTGTATTTTTAGTAGAGACAGGGTTTCACCATGTTGGCCATGCTGGTCTTGAACTCTTGACTTCAGGTGATCCACCTGCCTCAGCCTCCCAAACTGCTGGGATTACAGGCATGAGCCACTAGGACCAGCTACAAGGCATATTCACAGGCAAGTTGTTTACTATCTCTAGGAATTTGCCTACCCTGGGAGAGGTAGTCTTTTCAGGATTAGCACGGCCCCAAGATGTCAAAGCATCAGAAAATACAGACAATAAATTATGAATGTTATAGCCATATTTAAACTCTGACTTTGTTCATGCTGGTTGCTTAACTGCTTTCATTATTGTTTTGGAAGCCAGGCTGAGCGACCATCTGACCTCAACAACCAGAAGATCCCAGCAGAAAAGAGAAGTACTCACCCAAATAGCCTGCTCTCACTTCTGGTGTCAATGGTTCATTCCCAATAAATGTGTCATCCTGCAGGTCTGCCTTCAGGTCAAGAAAGCCCCCAGCCCAGTCCTTGGCTCCTACTGCCCCCACGACTGCATGGCCCTGCCCAGGGAAGGAGATGAGCGGGTCAGCTACCCACCGACCCACCCCCCAGAGCCAACTGCACTCCCTGCAGCCCATTGCTCCAGCCCAGCACGCACCCTGCTGAGGTCAGCACTGATGCCGCTGGAGGACAGCTCCATGTTGAAGGAAGTCAGGTCCTGTTTGCTTGTGCCTGGGGAACAAAGCAGAGAACAGGTGAGACCCAACAGCAGTAAATGCAGTGAAAAAAATTCATGGCAGGACGGGGAAGAAGTGAGGTATTTACTTCTGGGTAAGGTAGAAGGCATGCATGTGAGGGTCAGGCAGACCCAGGAAGTGGCTTAATGCGGAGTTGGCTTTTACCCTGGGAGTCCCAGATTTGTTTGTTTTTTGTTGTTGAAACAAGGTCTTGCTCTGTTGCCCAGGTTGGAGTGCAGTGGCGCAATCACAGCTCACTGCAGCCTCAACCACCCAAGCTCAAGCAACCCTCCGGGCTTAGCCTCCTGGATAGTGGGGACTATAGGCACACACCATCACACCTGGCTAATTTTTTTTTTTTTTTTTTTTTTTTTGAGATGGAGTCTCTCTCTGTCACCGAGGCTGGAGTGCGGTAGTGCAATCTCAGCTCACCACAGCCTCTGCCTCCTGGGTTCAAGCGATTCTCCTGCCTCAGCCTCCCGAGTAGCTGGGATTATAGGTGCACCACCATGCCCAGCTAATTTTTGTATTTTTAGTAGAGATGGGGTTTCACCATGTTGGCCAGCCTGGTCTCGAACTCAGGTGATCCACCCGCCTCGGCCTCCCAATGTGTTGGGACAATGACAGGTGTGAGCCACTGTGCCCAGCCTCCAGATTTGAATATCCAATTACTCATCTCCATGTGTCCAAGACTCAGCTCTTGGTTTCTGCTCTGACTCAGGCTTCTCACTTCAATGAATGGCACCCCCACTCACCTAATGAACCATGCTAAGAAACCAAATCCACCTGGAGTCTTCTCTATACTCCATCTCATCTCCAACACATCACCAAATCATGATACTCCTGCCTTTGAAATACACCCTTTTTCTTTTTTTTTTTTTTGAGACAGGGTCTTGCTGTGTTGCCCAGGCTGGAGTGCAGTGGTGTGATCATAGCTCACTACAGTCTCAAACTCCTAGGCTGAAGAGATCCTCCTGCCTCAGCATCCCAAGTAGCTGGGACTACTGGTATGCACCACCGTGCCTGGCTTATATAGCTTCTCCTTAAGAACTCTTCACTGGCTGTGCGTGGTGGCTCATGCCTGTAATCCCAGCACTTTGGGAGGCCAAGGCAAGCAGATTACCTGAGGTCAGGAGTTTGAGACCAGCCTGACCAGCATGGTGAAACCCTATCTCTACTAAAAGTACAAAAATTAGCTAGGCATGGTGGGACATGCCTGTAATCCCAGCTACTTGGGAGGCTGAGGCAGGAGAATTGCTCGAGGCTGGGAGGCTCAAAAACAACTGGAGGTTGCAGTGAGCCAAGATCGCACCACTGCTCTCCAGCCTGGCTGACACAGTGAAACTCTGTCTTGAAAAAAAAAAAAGCCAGGCACAGTGGCTCACACCTGTAATCCTAGCACTTTGGGAGGCCAAGGCGGGCAGATTACCTGAGGTTAGGAGTTCAAGACCAGCCTGGCCAATATGGTGAAACCCCGTCTCTACTAAAAATACAAAAAATTTATCTGGGTGTGGTGGCAGGCGCCTGTACTACTAGCTACTTGGGAGGCTGAGGCAGGAGAATCGCTTGAACCGAGGAGGCTGAGGTTGCAGTGAGCCAAGATCACACCACTGCACTCCAGCCTGGTGACAGAGCAAGACTGTCTCAAAAAACAAAACAAAACAAAACAAAAAACCTCTTCATGGGCTGGGCACAGTGGCTCACGCCTGTAATCCCAACACTTTGTGAGGCTGAGGCAGAAGACTTGCTTGAGCCCAGGAGTTAAAGATCAGGCTGGGCAATATAGTAGAAACTCTGTCTCGGCCGGGCGTAGTGGCTCATGCCTGTAATCCCAGCACTATGTGAGGCTGAAGCAGGAAGATTGCTTGAGCCCAGGAGTTCAAGACCTGCTTAGGCAATATAGTAGAAACTCTTTTTTTTTTTTTTTTTTTTTTGAGACGGAGTCTCACTCTGTCGCCCAGGCTGGAGGGCGGTGGCACAATCTTGGCTCACTGTGAACTCCACCTCCAGGATTCACGCCATTCTCCTGCCTCAGCCTCCCGAGTAGCTGGGACTACAGGCGCCCGCCACCACGCCTGGCTAAGAAACTCTTGTCTCTACAAAAAATTTAAAAATTAGCCAGGTGTGGTGGTGTGTATCTGTAGTCCCAGCTACTCAGGAGGTCAAGGTGGGAGGACTGCTTGAGCCCAGGAGTTTGAGGCTGCAGTGAGCCGTGATCGCACTACTGCACTCCAGTCTGGGCAACAGAGTGAGTCCCTGTCTCAAAACAACAACAACAAAAAACTCCTTCATGATTTCTCATCGATCTTCACACTGAAATCCAAACTCTTTCTGAGGGCCTGGAAGACCCTTACCTCCCTGCCAACCTTCTCTCTCCCTTCCTCACTGCGCTTCGGTCACACTGAACTTTTTCCATTTTCCTGGCATGCCGAGCCCTTTCCCCGCCCCTGGGCTTGCACCTGTGCTTCTCTCTGCCCTCATTCCACCTTTCTCACATTGCTGTTTGAATCTCATCTTTCATATCTCAGCTTAAAAGCCAGTTGAGAGTGAGTTTTTTTTAAAAACTTTTTTTTAAAAAATCACTTTTCATTTTTATTAATTATTTAGACATGGCTTCTTGCTATGCTGCCCAGGCTGGACCATTGCTGCTGATTTTTTTTTTTTTTTTGAGACAGTTTTGCTCTTGTCACCCAGGCTGGAGTACAGTGTCACAATCTCAGCTCACTGCAACCTCTGCCTCCTGGGTTCAAGCGATTCTCCTACTTTAGCCTCCCAAGTAGCTGGGTGACCTCAAGTGATCCGCCTGCCTCAGCCTCCCAGAGTGTTGGGATGACAAGCGTGAGCCACCACGCTCAGCCCATTGCTTCTTTAACTGAACCGAACACCAAGGCTGTGTCCTAGCAAAGGAGACTTTCCTGTAGGAATCACATATCTTTCAGTCAAGTAAGCTTCCTGGGGAAATGCCCTCCATAACCAGTCCTCCATCTGGTGACCACAATATAAATCTTCTCTTATTCTAGGCCAGGAAAGAAGACTTGTGGGTTCTTCACACTGGCCCCTGCCAGCCTGCCCTTCTGAAGTAATGTGGAGCCTTGGATAAGTGACAGCAAGACAGTTGAGCAAGAAGGGGGAGGAATTACATTCACTCTGCGGGGCTCAGATCACACCAGCAAGACATAGGTCAGTCCTAGATCAACCTGAGCTCCAAGAGAAGATGGAATTTCAGAAAGAAATATCAGAGAGGGCCGGGTGCAGTGGCTCACGCCTGTAATCCTAGCACTTTAGGAGGCCGAGGTGGGCAGATTGCTTGGGGCCAGGAATTCGAGACCAGCCCAGGCAACATAGCGAGATCCCTGCCTCTACAAAAAATACAAAAAATACAAAAAAAAAAAAAAAAATTAGCCAGGTGTGGTATCACACACCTGTAGTCCCAGCTACGTGGGAGGATCACCTGAGCCTGGAAGGTCAAGGCTGCAGTGAGCTGTGATCATGCCACTGTACCCCAGCCTGGGTGACAGAGTGAGACCCTGTGAAAGAAAAGCAAAAAAGAAAAGAGGCTGGGCGCAGTGGCTCACGCCTGTAATCCCAGCACTTTGGGAGGCCAAGGCGGGCAGGTCACGAGGTCAGATCGAGATCATCCTGGCTAACACGATGAAACCCTGTCTCTACTAAAAATACAAAAATTAGCCAGGCGTGGTGGCTGGCGCCTGTAGTCCCAGCTGCTCGGGAGGCTGAGGCAGGAGAATGGCGTGAGCCTGGGAAGTGGAGCTTGCAGTGAGCAGAGACTGCGCCACTGCACTCCAGCCTGGGCAACAGAGCAAGACTCTGTCTCAAAAAAAAAAAGAAAAGAGAGAAGAGAAAAGAAGAGAAGAGGAGGGGAGAGGAAGGGGGGAGGAGAGGGGAGGAGAGGGGAGGGGAGGAGAGGGAAAGGGAAGGAAGGGAGGAAGGAAGGAAGGAGAGAAAGAAGGAAGAGAAAGAAAGATCACAGAGGCTGCTCTCAAATGGCCCTCTCCTAAATTCCTTCTAAAGGTCTGTTTTATTTAGGCAAGCCCTTGGCACAAGATCAGATATTCAGTAAGTGCTTATTATTCTTTGTGTTTCTAATAGGATGTCCCAGGGGAGGTTTTTTTTTGTTTTTTTGTTTTGTTTTGTTTTGTTTGAGACTGAGTCTTGCTGTGTTGCCCAGGCTGGAGTGCAATGGCACATCTCAGCTCACTACAACCTCCGCCTCCTGGGTTCAAGCGATTCTCCTGCCTCAGCCCCCTGAGTAGCTGGGATTACAGGCATGCACCACCAAGCCCAGCTAATTTTTGTATTTTTAGTAGAGACGGGGTTTCGCCATGTTGGCCAGGCTGGTCTCGAACTCCTGACCTCAGGTGATCTGCCCACCTCAGCCTCCCAAAGTGCTGGGATTACAGGTGTGAGCCACCGCGTCCGGCCATTTTTGTTTTTTGTTTTTTATTTTTTGAAATGGAGTCTTCCTCTGCCACCCAGGCTGGAGTGCAGTGTGGTGCGATCTTGGCTCACTGCAACCTCTGCCTCCTGAGTTCAAGCGATTCTTGCGCCTCAGCCTCCTGAGTAGTGGGATTACAGGCACCCACCACCACACCTGGCTATTTTTTGTATTTTTAGTATAGATGGGGTTTTGCCATGTTGCCCAGGCTGGTCTCAAACTCCTGAGCTCAATTGATCCACCTGCCTCGGCCTCCCAAAGTGCTGGGATTACAGGTGTGAGCCACCAAGCCCGGCCTGATGTCCCAGGGGAATTTCTTTATGCAGACTCCCGAGCCCTCTCCCAGGGCCTGCCACTCACCCTCAATGACATAGATCTTCTTCTGCAGCTCAGTGAATAGATCTTTCAGCTTCTCAAATGTGTCCAGAATTTTCACAAACTCGCTCGCGGGTTTTGATGCAAATTTGTGGAGGGTCTCCTGACTCTCCTTGGTCTGAAAATGCTTTCCAATCTGTGAGGGAGTGGAGAGTGAAGAGCTGAAATCCCCCAAACCTCAGTCCAGTTTGCTATTATTTTCACAAGAGTCTGGCCCCAGGGAGAAAGGGGCTTGGGGTTCAGAAAGAGGAGAGGGAAGATATGATGCAGGAAGCAGCAGGGGCCCTACCCCGATGATGTAGCGGATGATGTCTTTGGCCGCATCGATGTTGCCACTGTCAGTGGCCTCCCCATCCGTGATGATGATAAGCACTTTGGTGGCATCTGGCCGGGCCCCCAGCTCCTCCCGGAACACCTCTGTCCTGTGTCCAGGAAAGGAGGAGATGAGAGACTCCCCCAAACTAGGGCCTGAGGTCTCTTTCCCCACCTGCTCATCAAGTCACCTCCATGCTGGTTACGCAAAAGCCCTTCCTGGATCTCCCAGGCCGGGATTCCAAGCCTGCAGCAGTCACCTCTAAACCTCTTTGCTGCCACCCCTTTCCTTCTGGACCAGTGGTCCTCACACTGCATCCTGGGCAGTCCAGAGGGTGTCCCAGAGCCCATGGACAGGAGGAGGAGGTTTTGTGAGGAATGACTCTGGGCTTCCTACCCTCCATTGCAACCACATGGCCACCACTCTTTAATCAGCTACAGATATTGATCCAAGTGAGATTTCAATGTGGAAGAGAGGGTCCTACAGCTGAAGAAAACTGGGGAGTCACTCTTCCAGAGCAAGCTCTTCCAGCACCTCCTCTGCCTTCCCATAGTCCACAGGCTGCCTCCGGATCTCTACCATAGCAGTGAACCTAGTGAATTACCGTGACTCATTTCTCTGTCAATTTTCCCCCTAAACCATGAGTTCCTCAAGGAAAGGACCATGTTGGATTTGTTGCTGTATCTCTGGCTCCCAGCACAAAGGAGGCGGTTGTGCATGTGAGATGAAGGAGGGAGAACTAGTGTTACAGCTCTTTTAGAATTTGTCTAGCAGGCTTTCTGTTTTTTGCTAAAATCCTCCACCCTCAAAAAAATTAAAAAAATAAAATAAAGAAGGGAGAACTGAACACCAGATGGGCCAAGGCTAAAAATTTCTGCCCTGGGAGTTCCAGACCATTCTGGGCAACATAGCGAGACTCCAACTCTACAAAGATGAAAACAATTAGCCAGGCATGGTGGTGTGTGATTGTAGTCCCAACTACTCAGGAGGCTGAGACAGGAGGATCGCTTGAGCCCAGGAGTTTGAGGCTGCAGTGAGCTAGGATCACGTCACTGCGCTCCAGCCTGGGCAACAGAGTGAGACCTTGACTCTAAAAAAAAAAGAAAAAGAAAATTCCTGTTTTGCCCACAGCCTTCCTCTGAGCAAGTTGGGTTGGCCATAGCTCTTGCTGGAACAGCAGCAAGGTGTGAACCGTCTTACCCATGAACACCTGCTGTCAAGACCTCTGGTTCTATCTTGGATGCAAAATGCTTCTCCAATCTCCATCCACACAGACATGGGCCTATTGCGGGTCCTGTTCATGGATTTCCACCCTGGTTTATACAACCATTGTCTCTCATCTGGATTTTTCAGTAGCCTTCTAACTGGCCCTATCACTTCCACCCGCCCTTGCCCCCTCTACAGTCTAATATCAACCCTGCAGCCAGAGGGATCTTTTAAAAAACATAGATCATCACTCCTCTACTCAAAACCTCTAATGACTTCTCATCTTACTCAGAGGAAAGCCAAAGTCCTCACTATGGTCTCCAAGTCACTAACCCATCCAGACCCTCATGATCTCTCTGACCTCATCACCTACTATTTTCCCCCCTCACTTATTTCTCTCCGGCCACATTGGTGTCCTGGCTCTTCTTTTTTAATTTATTTTTAATTTCTTAGAGTTAAGATCTTGCTCTGTTGTCCAGGCTGGAGTGCAATGGTGTGATCATAGCTCACTGCAGCTTCAAACTCCTGGCTCATAGGCCAGGTGTGGTGACTCACACCTGTAATCCCAGCACTTTGGGAGGGTGAGGCAGGTGGATCACCTGAGGTCAGGAGTTTGAGTCCAGCCTGGCCAACATGGTGAAAGCCTATCTCTACTAAAAATACAAAAAAAATTAGCCAGGCGTGGTGGCACAGGTCTGTAATCCCAGCTACTTGAAAGGCGGAGGCAGGAGAATGGCTTGAACCTGGGAGGTGGAGGTTGCAGTGAGCCGAGATCATGCCATTGCACTACAGCCTGGGCAACAAGAGCGAAACTCCATCTCAAAAAACAAAAACAAAAACCAAAAACCAAACAAACAAACAAAAACTTCTGGGCTCAAAAGATCCTCCTGCCTCAGCTTCCCAAAGCCCTGGGATTACAGACTGTGCACCTGGCTTAGACTTTCTCTTGGATTTAATTAGTACAGAGTAGATTTCTGTTACGTACAACCAAAAGAATCTGCAGTAAAATTGTTCCACTTCAATTCAGACAATAAACTGCCCCTTGCTGTACCTACCTACTGAGTTCCCATGCCCTGCAGCTGGAAGTGGGTAGATCACCCAGAACAAATCACAGGACACGTGCTCTCCTGCAAAAGGGAACTCACGCGACATAATTGATGGCACCAAAGGTATTGGTCAACAGCAACATGTGCTTTACATGCTTCAGCAGAGCATCAGGGTCCTTCCGTTTAACATAATCTGAGAAATCAAATTCTGTTTTGTAGCTTGTGGAAAACTGAACAGCAGCAAACTAGAAAAGGAAGGAAGAAATGACATTCAGTTATATATCCCTTTCCATTTGTCTGTTCCAAACTCTACTTCTTTTTTTTTTTTTTTTTTTTTTAGATGGAGTTTCGCTCTTGTTGCCCAGGCTGGAGTGCACTGGCACAATCTTGGCTCACTGCAACCTCTGCCTCCCGGGTTCCAGCGATTTTCATGCCTCAGCCTCCCAAGTAGCTGCGATTACAGGCACGTGCCACCACACCCGAATATTTGTGTGTGTGTGGTGTGTGTGTGTGTGTGTGTGTGTGTGTGTGTGTGTGTGTTTTTAGTAGAGACGGTGTTTCACCATATTGGCCAGGCTGGTCTCGAACTCCTCACCTCAGGTGATCCACCTGCCTCAGCCTCCCAAAGTGCTAGGATTACAGGCATGAGCCACCGTGCCCAGCCCCAAACTCTACTTCTTCTTTTTCAAAACAGGGTCTTGTTCTGTCTCCCAGGCTGGAGTGCACGGTCACAATCATAGCTCACTGCAGCCTCAGCCTCCCAGGCTCGAGCCATCCTCCCTCGTCAGCCTCCGAAGTAGCTGGGACTTCAGGCACGTGCCACCACACTTGGCTAGTTTTTATTTTTTGTAGAAATGGGGTCTTGCTATGTTGCCTAGGCTGGTCTCGAACTCCTGGCTTCAAGTGATCCTCCCGGCTAAGCCTCCCAATGTGCTGGGATTACAGGTGTGAGCCACTATGCCTGGCTCAATCTCTTCTTATGCAGGACCTGGGCAACCCAACTCCACATCCTTGCCTCAGATAATTCTTTTGAAAATGAGGCAATATACAAATAAACACAGAAATAAAATGAAATAAACCTTGCTCCCTCATGTAACACTGTGTGTTGAGCTCCTGTTTTCTGGGTCCACCTATGTCACTGATAGGGATGGGTTCCAGCAGCCATATTTCTGCTGAGTGACGCTGCTTAACTAGATACAGTTGGCTGGGCCGGGGATCAACACCTGACTGAAGCTACGCCAGCCAGAACCTCTTCTCTGAGAACTGGAAATTTGCAAAGGGAGGTGTTGGTTGAGGGGAAGGTAAAAAACCCTCTTGGAACTTTAACACATGAACTTAGGAGCTTTCCATAGGTCTATGTGGTCTAAAGGCGCTAAGGGAGCCAGTCTACGGAGACTGAGAAAAGAGAAGAAGGAAGCAAAGACGCAAAAAGAAACAGAAATGAGAACTAGCTGGGCACAGTGGCTCATGCCTGTAATCCCAGCACTTTGGGAGGCCAAGGCAGGAGGATCTCTTGAGAGATCCAGGAGTTTGGGACCAGTCTGGGCAACACAATGATAAACCATCTCTACAGAAAATTTAAAAATTAGCCACGCACAGTGGTGCACATGGGTAGTCCCAGCTAGTTGGGAGGATCATTTGAGCCCAGGAGTTTGAGGCTACAGTGAGCTATGATCGTGCCACCATGATTCCAGCCTTGGGGACACAGTGAGACCCTGTCTCAAAAAGAAAAAATGGCTGTGCACGGTGGCTCACGCCTGTAATCCCAGCACTTTGGGAGGCCAAGGTGGGCAGATCACAAGGTCAGGAGTTCAAGACCAGCCTGGCAACATGGTGAAACACCATCTCTACTAAAAATACAAAAATCAGCTGGGTGTAGTGGCAGTTGCCTGTAATACCAGCTACTTGGGAGGCTGAGGCAGGTGACTTGCTTGAACCTGGGAGGCAGTGAGTCGAGATTGTGCCATTGCACTCCAGCCTGGGCAACAAGAGCAAAACTCCATCTCAAAAAAAAAAAAAAAAAAAAAAAAAAAAAGGAAATGAGAACTAGAGAGACTCCTAGAAGCTTTCTACTCCCTGGTTCTTGTCCCTTCCAGAGGCCCAGTTATAGCCATGCCCATAGGCTCTGAGGATTCCACATACTAACATTTCCTTTCATGGTTTAAGTCAGTTCAGGTAGGCATCTATTGCATGCAACCAAGAATCCTAACTAACTTTTTTACCTGGTACGAAGTGTTGCTGAGTTTCTTCATCACATCCTTCATGAAGTCCAGAATTTTCTGAAATTCATCTGGCTGCAAGCTCATCGAACCATCAAACAGAAATACCAGGTCTACGTTGCCCTTGATACATTCTGCAGAAGCCAGACGCAAGGGACCCAGTGAAGCATCTCTGGTGTTTGACCTGCCCATGCTGGTTCTCTCTAGGGACAGCCATTTGGAGGTATTTTTACCCAATGAGTCCCCAGTTCCTTACCCTGAAAACCAGGGCGCCCCTGCAGCATGGGACCCTGCAGATTCTGGCGGAAGAGGTAACACAGGCCACTCAGATAGGTGTTCTGGTCACACGTTCGAGACAGCCCAGGGTCACAGGCCTAAAGAAAGCAAAGGCCAAAGATTTGGGTCTCCTATTTGCTATGTGTCTTTTGGGCAACATCAACCAAAACTAGGAACGTTCAGAGTCCTTGTCCTCTTTCTCACTTCCTCTATCCAACTGGTTACCAAGGCAAGGAATGTCCGCCTCCACAGTCTCTACTGTCCATCCCTCCCATCCTACCAATGCTCTATGCCAATGGATGCTCACCGCCTGTAGGACTGGTGGTGAGTCTGGACTCCTTATCTGGGCTTACACTGGGCACGACCCCACATTTCCAGGTCCATCTTCTCCTAGTCCCAATCTCTTTTTCTGTGTTCCAGCCAAATCAAATTATCAAGATTCCCAGAATATACAGTGCCTCTTTCTTTCTTTCTTTTTTTTTTTTTTTTTTGAGATGGAGTCTTCGCTCTATCGCCTAGGCTGGACTGCATGGCATGATCTCGGCTCACTGCAAGCTTCGCCTCCCGGGTTCACGCCATTCTCCTGCCTCAGCCTTCTGAGTAGCTGGGACTACAGGCACCCGCCACTACACCCGGCTAATTTTTTGTATTTTTAGCAGAGACGGGGTTTCACCGTGTTAGCCAGGATGGTCTTGATCTCCCAACCTCGTGATCTGCCTGCCTCGGCCTCCCAAAGTGCTGGGATTACAGGCATGAGCCACCGCGCCCGGCCATGCCTCTTTCTTTCTTTTTCCCTTCCTCTCCCCTCCCCTCCGCCCCCCACTTTCTTTCTTTTTCTTTCTTTCTTTTTTTTTTTTGACGGAGTCTCGCTTTGTCACCCAGTCTGGAGTGCAGTGGTGCGATCTTGGCTCACTGCAACCTCTGCTTCCCGGGTTCAAGTGATTCTCCTGCCTCAACCTCCTCAGTAGCTGGGACTACAGGTGCCCACCACCACGCCCAGTTAATTTTTGTACTTTTAGTAGAGACGGGGTTTCACCATATTGGCCAGGATGGTCTCAAACTCCTGACCTTGTGTCTGCCCACCTCGGCCTCCCAAAGTGCTGGGATTACAGGAGTGAGCCACTGCACCCAGCCTTTTCTTTCTTTCCTTCCTTCCTTCTCCTTCCTTCCTTCATCTTTCTTTTTCTTCTTCCTTCCTTCCTATCTCTCTCTCCTCCTCTCCCCTTCCTTCCTTCCCTCCCTCCCTCCGTCCTTTCTTTCTTTCCTTTCTTTGCTTTCTTGCTTTCTTTCCTTGCTTTCTTTCTTTTCAGGTCTCACTCCCATCACCCAGGCTGGAGTGCAGTGGGACAATCATGGCTCACTGCAGCCTCAACTTCCTGGGCTCAGGTGATTCTCCTACCTCAGCCTCCCAAATAGCTGGGACTACAGGCACACGCCACCATGCCTGGCTATTTTTTTTTTTTGTAGAGATGGCATTTTGCCATGTTGCCCAGGCCAGTCTTAAACTCCTAGGCTCAAGCGATCCACCTGTCTCGGCCTCCCAAAGTCATTTCTTTCATTTATGACCCTTTCCTGCCAGATTGCAATTTCTTCAAAGTCTGGGCTTGTATCATGGTCATCTTTTTGCTTTGTTTTGTTTTTGTTCTTTTTAGACACAGGTCTCACTCTGTCTCCCTGGCTGTAGTGTAGTGGTATGATCAAGCTCACTGCAGCCTTGAACTCCTGGCCTCAACTGATCCTCCCAAGTAGCTGGGACTACACGTGTGTGCCACCATGCCCAGCTAATGAAAAAAACATTTTTTTTTTTTTTGTAGGGACAGGATTGACCAGGCTGGTCTTGAACTCCTGGCCTCAAGCAATCCTCCAGCTTTGGCTTCCCAAAGTGCTGGGATTACAGATGTGAGCCACCAGCCCGGCCTCATCAACTTTGTATCTCACTCCCCTTCCCCTGTCAGAACCTCGCCCAATGCCTGGCTATAATAGTAGCTAAATAAACAAGCTCTACTTAAATACTGGATGAATATTTCACTCAGTCTTCTATCTCTCACACAGAAGGATGCTGGCTGGGATAAGTTGGAGAGAGCAATGAACTTGGGATCAAATGAGAATTTTATTCAAATCCTGACTCTACCACTTTGCAACCATGTGACCTTGGTCAAGTCTCTTAACCCTTTGGTCCTGTTTCCTCGTGTGTGAAATGTGTACACTGATCCCTATCTCACCGGAGTGTCTTGAGGGTTTAAAAGAAATAAAGTGACCAGGTGTGGTAGCTCATGCCTGTAATCCCAGCATTTTGGGAGGCCGAGGCGGGCAGATCACCTCAGGTCAGGAGTACGAGACCAGCCTGGCCAACATGGCGAAACCCCATCTCTACTAAAAATACAAAAATTAGCCAAGGCATGGTGGCACACGCCTGTAATCCCAGCTACTCCGGAGGCTGAGGCAGGAGAATCGTTTGAACTCAGGAGGCGGAGGTTGCAGTGAACTGAGATCATGCCACTGCACTCCAGCCTGGGTGACAAGAGTGAAACTCTGTCTCAAAAAAAAAAAAAAAAGCAGTGTTTCCTAAACTTTAGGCATTTGTGTAATACTTCACAATATCTGCCATATGAGCATACTATTATTTTCTTAATATTTTCCTTTAAATTTTTGTTTAACTTCAGCCTCTTCCTAAGCAATATGATGTAAGAAATTATAAATTTGATGTGCTTGTCATATATTTTTTTCTAATAAGCCATTAAATTTATAACCATGAAAACATTAAAAGTTTGTATACCACTAAAAATCATATTGCATATCAATGATCACAGATATTTCATATTTGGAAGAAAAGTGAGGTTAAGTTATTGAAAATAGCTGGCTCTGCTGGGTGTGGTGGCTCACACCTGTAATCCCAGCACTTTGGAAGCTGAGGCAGGAAGATTCTTTTTTTTTTTTTGAAACGGAATTTCACTCTGCCGCCCAGGCTGGAGTGCAGTGGCATGATCTCGGCTCACTGCAAGCTCCGCCTCCCGGGTTCACACCATTCTCCTGCCTCAGCCTCCTGCGTAGCTGGGACTACAGGCGCCCGCGACCATGCCCGGCTGATTTTTTGTGTTTTTAGTAGAGATGGGGGTTTCACCGTGTTAGCCAGGATGGTCTCGATCTCCTGACCTCGTGATCCGCCTGCCTCGGCCTCCCAAGTGCTGGGATTAGAGGCAGGAGGATTCTTGAGCTCAAGACCAGTCTGGGCAACATGGTGACACTCTCTGTCTACAAAAAATATAAAAATTAGCTGGGCATGGTAGCATGCGCCTATAGTCCCAGCTAATTGGGAGGCTGAGGTGGGAGGATTACTTGAGTGCAGGGAGGTTGAGGCTACAATGAGCTGTGATCACGCCACTGCACTCCAGCCTGGGCAATAGAATAATAGAATGAGACCTTGTCTCAAAAAAAAAAAAAAAAAAAAAAAAAAGGCTGGTTCATCATTGGTTCTCAATAAACACTAATTGACTCTGATGCCTTTGACCATCTGTGGGAACTTTTATCCACATTCTTCTTCTTTTCTTCTCTCATTACTTGAATTGAGCTTCACAGGCTCTGATAACACCACTGCACAAAATTCTTACCAAAATGCTTCCATCTGTGGGGTCTGTTGCCAAGGTCATTCCCAAGTACTTGGAGGTATAGTTGGAACCTGTAGGCACCAGAAGGTTGGTCTGGAGGAGCTCAGGCAGTCTAGGTGGGCTGGGGCCAGCCTCAGTTTCCCCAAGATCCCATTCCTCCCAGCTCACCCCCCAGTTACTCACCTCTCAGGGTGACTGGCAGGCAGTGTCCTGTGCCCGACTGGCACTGATAGAGGCTTCCTGTGCTGTTCCCCTCCCCTGGAGCTCCCACGATGACCCTGGTGAGAAATCTCACCTGTGAGAGGGAGTGGCCCAGATCTGTACCCATCTACTCCTGCCTGCTAAGGAGGTTCAGATCTCCTGTCTCATTTCTCCAAGCACTGCAGCCATTCCCCTTCAAGAAGGTGCCTCTGGCCAGGTGGGGTGGCTCATGCCTGTAACTTTCGCATGAGGCCAAAGTACTTTGGGAGGCCGATGTCGGTGGATCACCTGAGGTCAGGAACTTGAGACCAGCCTGGCCAATATGGTGAAACCCCGTCTCTACTAAAAATACAACAATTAGCCCAGCATGGTGGTGCATGCCTGTAATCCCATCTATTTGGGAGGCTGAGGCAGGAGAATGGCTTGAACCTGGGAGGCACAGATTGCAGAGAGGTGAGATCTAACCGTTGCACTACAGCCTGGGCGACAAGAGCGAAAACTCCCTCTCAAAAAAAAAAAAAAGAAAAAAAAAAAAAGAAGATGCCTCCGTCCTCATCTCTTCCCTACAGAATCGCAGAGAAATAATTCCAAATGCTAAAATCCTAGAAAATTAAGGTTCCTTTGCATTTACAGTCTCTGAGGCCCAGAGAATGATCCGCCAGAATGTCTCATGATAAGTACATTCATTCAATCCTTGATTCAAAAGCCATTCATGGCTTACCTACTGTGTGCTGGGCGGTGGCGTATCTAAGAAGGGTTAGGAAGAGAGAACAGACTCCTGGCTTCCAGGCGCTCGCAGGGGAGTAAGGGAGTGTCAGGAACCTACTGGGCAATGCGAAGTGTTTTGGGGCTGGGATCCTTCCCTGTTCTGCACTTCCATGGCCTCCCTGATCGCGTGTATCCCGCTTTTTGATCCCTCACTCCTGTCTCTGAGGATTCCCACCACAGGCTCCTCCAGACGGGAACCCCTGGAGAGCTGCCTCGTGCCACCGACTAGCCCAGGCGAGGGTCGGGGAGGCGGCCACCGCCTCGGGGGCTGCCCCAGGGCGGGCATCAGGAGGAGGACTTGTGGGGCACAGCTCACCCGTTTCCGACCTGCAGGACGCGGTATCCAAAGTGCCTCCCGGCGCGCGGTGGGGAGAAGCTCCGCGCGCCCCGCACGTCCAGGTTGTAGCTCGAGGCCGGCGCTGAGGAAGGCAAGGGTCGTCAGCTGCGACCGAGGGACCCCCGCCCCTGCACGTGCCCAGCAGGTGGCCGATCCCAGGCCCACCCGGATGTCGCTCCCCAGGCCACCCGCACCCTGCGCTTCCCCTCCAGGGCGTTGACTTCTGGGAATATGGAAGGAGCAACTCCCGGCCCCCCTAGAGCTCTGAAAGCTCTTCCCAGGGCCTGAGGATACAACTTCCCGTTTGGCCTCTCTGCAAAAAAGGAAGGATGAGAAGTTAGAGGCTCCAGAGAGAGGAGCAGACCCAAGGGGCCCCAAGGCAGAGGGTGACCAAGTTCTCAGGCAGAGGCCAAGATGGGGATGCCCCCGAGCCGGGTGCGCCTCTGCCACCCACTTCTCCTGCGGTCATGGGGCCCAGGCGCCTCCTCCCACAGTCTCAGATTGTAGCTCCCCTGATCCCTGGGGGGCTGCCTCCCCACCCCACCGGGCCAGTCTTTCGGAGCATCTGTAGATCCCAGCTCCCTTCCCCCTCAGTCAGCCTGCCCAGGCGCCCTGGCACACCCAGCTGTCCTTTCCGCCCTGCTTTCTCTCCCCGCATGGAGTTTAGTTCAGAGCATCCTAGAATGTCATGGAGGCTGGGCCTTCATTTGTTTAGATGAAGGGTG
The DNA here is from genome assembly GCF_000001405.40 of Homo sapiens. Lineage (NCBI taxonomy): Eukaryota > Metazoa > Chordata > Mammalia > Primates > Hominidae > Homo > Homo sapiens. The sequence goes on along the minus strand of NC_000016.10, from coordinate 30,473,552 downwards.
TGGGGCTGGAAAGGGGAAAGGACTTGCCTAAAACGCGCAGAGGTGGCCCCAGAACCCAGCACCCTCCTCCCAGCTCTAGCTACTCAATAACTATCTGCCTTTTGTTTGTTTGTTGTTTAAGAGACAGAGTCTTGCTCTGTCACCCAGGCTGGAGTGCATTGGCACGAGCTTGGCTCACTGCAACCTCTGCCTCATGGGATGAAATGATTCTCATGCCTCAGCCTCCCGAGTAGCTGGGATTACAGGCCTGTGCCACCACGCCAAGCTAATTTTATTGTATTTTTAGTAGAGACGAGGTTTTGCCATGTTGGCCAGTCTGTCTTAAATTCCTGACCTCAAGTAATCTGCCCACTTTAGCCTCCTAAAGTGCTGGGATTACAGGCGTGAGCCACCGCGCCTGGCCCTATCTGTCTTTTTAAAGAACCCACTGCCCCTTCTTATGCTCCCTTCTCTGTCTTTGCCTCCACCCCTTGCTTATTTGTTTCTTTTATTTCCCCACTCTCCCCTTTCTCCTTCCAAGATCCCTGGGCCCCATATCCCTAAGGCCAATCCCACTTTTAGGGGGCAGCTCCTTGTTTACTCCAGCTGCACCAAGCCCTGCAGTTTCTCTGGTCACAGACACATGTCCCTTCCCCTGCCTCCTCCCTTGCCTACCGAAGAAAAAGAACCCAGACAGCAGCGCCATGGCCATCACAGTGATGCAGGAATCCTTCATCCTTCCAGCACTCGAGGGACCTGTGGCCCCAGGGGCAGCGTCAGGAGGCCCGTGGGATTTGCTGGCAACCTAGACAGGGTGAAAGAGGAAAATGATCATGCCCTTTGGCCTCTTACAGTGGTACTTTCTCACAGAGGCAACAGGCTGGTGACACTGGCAGGCGGGGAGGGAGGTGTGCCTGCAGGAGTTGTGAAACCGCAGGGGTTCAGGGAGGAAGTGTAAGCAAGTTAGAGACATTTCCTGTGCCTGCTTGCATTTTCACATCATCCAAAAGCTGACAGCATGTCAGGGAGATGACAGTCTCCACTGCTGTCATGGTTTCTCACTAACATCCCAACTAAGGGCTCTGTAAAGCTCAGCAGAGGACTGGTCTAATAAACAGTGGCAAAATTACAATGGAATGCTATGCAGCAGTGAAAAAGAATGAGGGAAGGAAAAATAAAACGGGGAGAAAGTGAGAGCTTTCTCTGGACCTTGAAAGATGTACATGAACTACTATTAAAGAAAAGAGCAGATTACAGAACAGTGTATTTAACCCATTTTGGTTCTAAAATGTAAAATCTAAAGAATTGGAGGCTGGGTGCAGTGGCTCACTGGCTGTAATTCCAGCCCTTTGGGGCTTCAGGAGGTGGAGGTAAGAGCATCTCTTGAAGCCAGGAATCAAGACCAGCCTGGGCGACAAAGTGAAACTTTGTCTTTAAAAAAAAAAAAAATTGGAGAAAATATTTGCAAATCATATCTCTAATAAGGGATTTGTTTCCAGAATATATTTTTTAAAACTCTTATAATTCAACAATAAAAAGACAAATAACCAGTTTTTTTTGTTTTGTTTTAAATTTTTTGAGACAAGGTCTTGCTCTGTCACCCAAGCGAGAGTGCACTGGCGCGATCACAGCTCAATGCAACCTTGAACTCCCAGAATCAAGCGATCCTCCCACCTCTGCTCCTAAGTAGCTGAAACCACAGGTGCATGCCACCATGCCTGGCTAATTTTTCTTTTTTGAGATGGTTTTTCACTATGTTGCCCAGGCTGATCTTGAACTCCTATGCTCAAGTAATCCTCCTGCCTCGGCCTCCCAAAGTGCTGGGATTACAGGTGTGAGCCACTGTGCCCAGTTTTTTAAATTTATTTATTTTAGGCTAGTCAAGTGAAGCAGAGGGAGTGGAGAAGGAACAAAGATATTGGTAACTGGTTGTGCTCCATTAGTTTTAAACGGCCTGGTGCGGTGGCTCACACCTCTAATCCTAGCCCTGTGGGAGGCCGAGGCAGGTGGATCACCTGAGGTCAAGAGTTCGAGACCAGCCTGGCCAACATGGAGAAACCCCCGTCTCTACCAAAAATACAAAAATTAGCCAGGCGTGGTGGCGCATGCCTGTAATCCCAGCTACTTGAGAGGCTGAGGCAGAAGAATTGCTTGAACCCAGGAGATGGAGGTTGTAGTGAGCCAAGATCTCACCATTGCATTCCAGCCTGGGCGACAGAGTGAGACTTTGTCTCAAAAAAAAATTAGTTTTAAACACCACTGCACTCAGACCAACCTACCTAAGTTTCTAAATGAGCAAACGGTTTGAGTAGACATTTCTCCAATGACATATAAATGGCCAACATGCACATGAAATGATACTTAACACTATTAGTCATTAGAGAAATGCAAATCAAAACCACAGTGAGATACCCTTTACACCTACTTTGATGGTTAGAGTTTAAAGCAAAGGAAATAAGAGTTAGTGAAGATGTGAAGAAACTGGAAGCCTGGTGCACATTGCTGGCAGAAATGTAAAATGGCGTGACTGCTGTGCAAAACATTTTGATGGTTCTTTTTTTTTTTTTTTTTTTTTTTTTTTTTGAGAGAGGGTCTCACTCTTGCCTAGGCTGGAGTGGTGTGATCTCGGCTCACTGCAGCCTCAACCTCACGGGCTCGAGTCATTCTCCCACCTCAGCGTCCTGAGTAGCTGGAACTACAGGTGCGGGCCACCACACCTGACTACTTTTTTATTTTTTGTAGACATGGGGGTCTCTCTACCTTGCCCAGGCTGGTCTTGAATTTCTGAGCTCAAATTATTTGCCCGCCTCAGCCTCTCAAAGTGCTGGGATTGCAAACGTGAGCCACCGCACCTAGCCCAACAGTTCTTTAAAACAGTTAAACATAGGCCAGGCATGGTGGCTCATCCCTGTAATCCCAGCACTTTGGGAGGCTGACATGAGAACTCCTGAGGTCAGGAGTTTGAGACCAGCCTGGGCAACATGGCAAAATCCCGTCTCTACTAAAAGTACAAAAATTATCTGGGTGTGGTGGTGCGCCCTGTAGTCCCAGCTACTCGAGAGGCTGAGGCAGGAGAATTGCTTGAACCTGGGAGGCAGAGGTTGCAGTAAACTAAGATCACACCACTGTACTCCAGCCTGGGCAACAGAGTGAGACTCCGTCTCAGGAAACAAAAACAAAACGTTAAACATAGAGTTACTATATGACCCAGAAGTTCTCCTCCTAGGTATATACCCAAAAGAATTGAAATCATATGTTCGTACAAAAACTTATACATGTATGCTCATAGCAGTATGAATAATGACTCACACTAGCCCCAAACTGGAAACAGCCTACATGTCTATCAGCTGATAAATGGATAAACAAAATAAGGTATAGCCATGCAATGTAATATTATTTGCCTGTAAAAAAGAATCAGGCTGGCGATTCACACCTGTAGTCCCAGCACTTTGGGAGGCCAAGGCAGGCAAATCAGCTGAGGTCAGGAGTTCGAGACCAGCCTGGCCGACATGGTGAAACCCCGTCTCTACTAAAAATACAAAAACTAGCCGGGTATGGTGGCACACGCCTGTAATTCCAGCTACTCGGGAGGCTGAGGCAGGAAAATCTCTTGAACCCGGGAGACAGAGGTTGCAGTGAGCGAAGATCGTGCCACTGCACTCCTGCCTGGGTGACAGAGTGAGACTCCATCTCAAAAAAAAAAAAAAAGTAGAGTACTGGTACATGCTACAATATGAGTAAGCCTTGAAAATATGCTTAGTGAAAGAAGCCAGCAAAAAAAAAAGTCACATATAGTCTGACTCCGTTAAGTGAAATATCCAGAACGCAAATCTAGAGAGACAGAAAGCAAGTTGGTGCTTGCTGGGGAAATGGAGGCTAGGGAGCGAGTACTAATGGGCATAGGGTTTCATTTTAGGTGATGAAATGTTCTGGAAATAGACTGTGGTAATGATTGCACAATTTTGTGAATCTATTTAAAAATCACTGAATTCTATACTTCTTTTTTTTAAATTTTTGAGACAGGATCTTGTTTTGTCACCCAGGCTGGAGTGCAGTGGTGCAATCATGGCTCACTGCAGCCTCGACTTCCCTGACTCAAGCAATCCTCCCACCTCAGCCTCCCAAGTAGCTGGAACTACAGGTGTGTGCCACCATGCCCAGCTAATTTTTGTATTTTTTGTAGAGACAGGGTTTCACTATGCTGTCTAGGCAGGTCTCAAACTCCTGGGCTCAACTGATCCTCTCTCCTTAGCCTCCCAAAGTGCTGGGATTACAGCCCTGTGCCTGGTGAATTGTATACCTTAGAATGGTGATTTATGGTATGTGAATTGTATCTCAATAAAAAATAAACATGAAATTATATATATGTATATATTTGTTAAATTGGAAAGGATATACAACCATACTTTAAACAGTGGTTAGCTCTGTAAAATGAGATTTATACATTTCTATATGGTCTGCATTTTTTTTTTTACAATGAGGATGTATAACTTTACCACTTAAAAAAATTAGGCGCAGTAGTTCACACGTATAATCCCAGCACTTTGGGAGGCCAAGGTGGGCAGAACCCCTGAGGTCAGGAGTTCGAGACCAGCCTGGCCAACATGGTGAAACTCTGCCTCTACTAAAAATACAAAAATTAGCTGGGCATGGTGGTGCACGCCTGTAATCTCAGCTACTTGGGAGGCTGAGACAGAAGAATAGCTTGAACCCAGGAGGCAGAGGTTGCAGTGAGATGAGATCGCGCCATTGCACTCCAGCCTAGGCAACAGAGCAAGACTCCATCTCAAAAAATAAAAAATAAATAAAAAATAGGCTGGGCACCACGGCTCATGCCTGTAATCCCAGCACTTTGGGAGGCCGTGGCGGGTGGATTACCTGAGGTTGGGAGTTCAAGACCAGCCTGACCAACATGGAGAAACCCCATCTCTACTAAAAATACAAAATTAGCCGGGCGTGGTGGCGCATGCCTGTAATCCCAGCTACTCGGGAGGCTGAGGCAAGAGAATTACTTGAACCCAGGAGGTGGAGCTTGCAGGGAGCCAAGATCACGCCATTGCACTCCAGTCTGGGCAACAGGAGTAAGACTGTCTCAAAAAAAAAAAAATTAAACTACCATTAAAAAACAAAAAATATTGGCCGTGCATGGTGGCTTACACCTGTAATCCCAGCCCTTTGGGAGGTCAAAGTGGGCGGATTGCTTGAGCTCAGGAGTTTGAGACCAGCCTGGGCAACTTAGCAAGACCCTTGTGTCTACTAAAAATAAAAATAAAAAATTAGCCAAGTGTGCTGGTGCACGCACGTAGTCCTAGCTACTCGGGAAACTGAGGTAGGAGGAGCACTTGAGTCCAGGAGGTAGAGGCTGCAGTGAGCTGTGATCAGGCCACTGTCCTGCAGCCTGGGTTACAGAGTGATACCCTATCCTTATACACAAACAAACAAACAAACAAACCAAAACATAAAAATATTTAAAACACAACAGAGTGAAGGAACTATATTCGTTTACAAGAAATTGGGAAGGATCTTCAGACTCTCCCTGTGCGGTGAAGAAATCCCGTTCAACCTGGAAAGATGTCACTGCCCTGAGGAAGCCTTTTTCAGACGGATTATCTATCATCTGTACTGCCAGGCGGCTGGAAAAGGACAAGCTGGCTTGTGGTAATTAGAAGGTATTAGACAGTCTTTTGAAAATTCAGTTAAGATCAGATAATTCAGGCTGATTTCTTTGATTCTCTGTAGAGCAGTTCCAACCAAATTCTTTTGTTTTGCTCTGAAATTACAAAAAGAGTATAAGTTTTTAGATTCAAACACTATGGAATGTGTAAAGAAGGATAAGCATTGTTTTTTTTTTTTTTTTTTGAGACGGAGTCTCGCTCTGTCACCCAGGCTGGAGTGCAGTGGTGTGATCTCAGCTCACTGCAAGCTCCGCCTCCCGGGTTCACACCATTCTCCTGCCTCAGCCTCCCGAGTAGCTGGGACTACAGGTGCCCGCCACCAAGCCCAGCTAATTTTTTGTATTTTTACTAGAGACGGGGTTTCACCATGTTAGCCAGGATGGTCTCGATCTCCTGACCTCGTGATCCACTCACCTCGGCCTCCCCAAGTGCTGGGATTACAGGCGTGAGCCACCGTGCCCGGCCCCAAGCATTGTTTTAGTGTCCACCGCCCATCCCTAAATCCCAAGAGGAATCATTGTTAACAATTGAAGCCATATATTTTTCATGAATAAAAAAAACTTAGGCCAGGCACTGTGGTTCATGCCTGTAATCCCAACACTTTTGGAGGCCGAGGTGGGCGGCTCACCTGAGGTCAGGAGTTCGAGACCAGCCTGGCCAACATGGTGAAACCCCATCTCTACTAAAAATACAAAAATTAGCCAGGCATTGTGGCACGCGCTAATCCCAGCTACTCAGGAGGCTGAGGCAGGAGAATCACATGAACCTGGGAGGCACAGATTGCAGTGAGCCAAGATCAAGCCACTGCACTCTAGCTTGAACAACAGAGGGAGATTCTGTCTCAAAAAAAAAAAAAAAAGAAAGAAAGAAAGAAAAGAAAAAAAATTAGTTCTATTAGTTAACCATACAGGTTTGACCTGTTTGGAAAAACTGTAATTATCTCACCACAGAACATCTGAGAATTAATGGCTAAGTCAGCCATCTCCTGTGTGAAGGTTTTCCCTCAAGCCATCTTCAAAATTTAGACTTGAATTAGGGTTTAATTTTCAGCAGGCAAGCTTATACGTTTTTATCATATTATGTTTTCAGATTTAAAATAAGCAAGGCTGGGCATGGTGGTTCATGCCTGTAATCCCAACACATTGGGAGGCCGAGGCGGGTAGATCACTTGAGGTCAGGAGTTCGAGACCAGCCTGGACAACATGGTAAAACCCTGTCTCTACTAAAAATACAAAAATTAGCTGGGCATGGTGGCACACGCTTGTAATCCCAGCTACTCGGGAGGCTGAGGCACAAGAATCGCTTGAACCTGGGAGGCGGAGATTGCAGTGAGCCAAGATCGCGTCACTGCACTCCAGCCTGGATAACAGAGTGGGACTCTGTCCCAAGAAAGAAAGAAAGAGAGAGAGAGAGAGAGAGAGAGAAAGGAAGGAAAGAAAGAAAGAAAGAAAGAAAGAAAGAAAGAAAGAAAGAAAGAAAGAAAGAAAGAAAGGGAGACAGAGAGAGACAGAGAAAGGAAGAAAGAAAGAAAAAGAGGAAAGAAAGATGAAAGAAAGAAAGATGAAAGGAAGGAAGGAAGGAAAAGAAAGAAAGACAAAGTAGAATGGCAGTTGCTAGGGGCTGGGAGGATCAGTAAACAGCGGGTAGGGATGGGGGTGGGGAAAGCCAGATCATGTCACTTTCTTATTCAGAACCCTCCAGTGTAGCCAGGGGCAGTGGCTCACACCTGTTACTCCAGCACTTTGGGAGGCCGAGGTGGGAGGAGCACCTCAGGCCAGGAATTTGAGACCAGCCTGGGCAATATAGTGAGATCCCCATCTCTACAGTTGAAAGGAAAAATTATAAAAAAGGAAAAAAAAATCCTCCAGTGGCTCCATATTTCACTCAAAATACAAGCCAAAGTTCTCACTGTGGCCTACAGAGATTTAACCCATCAGAGATCTCGTTCTCTCTCTGACTTCATGGCCCTCTGGCCCTCTCCTCACCAGTCACGCTGCTGCCCTGGACTGTGATCATTCCAGCATGCCTGTTCTCTTGCTTGAATGCTCTTTCCCAAGAAAGCCTCATACATGGCCGGGCTCGGTGGCTGATGCCTGTAGTCCCAGCACTTTGGGAGGCCAAGGTGGGCGGATCACAAGGTCAGGAGATCGAGACCATCCTGGCCAACATGATGAAACCCTGTCTCTACTAAAAATACAAAATTTAGCTGGGCATGACTGTGCTTGCCTGTAATCCCAGCTCCTTGGGAGGCTGAGGCAGGAGAATTGCTTGAACCCAGGAGGTGGAGGTTGCAGTGAGCCGAGATCGCACCACTGCACTCTAGCCTGGTGACAATGCTAGACTCCATCTTAAAAAAAAAAAAAAAGAAAGCCTCATACATGGCTTGTACCCTCGTGTCCTTTCAGTCTCTGCTTGAATGTCAGCTTCTCCTTTACATTTATAGCCTCCTTCTGTACTATCTATTTTTTTTTTTTATATGGAGTCTCACTCTTATGCCCAGGCTGGAGTGCAGTGGCATGATCTTGGCTCACTGCCACCTCCACCTCCGGAGTTCAAGCAATTCTCCTACCTCAGCCTCCAGAGCAGCTGGGATTACAGGTGCGCACCACCATGCCTGGCTAATTTTTGTATTTTTAGTAGAGACAGGGTTTCACCATGTTGCCCAGACTGGTCTCGAACTCCTGACCTCAGGTGATCCGCTCGCCTTGGCCTCCCAAAGTGGTGGGACTATAGGCCTGAGCCACTGCGCCTGGCCCTATATGATCTAATTTACTTTGCTGTCCAGTTTATTGTCCATTTTTCCTACTAGAATGTAAACTCCACAGAGGAAGTATTGTTATTATTTGTTTTTCTTCATTGGTCTATCCCCAGGACCTAAAACAGTGCCTGAAGCATAGTAGATGATTAGTAAGTATTACTGAATGAGTAAATGTTTGGGGTTGCCCCTGCCCCTAAGGAGAGTTAAGAGGCTTTTGCTTTTGCTGGGCACAGTGGCTCACCCCTGTAATCCCAGCACTTTGGGAGGCTGAGGCAGGCAGATCATGAGGTCAGGAGTTCAAGACCAGCCTGGCCAACATGGTAAAACTCCATCTCTATTAAAAATACAAAAATTAGCCTGGCGTGGTGGCGGGCGCCTGTAATCCCAGCTACTCGGGAGGCTGAGGCAGGAGAATCACTTGAACCCAGCAGTCTGAGGGTGCAGTGAGCAGAGATCGCGCCACTGCACTCCAGCCTGAGCAACAGAGCAAGACTCTGTCTCAAAAAAAAAAAAAGAGCCTTTTGCTCTTGAAGGTCTAGATTCTTAGAAGCAAAGAGCTGTATTGTCCAAAAGGGATGGGCTGAAGGGGTTGAACGAAGAGGGTTAGGCCGGGCATGGTGGCTCATGCCTGTAATCCCAGCACTTTGGAAGGCCGAGGTGGGCAGATCACCTGAGGTCAGGAGTTCAAGACCAGCCTGGCCTACATAGCAAAACCCCGTCTCTACTAAAACATGTATATAAATTAGCTGGGTATGGTGCTGCGTGGCTGTAATTCCAGCTACTGGGAAGGCTGGGGCAAGAGAATCATTTGAATCAGGAAGCAGAGGTTGCAGTGAGCAGAGATTGCACCACTGCACTCCAGCCTGGGCGACGGAGCAAGACTCCATCCGCCCCCCCGCCAAAGAAAAACAAGAGGGCTAAATTCCCAGAGACTGGGCCTTGAAGAATGCTTCTGGTCCTGCAAGTGAGGGCGATCAATGTCTGTGACTCTCTGTGCTGGAAGAGGCAGTCCTGGAGGGTGATGTGTGGAGGTCTGGAGACAGAATCCCAAACCCCTGGATTTAGAGGCTGCAAGGCGGGTTCCAGTGTCCAATCTGGACATGAAGATATGAAATCCCTTGAGTAGAACCGTTGCTTTAGAATGAAACAGGCAGCTTGGACAATGAGCATCCCCATAGCCACCAAGACAGTGAAAACCAAAAACCCTCCATCTAATTTTTGAAATACATAAATCTCCCAGGACTCTTTAAAGCCAGATTTAGGCTGGGGGTGGTGGCTCACACCTGTAATCCCAGCACTTTCGGAGGCTGAGGTGGGAGGATCACTTGAGCCCAGGAGTTCAACACCAGCCTGGGCAATACAGTGAGACCTCATCTCTATTTTTAAAAATTAAATTAAATTAAAAACTAAAAGCCAGATTTGTTTATGTATCATCTACACTTATTAACATTCACTGTTTAAAAGAGTAGAGTTCATGAGTTTTGACAAATATATACCGTTGATTAACCACTATGACAATCAAGATATAGAATATTTCCATCACACTCAAATGCCCCTTTTTTACTACTTAGTAGTAAATTTCTTCCATTTACCCCAACTCCCTGACAACTATTGATCTGTCTCTTTTCCTACAGTTTTGCTTTTTCAGAATAGCCTAAAAAGGAATCATGTAGGGTCTTAGTCTGTTTTGTGCTGCTCGGACAGAATACCTGAGACTGGGTAATTCATAAAGAACAGAGATTTATTATTTGGCTTATGGTTCTGGAGGCTGGGAATTCCAAGGCTGAAGGACCTGCATCTGGTGAGGGCCTTCTTGCTGTGTCATCCCACAGTAGAAGGTATCACATCACATCTTTTGAAGGAGACAGCATTCCAAACAAAAACGAAAAATAAAAAACAAACAAACAAACAAAAAAAACAAGAGATTGAACTCATAGCATTAAGTCCCGTTTTTTTTTTTTTTTTTTTTTTTTTTGAGACAGAGTCTTGCTCTGTAGCCCAGGCTGGAGTACAGTGGTGTGATCTTGGCTCACCGCAACCTCCGCCTCCCAGGTTCAAGCAGTTCTCTGTCTCAGCCTCCCACCAGTCCCTTTATAATCAGCATTAATCTATTTAGGGAGGCAGAGCCTCCATGACCTAAACACCTCCCATTAGGCCCCACCTCCCAACACTGTTGCATTGGGGATTCTTTTTTTAACACATGCTTTTGGGGGACATCTTCAAACCATGGCGTATAGTCTGTAGCCTTTTGTGCCTGGCTTCATTCACTCAGCATAATGCCATTGAAATTCGTCCATGTTGTTGCATTCTTATTTTTTTGAGACAGAGTTTTGCTCTTGTTGCCCAGGCTGGAGTGGAATGGTGTGGTCTTGGCTCACTGCAAGTTCTACCTCCTGGGTTCAAGCGATTCTCCTGCCTCAGCCTCCCAAGTAGCTGAGATTACAGGCACCCACCACCACGCCCAGCTAATTTTTGTGTTTTTAAGAGAGACAGGGTTTCACCATGTTGGCCAGGCTGGTCTTGAACTCCTGACCTCAGATGATCTGCCCGCCTCGGCCTCTCAGAGTGCTGGGATTACAGGCATGAGCCACTGCACCTAGCTGTTGTTGCAGTTTTATAAAAAAAGTTTTATTTCAAATTTTGTGGGAATGTAGTAGGTATATATATTTATGGGGTACGTGAGATGTTTTGACACAGGTATGCAATGTGAAATAATCACATCATGGAGAATGGGATATCCATCCCTTCAAGCATTTATGCTTTATGTTTTAAACAATCCAATTACACTCTTTCAGTTATATTGAAATGTACAGTTAAGTTATTGTGGACTACAGTCACCCTGTTGTGTTAGCAAATAGTGGGTCTTGTTCATTCTTTTTTTTTTTTTTTTTTTTTGACAGGGTGACAGGGTCTTGTTTCATCACCCAGGCTGCAGTGCAGTGGCACAATCTTGGTTCACTGCAACCTCCTCCTCCTGGATTCAAGTGATTCTCCTGCCTCAGCCTCCCATATAGCTGGGATTACAAGCATCTGCCACTATGCCTGGCTAATTTTTGTATGTTTAGTAGGGATAGGGATTCATTATGTTAGCCAGACTGGTCTGAAACACCTGACCCCAAGTGATCCATCTGCCTTGGCCTCCCGAAGTGCTGGGATTACAGGTGTGAGCCACCACACCCGGCCTGAACCACATTTTCTTTATCCATTCATCTGTTGATAGATACTTAAGTTCCTTCCAAATCTTAGCTATTGGAAACAGTGCTGCAACAAACGTGTGAGTTCACATATCTCTTTGATAGGCTGATTGTCTTTTTTTTTTTTTTTTTTGAGATGGAGTCTCCATCTGTCACCCAGGCTGGAGTGCAATGGCCCAATCTCAGCCCACTGCAACCTCTGCCTCCTGGATTCAAGTGATTCTCCTGCCTCAGCCTTAAGTGATCCGCCTGGCTCAGCCTCCCAGCGTGCTGGGATTACAGGTGTGAGCCACCACGACCGGCCCTGATTGTCTTTCTTTTGGGTATATGCTCTGTATGAGATTGCTGAATCATATGGTAGCTCTATTTTTAGTTTTTGAGGAACCTCCAAACTGTTCTCCATAGTGGTTATACTAATTTATATTCCTGTCTCTACTAAAAATAAAAAATTAAAAAATTCACCAGGCATGGTGGCTCAAGCCTGTAGTCCCAGCTACTTGGGAGGCTGAGGCACGGGTTCAAGTAGAGACATGGTTTCACCATGTTGGTCAGGCTGGTCTCAAACTCCTGACCTCAGGTGATCCGCCCGCCTTGGCCTCCCAAAGTAGTGCTGGGGTTACAGGCATGAGCCACCATGCCAGGCCAAACATGCTTATTATAGATTCTTTTTTTTTTTTTTTTTGAAAGAACAAAACATCTACAGCTCTGCAAAGCTGGTGGGACCTGATGTTTACCTTAATTCTGACTTGAACTGGAAGCATTTTAAGAAAACTTCTCATTGCTTTTCTAACAAACTCCAGCTTATTTTGCCTTTGTTGCTACTTCTAGCTAGATTTCAAACTTGCCTGTGGACTTGACAATGCAAATTGCAATTAATTATTTCTGGAGTCATGGGAACACACAGCATAGAGGGTACGTGGGGCCCCCAGGTGCTGAATCTAGACATCTGTGGGGTCTCCTGAGTTCAGCAGCTGTTGATCCAATGTCAACGTTGACCATCAGGGGAGTGGTTTAAGAGTACCAGGCAAAGGGCAAACTGTAGATCAATCGTTATACTGTTATTACAAGAGAAGTGACATACTTTATATATGTTTATATTAGCAAGGTCTGTTTTTAATACCATATACTTTATATTCTATGCATTTATATTTCTAATAATATGGTTATCACTAATTCATGTAGAGAGTTTTAGAATTTATTAAATCCTTGACTTTGTGCATTATAGCATTCCATTAGCAACAGTTGCGCCCCCTCCCCTTCCCCTTCCTCTCTATTTATTTATTTAATTTTTTTTGAGATAGAGTCTCGCTCTGCCACCCAGGCTGGAGTGCAGTGGCACAATCTCGGCTCACTGCAACCTCCGCCTCCCAGGTTCAAGCGATTCCCCTGCCTCAGCCGCCTGAGTAGCTGGGATTACAGGTGCACACCACCACACCCAGCTAATTTTTGTATTTTTAGTAAAGACAGGGTTTCACCATGTTGGTCAGGCTGGTCTTGAACTTCTGACCTCATGATCCGCCCGCCTCGGCCTCCCAAAGTGCTGGGGATTATAGGTGTGAGCCACCGCACCCGGCAACCCCTTCTCTTTTTAAGCTGTTTTATGCAAAAGATCTAGAAGTCCTTGATTTATTTTTAAATTGATTTATTTATTTATTTTTGAGACGGAGTCTCGCTCTGTCGCCCAGGCTGGAGTGCAGTGACGCGATCTCGGCTCACTGCAAGCTCCGCCCCCCAGGTTCAGGCCATTCTCCTGCCTCAGCCTCCCGAATAGCTGGGACTACAGGCGCCTGCAACCACGCCTGGCTAATTTTTTGTATTTTTAGTAGAGACAGGGTTTCACCATGTTAGCCAGGATGGTCTCGATCTCCTGACCTCGTGATCCGCCCGCCTCGGCCTCCCAAAGTGCTGGGATTACAGGCATGAGCCGCCGTGCCCGGCCGCTTTATTTTTAAATTTTTTAAAGTCCTTGATTTATTTTTATTGTTCTTTCCATAGGTAGAAGAGAAAGTTGATTGGTTGGTTGGTTTTTAATTATGCCATTAAACTAAACATTTCTGTTAAATTACCTTAAGAAAAAAAAAAAAACAACAACAGCAATAACTTGCAGAGCTGCCTCCATTCCTCATGGCCCCTCTAGTCCCAGTCCACATACTTTCCTACTGAACCTTTCTCTCTTTTGGCTTTTACTTATTTTTTTATTTTTATTTCGAGACAGAGTCTCGCTCTGTCACCCAGGCTGGACTGCAGTAGCACGATCTCGGGTCACTGCAAACTCCGCCTCCTGGTTTCAAGCGATTCCCCTGCCTTAGCCTCCCGAGTAGCGCGCACCACCATGCCCAGTTAATTTTTTGTATTTGTAGTAGAGACGGGGTTTCACCATGTTGTCCAGGCTGTTCTCAAACTCCTGACAGGTGATCCACCTGCCTTGGCCTCCTTAAGTGCTGGGATTACAGGCGTGAGCCACCATTCCTGGCCTCTTGTGGCTTTTAAATGAATCAAATGAATAAAATCTTGGGTAAGCCTGGGCAAAATGGCAAAACCCCTTCTCTACGAAGAAAAAAATTTTTTAAATTAGGTGGCTGTGGTGGCATGTGCCTGTGGTCCAGCTACCCAGGAGGCTGAAGTGGGAGGGTCTCCTGAGCCTGCGGTGGTCAAGGCTGTGGTGAGCCGAAATAGCGCCACTGCACCCCCCCGAGTGACAGAATGAGACCTTGCCTCAAAAAAAGAAAAAAAAGTAGAGTAAGCTGGGGTGTGGCAGCAGGAGGCTGCTGGGTACACTTGGGACAAATGGGCCATGGATATGGAGCCGGCAGCAGGGCTCGGGCTGGAGAAATAGGCTAGGGCTTCCCTGCCCCACGCTAGTCCACCAGGCCTGGCTGCCTCCAGTCCCTGGAGGGCTCAGGGCTAAAGGTCTGTCTGCAGCTTCACAGAGGCCTTGCTGGGGAAGGCGCTGCCTCACTGACAGCTACTGCTCTCTGCGCCAGCCTGGCTCCCCACCCACCACTTCCTCCTGGGTGCGTGACAAAGGCCACTTCGGTTAGGATGGCTCTGACAGATGTTTGTGGGTCACCACACTGCTCCTTCCCCTTCTTCCCACCTGCCAAGAGGTTAAGGGGAGGCTGCACCTCAAGCGAGCGGTTTCTAAGGTGGTGGTGGGAGCTTACGATGGGTGGAGCTTGGAGGCCACCATCATATTCCAAGGCCCTTGTGATCTCATGGTAGGTGGGTCTGGGCATTCCAAAGTTCTAGAAACTCAAGGCCGGGCACAGTGGCTCACGCCTGTAGTCCCAGCACTTTGGGAGGCCGAGGCGCGTGGACCATTTGAGGTCAAGAGTTCAAGACCAGCCCGACCGACATTATGAAACCCCGTCTCTACTAAAAATACAAAAAAATTAGCCAGGCGTGGTGGTGGGCACCTATAGTCCCAGGTACTCGGGAGGCTGAGGCAGGAGAATTGCTTGAATCCGGGAGGCAGAGGTTGCAGTGAGCTGAGATCGCGTCACTGCACTACAGCCTCGGTGACAGAGCAAAACTCCGTCTCAAATAAATAAATAAATAAATAAATAAATAAATAAATAAAAACTAAAGTTCTAGAAACTCAACCTGGATTTTCTGAGGAAGGGCTGAGCTGAACGCACCACAGGTAGGATTTTGGAAGGATGGCTTCTCTTGGGGGTGTTCATATGCAGTCCATAGGATCTGTTGTCACTGGGTGAGCTCACTCCAGAGGCTTCATTTCCAGCCTCTAAGTGGATGGTTGATGTGTGTGTGTGTGTTTGTGCGTGTGTGTGTGTGTGTGTGTGTGTGTGTTTGCAAACGAGCATATAGTTGAGGGCCAGAGACCTGGGAACCAGATATGGGCAACACTCTCTTGCCTTTAATGTCGATGAATGGGCTGGGCACGGTGGCTCACACCTGTAATCCCAGCACTTTGAGAGGCTAAGAAAGGCGAATCACCTAGGCCAAAAGTTCGAGACCAGCCTGGCCAGTGTGGTTAAACCCTGTCTCTACTAAAAATACAAAATTAGCTCAGCGTGGTGGCAGATGCCTGTAATCCCAGCTTCTCAGGAGGCTAAGGCATGAGAATCGCTTGAGCCCAGGAGGTGGAGGTTGCAGTGAGCAGAGATCACTTGACTGCATTCCAGCCTGGGCAACAGAGCAAGGCTGTGTCTCAAAATAAAAAACAAAAAACAAACAAATAATGTGGATGAAGGTATTCCTCTCTCTGGGCCTCGGGCCTCCTTCTGTATATATATAGCTCGCACCTCTACAGAACTCACCAACCTGTGAGTTCAAATAGCATCATATTAACTTTCACATACCCATGCTGTGGCCTCATTGCCTCCACCTGCCATTCCAGGTTCCCTAGCTTCCTGCAAACCTGAGTTCTTGCAGAAAGCCTCCAGCACTATCTCACTGGTACTCCACTCCTCTCCCTGGAGTGTGAGCTGCTCCAGGCTTTTGCCCCTTGGCTGCTGTTCTATAGTCTGACCTCAGACACAGCCATTCCCCTTGCTTTTGGCCCTGAGCCCTGGATGTGCCAGGGCTGAAGGAGCTGTGGCAGAGCTGGGGAGAAGGGCTCTCTCTCTGCTTTGCATCATGCAGAAGGTGTCCCAAAGCTATTGCTTGGGCTCCAGGGTGTACAGGCTAGCGAAGTAGCTGTTTCTGTCTTGTTTCTTTGTTTGTTTGTTTGTTTTGAGATGGAGTCTTGCTCTGTCACCCAGACTGGAGTGCAGTGGTGCGGTATCAGTTCACTGCAACCTCAGCCTCCCAGGTTCAAGCAATTCTCCTGTCTCGGCCTCCCGAGTAGCTGGGACTACAGGCATGTGACACCACGCCCTCTAATTTTTGTATTTTCAGAAGAAACAGGGTTTCACCATGTTGGTCGGGCTGGCCTCGAACTCCTGACATCAAGTGATCCGCCTCCCTCAGCCTCCCAAAGTGCTAGAATTACAGGTATGAGCCACCTTGCCCGGCTAGCTCTTTCAGTTTTTACCGATTCTTCTTTCTCTCTCCGTCTGCCTCTTGAACCCAGATTTATATTCAGGGAGGCTGAGCCAGAAACACACTTGAATAATAGCCACCATGCCACAGGCAGTGTCACTACTCCCCAAGGATGACTAAGACTTTGTTCCTTGGCCGGGTGCAGTGGCTCATGCCTGTATTCCCAGGGCTTTGGGAGGCCAAGGTGGGATGGCTTGAAGCCGAGAGCTCAAGACCAGCTTGTGGGCAATGTAGTGAGTCCCCATTTCTACAAAAAATAAAAATATTAGCCAGGCATGGTGGCACACATCTGTAGTCCTAGCAACTCAGGAGGCTGAGATGAGAGGATCCCTTGAGCCCAGGAGCTTGAGGCTGCAGTGAGTGGTGATCCAGCCTGGGCTGAGCAGAGCAAGACCCCATCTCAAAAAAAGAAAAAGAAAAAGAAAGAAAGAAAAAGAAAACAAATCAAACAGAAACCTGTTGCTGACTGATGTGTTTACATGGTGTAAGGAGCTAAAGTGTTTAGGGGAATTCCTACAGCATCTTTCTAATCATCTCCAATAGCACCTCTAATAGCTGAATGATTACGAAGGCCTCCTGCTGGCTTCACTAGCTGCTGGACTCCTCTCAGCCCCTTATGCCACTCCTCCTCCAGCTAAATATTCCTGAAGCTCACTGGGGAGCCGTGGATGACTCCCTTCAAAACCCTGGATGGCTCCCTATTATTTTGGAAGTTCTTGGCCAAAGCTCATACTGTGGCAAGTCGGAGGAGCCCCGGAGAGCTGGCTAGAACTAAAAGAATAATTTGTAGCCGCACATGGTGGCATTCGCCTGCAGTCCCAGCTACTCAGGAGGCTGAGGCAGGAGGATCCCTTGAGCCCAGGAGGCTGAGGCTGCAGGGAACTATAATCATACCACTACACTCCAGCCTGGGTGACAGAGCCAGACCCTGTCTCAAAAAACAAACAAATAACCAAACAAACAATACCCCAATAATTTAAGGGCTATCAAAAAAACCCTTAGAGGAACCCAAAGACATCAGGTCTCCTGGGCGGCTGGAGGAGGCCCCCACATCCCTCCATTCTCCCTCTCTCTACAGGCTACTTTCTCCTCTTCAACACACAGTGAAGATAACTGCCCTTCAGTGGCAACGTCAGTTCCCAACTTTGCATTTACTTAATTGAAAGACCATGGACACCCGGGCGCAGTGGCTCATGCCTGTAATCCCAGCACTTTGGGAGGCCAAGGTGGGTGGATCATTTGAGGTTAGGAGTTTGAGACCAGCCTGGCCAACATGGTGAAACCCCATCTCTACTAAAAATACAAAAATTAGCCAGGGGTGGTGGGCGCCTGTAGTCCCAGCTACTTGGGAGGCTGAGGCAGGAGAATCGCTTGAACCTGGGAGGCGGAGGTTGCAGTGAGCTAAGATCTTGCCACTGCACTGCACTGCACTGCACTCAGGCACTGCCAGTGAGACAGAGCGAGACCCTGTCTCAAAAAAAAAAAAGAAAGAAAGAAAAGAATGACCATGGAGGCTAAAGTCTCAATTTCCACAGTCTTAGGTCTTAGGAGGGAGGATCTCTGATTGGCCCAGCTGGAGTCAAATGTCCATCCTGTGGTAACCTATGGTCAAAGGAACAGGGTCATATCCTACATGCAAACCCAGCACTCGGCCGCCTCATCTGGCTGAGGAAGTAGTTCTTATGTGGAGGTTGTCGTGCTAGGCAGACACAACAAAATTATTTGTCACCTGCGGTAACGTTCAATCTTGTGCCATAGCTTGGCCCAGTCTCTCTCTTTGGCCTCACACCCTGCTTCCCTTCCTCAGTCTCTCTGATCAGCCTGTTCCCTTCGCCTGGAAAACACATCCCCCATCACCACTTGCCAAAATATCCCCAGGCCTCTAAGGCATTGGGCCAACTTCTCCGGGTCACCTTTTATGATACCTTCAACTGTCAGGCCTCTGAGCCCAAGCTAAGCCATCATACCGTGACCTGCACATATACATCCAGATGGCCTGAAGCAACTGAAGATCCACAAAAGAAGTGAAAATAGCCTTAACTGATGACATTCCACCATTGTGATTTGTTTCTGCCCCACCCTAACTGTTCAATGTACTTTGTAATCTCCCCCACCCTTAAGAAGGTACTTTGTAATCTCCCCAACCCTTAAGAAGGTTCTTTGTAATTCTCCCCACCCTTGAGAATGTACTTTGTGAGATCCACCCCTGCCCGCAAAACATGGCTCTTCACCCCCATCCCAAAACCTGTAAGAACTAATGATAATCCACCACCCTTTGTTGACTCTCTTTTCGGACTCAGCCCGCCTGCACCCAGGTGAAATAAACAGCCTTGTTGCTCACACAAAGCCTGTTTGGTGGTTTCTTCACATGGACGCGTGAGACATCAACTAGAAGTGTAGTAATAAAATGTCAGATTTGAAAGGACCCCAAATATCATCTAATCCAACGCTCCCCTGCCTCACACAAGTCCTGTCTCTATTCCCTCTCACTAAGTGTTCAGCCAGCCCTGCTTACGCACCTTCAGACAGGATGCTCACAACTTCCCACAGAGATGCATTGCAGCTCTGCCTATAGGAAATGCTTCCCTGTGACTCCCATGCTGAGAGGTGGCTCTGACCTGTGGAAATGCCCAGGACGAGTCTGTTCCATTCCACACCTGGAAGCTCCTTCAGAAATTTGGACAGGGCTCATGTCACCTCTTAGTCTTCTCTCTTTCTGGCTGAACATCCTTAGTTATAACTAATATTCCCCCATAAGACAAATTCCCAAGTCCTCTGATCACCCCACGGGGAATACCTGCTTCAACTTTTAGGACATCTGATGCCTCAGAATAAAGGCAAAAGGGGCTGGCCCGAGTGCAGTGGTGTTTACAGCGAATTGATCACAACCAGTTACAGATTCCTGTGTCTTTCTCCGCTCCCACTGCTTCACCTGACTAGCCTAAAATCAATCAATCAAGCAATCATTCAATCAATGCAAATGCATGTTCCAGGAAATCTTTTTTTTTTTTTTTTTTTTTAATGCAGGGTCTTATTCTGTCACCCAGGCTGGAGTGCAGTGGCACAATCTTGGTTCACTGCAGTGATCCTCCCACCTCAGCCTCCCAAGTAGCTGGGACCACAGGCATGTATCACATGCCCAGCTAATTTTATTTTTTGTAGAGACAGGGGTCTAGCCATGTTGCCCAGGGTGGTCTCAAACTCCTAAGCTCAAGCAATCCTCCCATCTCAGTCTTCTAAAGTGTTGGGATTACTTGGCATGAACCACCACACCTGACCAAGGAAATCTTTTAATTAAAAAAAAAGAGGAAGAAGACAAGACAAATGAAATATCCAACAATAAGTTGGTTAAATCAATTAAATATATCA
Source organism: Homo sapiens (assembly GCF_000001405.40). Lineage (NCBI taxonomy): Eukaryota > Metazoa > Chordata > Mammalia > Primates > Hominidae > Homo > Homo sapiens. Next base: position 30,453,573 of record NC_000016.10, on the reverse strand, counting down.
ATTTCATAGAATATTATCCATCCTTTAACAAAATATCGACTGGGCACAGTGGTTCATGCCTGTAATCCCAACACTTTGGGAGGCCAAAGTGAGCAGTTCGCCTGAGCCCAGGAGTTTGAAACCAGCTTCCGCAACGTGACAAAACCCCATCTTTGCAAAAGATACAAAAATTAGCTGGGTATGGTGGTGCATGCCTGTGGTTCCAGCTACTCGGGGAAAGGGAGGAGACCTCCCCTTATATTATCTTATGCCCAATTTCTGCCTCCAAAGAAAGAAAAAGTAAAAACTAAAAGGCAGAAATGAAATCCACAAGCAGACAGCCCGGCACCACACCCTGGGCCTGGTAGTTAAAGATCAACCCCTGACCTAATCGGTTATGTTATCTATATATTACAGACATTCTATAGAAAAGCACTGTGAAAATCCTTATCCTGTTTTGTTCCGATCTAATTACCGGTGCATGCAGCCCCCAGTCACATACCCCCTGCTTGCTCAATCGATCACGACCTTCTCACGCACACCCCCTTAGAGTTGTGAGCCCTTAAAAGGGACAGGAATTGCTCACTCGGGGAGCTTGGCTCTTGAGACAGGAGTCTTGCCGATGCCCCCCAGCCGAATAAACCCCTTCCTTCTTTAACTCGGTGTCTGAGGAGTTTTGTCTGTGGCTCGTCCTGCTACAGGGAGGCTGACGTGGGAGGATCATTTCAGCCCAGGAGGCGGAGGTTGCAGTGAGCTGAGGTCACGCCACTGCCCTCCAGCCTGGGCAACAAAACCAGACCCTGTCCCCAAAATAAAAAGGTAGATTTACATGTGCTAGCATAGAAAGATTGTTATGATAATGTAAGCAGAAAAAAATCAAGATACAAAACAGTGTGTGTCACATCTCGTTTATCTGTTAGGCAGGAAATCTGTTTTTTCTCAGCCTCTCACTTCCACATCTCTGCCTACTAAACATTTGTTAGGTATACTTTAAAACAAATTGGTGTGAGGAACTCTGCACAGTTATTTCTAGATTTTAGAGATGTCTTATTTATAGAGCGCAGAAGAGATGAGGTTTTGGGAACCTTCCATGTGCAATGATATTGATATTGATATTGATATTGATATACACAGTCGTCCCTCCCATATCAATGGTGGATTGATTCCAGGAAGCCCTGCAAATAACAAGTTCCACAGATGCTCAAGCCCCTTATATAAAATGGCATAGTATTTGTATGTAATCTACACACATCATTTCTAGATTACTTATAATACCTAATACAATGTAAATGGCATGTAAATCATTGGAACACTGTATTGTTTAGAAAATAATTACAAGAAAAAAGTCTGTACATGTTCAGTGCAGAGGTAACCATTCATTCTTCCTTTTATAATCATTTTCAATGCATGATTTGTTGAATGCACGGACATGAAACTCACAGATACAAAGGGCTGGCTGTGTATATATCTCCATAATGTTTGTTTTCAAATAAAGAGCACATATTACTTTTAAAATAAAAAAAATTAATAACGGATTTGAGATAAGCTTGGCATGGTGGGAAGATAAGGCAGGAGGATTGCTTGAGCCCAGGAGTTCCAGGCTGCAGTGAACTGTGATTGCACCACTGCACTCCAGCCCGGGTGAGTGCAGCATGGGTGAGAGACTTAATCTCTTTTTTAAAAAATTAATTGGCTGGGTGCGGTGGCTCATGCCTATAATCCTAGCACTTTGGGAGGCCGAGGCAGGCGGATCACCTGAGGTCAGGAGTTTGAGACCAGCCTGGCCAACATGGCGAAACCCTGTCTCTATTAAAAATACAAAAATTAGCTGGGCGAGGTGGCAGGCGCCTGTAATCCCAGCTACTCAGGAGGCTGAGGCAGGAGAATTACTTGAACCCAGGAGGTAGAGGTTGCAGTGAGCCGAGATCATGCCATTGCACTCCAGACTGGGCTACAGAGCAAGACTCCGTCTAAAAAAAAAAATAATAATAATAATAATTAATTTTTGGCCAGACGCGGTAGTTCACGGCTGTAATCCCAGCACTTTGGGAGGCCGAGGCTGGCGGATCACTTGAGGTCAGGAGTTCGAGACCAACCTGGACAACATGATGAAACCCCATCTCTACTAAAAATAGTCCCAGCTACTGGGGAGACTGAGGCGGGAGAATCGCTTGAACCTGGGAGGCGGAGGTTGCAGTGAGCCGAGATCGTGCCACTGCACTCCAGCCTGGGCGACAGAGCGAGACTCCGTCTCAAAAAAAAAAAAAAAAAAAAAAAGACATTCTTTGTACCAGACCCCATGCTAAGCCTTGGGCACATGGAGACCAGTGAAGCGGGGTTCCAGCTGTAGGGCTCACAGGTGTCACAGAAAACCCAGAATGGTAAATGCTAGAACAGAGGAAAGACCAGGGTATGAGATCACAGAGGAGAGACTTCCTCTTGAAGATAATAGTGTTTCTTGGGCAGAGAAACAGCCATTCCAAAGGGCAATTGAGAGCAGCACTGTGTTGCCTGGGCTGGAGTGCAGTGGCCATTCACAGGTGCCATCATAGCACACCATGGCCTTGAAGTCCTGGACTCCAGTGATCCTCCTGCCTCAGCCTCCCAACTAGCTGGGACTACAGGCTTGCCCCACCAGGCATAGCTCTCTTGCTTTTTTGGCAAGAGATGATGCACTAGGCCTTCTCACATTTGCCCCAGATACAAAGATGAAGCTTTCTGTCACTTGGGATGGTGGCAGCTGATGAAGGTGTGAGGGTGGTGGCCATAGGTGTCATCTCTCAAGTCTTCTGAGGCAGAGCCTGCTACTCTTAAGTCCCACAGGCAAGTCCAGGGGAAGTGGGGCTTGGGAACTGAGGCCATGCCGGGCCTGGGTCAGGGTCAGGGCGAGGTCAGGGACCGGCAATGGGGGCACTCATTCAGATGCTGAGCCAAGGTAGTGCAGGCTCAGACTGTGGGAAGGACACTTCAGAGGTTCCAAACCTCTTGAATTTTTTTTTTTTTTTGAGACGGAATTTTGCTCTTGTTGCCCAGGCTGGAGTGCAGTAGCATGATCTTGGCTCACTGCTGTGAGACAATTTTGTCTGTTGTGTTCACTGCTGTATCCCCGGGTCTAGCACAGTGGCTGGCACAGAGGAGGTCTTCAGTAAGTATTTGTGAATGAACCCAGGGAGTGTTGAGCATCTATAACCAGGTATCTCAGGTAATTTTTAACCATTATTTTATTTCTTACTAGAAAAAATGATGCTGGCCGCGGTGGCTCACATCTGTAACCCCAGCACTTTCGGAGGCCAAGGTGGGCGGATCACCTGAGGTCAGGAGTTCGAGACCAGCCTGGCCAACATGGTGAAACCCCATCTCTACTAAAAATACAAAAAATTAGCTGGGCATGGTGGCAGGCACCTGTAATCCCAGCTACTCAGGAGGCTGAGACAGGAGAATCGCTTGAACTTGGGGCGCGGAGGTTGCAGTGAGTCAAAATTGTGCCACTGCACTCCAACCTGGGCGACAGAGTGGGACTCCGTCTCACCAAAAAATAATAAAATAAATAAATAAATGAGATTATCCCATTTTTGCTAATTTAAAAAAAAACATACATACACAGCACACAGGGCAGGGTTCCCCACAGGGCGGAGGGTGACAGGGCGCCCCCTGGAGGGTGATGCGTGTAGGTGGAAAATGTTTAAAACACCATCCATTAAGGTATCCCAAGGATTTCTCTTTGGGAAATGGGATTTCAAGTCGTTTTAACATTCCTCCTTTTTACGAAGCTGTATTTTGTGATTTTTCTACAATGACAACAGAATGATTTTACAATAAGAAAAAAAATGGGGCCGGGTGTTGTAGTTCACACCTGTAATCCCAGCATTTTGGGAGGCTCAGGTGAGTGGATCATTTGAGCCCAGGAGTTGGAGATCAGCCTGGGAAACATATCAAGACCCTATCTCTACAAAAATTTAGCAGGAGTGGTGGTGTGCACCTGTAGTCCCAGCTACTTGGGAGGCTGGGGTGGGAGGATTGCTTGAGCCCAGGAGGTCAAGGCTGCAGTGAGCTATGATTAAACCACTGCACTCCAGCTGGGGTGACACAGCAAGACCCTGTCTCAAAAAAAAAAAGGGGGAAATGGGAATAGTGTACTAAAGGTATGTATATTTTACCACAGTAAAAAATAAGAATTTTTTAGATGTACTGATCCTTCAAGTGTAGTGTTATAACCCCAAATGATTATCACAATTGGGCCACATACCTGACCCAAATGCTGTTGTTGTATGTGAAAAGCAAACCAGGGGCTAGGACTCCAATCCTGTTATTCTTTTCCCAACCTGGAGTGCAGTGGCGCAATCCATAGCTTACTGTCACCTTGAACTTGAACTCCCAGGCTCAAGCGAGGTCTTCTTGTTCTTTTTTTTTTTTTGAGATGGAGTCTCACTCTGGCACCCAGACTGGAGTGCATTGGTGCGATCTCTGCTCACTGCAACCTTCGCCTCCTGGGTTCAAGTTATCCTCCTGCCTCAGCCTCTTGAGTAGCTGAAATTACAGGCATGCACCACCATGCCCGGCTAATTTTTGTATTTTTAGTAGAGACAGGGTTTCGCCATATTGGCTAGGCTGGTCTCGAACTCTTGACCTCAGGTGATCCGCTCACATTGGCCTCCCAAAGTACTGGTATTACAGGCGTGAGCCACTGCGCTCGGCCACAAATAGTAAAACATAGCTCAATGGATCTCTCAGTGAGAAATAAGAAAAGAACAAAAGGAATGCTTCCAGGTGCTGAGGCTGCAGCCCTCAGGGTCACCCTTGAGAGGCCCCTATGGGTCACCTGCACAGAGGCACATGCATGTGTCATTCTGAGCACAGCAGGTTGGTCACTGGCCAAGGCAAATTCGTGACTTTCTTTGCACTGGCCCAAGTGAATATTGCTCCAAGTAGAAGCAACAGGGAACTGTATGGATGAAAACCTTCCCCCAAAGACCTCTGCTTCCTAGAAGGGCATGGAGTAGAGGTTATGAGTATTATCAAGGAGGCCCCTCAGCCAGGTGCAGTGGCTCATGCCTGTAATCCCAGCACTTTGGGAGGCTGAGGCAGGAGGATCACCTGAGGTCAGGAGTTCGAGACCAGCCTGGCCAACATGGTGAAACCCCATCTCTACTAAAAATACAAAAATTAGGCAGGCATGGTGGCAGGTGCCTATAATCCCAGCTACTCGGGAGGCTGAGGCAGGAGAATCGCTTGAACCTGGGAGGCAGAGGTTGCAGTGAGCTGAGGTCAAGCCACTGCACTCCAGCCTGGGTGACAAAAGCAAAACTCTGTCTCAAAACAAAACAAAACAAACAAACAGAAACAACAGAGCAGCCCCTGCTCTGCAGAGCTTACAAACGAGGGGGCCAGACAGATAGGCATGGCATTATCACATGATTAAAGAATTACAGGGCCAGGCGCGGTGGCTCATGCCTGTAATCCCAGAACTTTGGGAGGCCGAAGGGGGCGGATCATGAGGTCAAGAGATCAAGACCATTCTGGCCAACATGGTGAAACCCTGTCTCACTAAAAATACAAAACATTCGTTGGTTGTGGTGGCGGGTGCCTGTAATCCCAGCTACTTGGGAGGCTGAGGAAGGAGAACTGCTTGAACCCGGGAGGTGGAGGTTGCAGTGAGCCGAGATCGCACCACTGCATTCCAGCCCGGGTGACAGTGCGAGACTCCATTTCAAAAAACAAACAAACAAAAAAAAGAATTGCAAATTGTACTAAGTGCAGAGAGGGAGAAGTCCAAAGAACTAAGAGAATGTATAACCAGCACCACCTGACCTAGTCACTTTTTAACTCAGGTGAGGTGATTACAGACATAATACAATGTTTTCCTCTTTCCCTTAGAGATATGAGGATCCTTTCCCTGTACAATAGGCTTAACATTTTGCAAAACACTTTTCAGCTGAGGTTTCCTATGGCCCTTCCACTAGATCCTAAGCAGAGATTGTGACCCTGGTTTAACAGAAGAGAAGACTAAGGTGCAGAGAGGCTAGATCACTTCCTCAAGGTCAGCCAGCTCACTGACAGCAATGCAGACATCATACAAGGTCTTTTGCTTTCACTGTATTTTCCCACTCCATCATGCTTTCTTTTTGCATGTTTTTTAAATTCTGAAATATAGCATACCTACAAAAATAGTGTGGGAAAATATCTATGTGCAGTTTTTTTTTTTTTTTTTTTTGAGACAGAGTCTCGCTCTTTCACCCAGGCTGGAGTGCAGTGGTGCAGTCTTGGCTCACTGCAACCTCTGCCTCCCAAGTTCAAGCAATTCTCCTGCCTCAGCCTCCCGAGTAGCTGGGATTATAGGCGCTCACCACCATGCCCGGCTAATTTTTGTATTTTTAGTAGAAACGGGGTTTCACCATATAGATCAAGCTGGCCTCGATCTCCCAACCTCGTGATCCACCCGCCTCGGCCTCCCAAAGTACTGGGATTACAGGTGTGAGCCACTGTGCCCGGCCCCGAAAATATCTATGTACAGTTTAAAGAACAACCATGTACCACGTACCCACCACCAGCCCAATGAACAGAATTAAACATAGCCCAGAAGCTCCCTATGTAGCCCTCCCTAGACATAGCCCCTATGCTGAGTCTTCTATTCATTTTCTTGTCTTTTAAAAAAGTTTTTATTGGCTGGGTGTGGTGGCTTATGCCTGTAATCCCAGCACTTTGGGAGGCCGAGGCCAGCAGATCACTTGAGGTCAGGAGTTTGAGACCAGCCTGGCCAACGTGGTGAAATCCCGTCTGTACTAAAAACGCAAAAATAAGCCGGGTGTGGTGGCGCACACCTGTAATCCCAGCTATTCAGGAGGCTGAAGCAGGAGAATCACTTGAACCTGGGAGGTGGAGTTTTTAATAGATATTGGCAAACTGCCCTTCATGGCTATATAAGATATATATATATATTTATTTACAGAGATATAGGAATTTTAGAATAGACCAGTCCTATGTAACCCACTCTGTTCCACAGATGGATGAGTCAACCGACGCGGAGAGTGACTCCACACAAAGCTGGTGGGAAACACCATTAGAATCCATGCAGGTGTCTGGACTTCCAGTCCTAAATCTCTCTTTTTGTGTGTGTCTGTGTGTGTGGGGGGGGTGTTTGTTTGTTTGTTATTGTTGTTTGTTTTAGAGACAGGTTCTTGCTCTGTCGCCCAGACTAGAGTGCAGTGGCGCGGACGCAGCTCACTGCAGCCTCGACCTCCTGAGTCCTAGAGTTCTTGAAGTTCCTGTTAACATTTCATTATATTGATGCTGCCTGCAGTTTGCTAACTTAATGGTAGTAGTTTAATTTCTAATTTCTCATGCTTTCTGTTTTTTCCCTTGGGCTATTTTGCCATCCTGGATCGATCATGTGCGCTGTCAAGTGACCTTTGGGACAATCCTGCCGATCATGAGGTTTGCCGAGTGACCAATCTTCCCTCGTCTACAATTTGCTGGACTTGGAAAAGTGACTGGAAGGGAGCAGAGTTCCGTCAGCCACTGCCAAGAAACCATTTAAATTACTAAGAGAGCGAAGGAAAGCACGTGACGTTCTGCAATCCCGTTGCAAGCGGTTTTGCAAGCCGGAGGTTGTTGCACCTTTTAGAGTCTAGGAAGCCCGCCTCTCGGTGGCGGAGTCGTCATTGGATGTTGCGGCTGTCAATCGCCAGGGCTATAAATAAGGGAGTCCGGCGGCTCCTCTATCAGGAAGATTGTGCATGCCGTGGGTCTGACGGCTTGAGTAGCGCTAGGGAGAATCCCTGCAGGTAATATTTGACTTTTGCTTCATATTAATCTGAGTGGAAAATAAAAGGGCCCTCTTCTCCTCTCGCTTCCCTGCCGGGCAGGCGCCATGGCGGAAGCCTCGGCGACGGGCGCCTGCGGAGAGGCGATGGCAGCGGCGGAAGGCTCCTCGGGCCCGGCGGGCTTGACTCTGGGCCGGAGCTTCTCGAACTACCGGCCCTTCGAGCCCCAGGCGTTGGGCCTCAGCCCGAGCTGGCGGCTGACGGGCTTCTCCGGCATGAAGGGCTGAGGCTGCAAGGTCCCGCAGGAGGCGCTGCTCAAACTCCTGGCGGGACTGACGCGGCCGGACGTGCGGCCCCCGCTGGGCCGGGGCCTGGTGGGTGGCCAGGAAGAGGCGTCCCAGGAAGCCGGCCTGCCGGCAGGAGCGGGCCCCAGCCCCACCTTTCCAGCCCTGGGCATCGGGATGGACTCCTGCGTCATCCCCCTGAGGCACGGGGGCCTGTCACTGGTGCAGACCACGGACTTCTTTTACCCCTTGGTAGAAGATCCCTACATGATGGGGCGCATAGCTTGTGCCAACGTGCTGAGTGACCTCTACGCCATGGGGATTACTGAGTGTGACAACATGTTGATGTTACTCAGCGTCAGCCAGAGTATGAGTGAGGAGGAACGCGAAAAGGTAACGCCACTCATGGTCAAAGGCTTTCGGGATGCGGCTGAGGAAGGAGGGACGGCAGTGACCGGTGGGCAAACGGTGGTCAACCCTTGGATTATAATCGGTGGAGTTGCCACTGTAGTATGCCAACCAAATGAGTTCATAATGCCGGACAGCGCCGTCGTTGGGGACGTGCTGGTGTTAACCAAACCGTTAGGAACCCAGGTTGCTGTCAATGCCCACCAATGGCTGGATAATCCTGAAAGATGGAATAAAGTAAAGATGGTGGTCTCCAGAGAAGAGGTGGAGCTGGCCTATCAGGAAGCCATGTTCAATATGGCTACCCTCAACAGAACTGCTGCAGGTTTAATGCACACATTTAATGCCCATGCGGCCACAGATATCACAGGCTTTGGCATTCTAGGACACTCCCAGAACCTTGCAAAACAACAAAGAAATGAAGTGTCCTTTGTTATTCATAATCTGCCAATAATTGCCAAGATGGCTGCCGTCAGCAAGGCCAGTGGACGGTTTGGGCTTCTTCAAGGAACCTCAGCTGAAACCTCTGGGGGATTACTGATTTGTCTGCCAAGAGAACAGGCGGCTCGCTTTTGTTCTGAAATCAAATCCTCCAAGTACGGAGAGGGTCACCAAGCGTGGATCGTTGGCATTGTGGAAAAGGGAAACCGAACGGCCCGGATCATTGACAAGCCGCGAGTTATTGAAGTCCTGCCTCGTGGGGCCACAGCTGCTGTTCTTGCTCCTGACAGTTCAAATGCCTCCTCTGAGCCTAGCTCGTGAGATGAAAGAACAGAAGTTGTTTGGACCTTAGAGCCATTGTCCACAATCACGGATGGTTCTCAAGAGTTGATTGTAAGAAATTTCCAAAGAAGGCTGCCTGCATAGTGGTTCCGGCTGCCCTTTCTAGGTGATTGGAATCAGCCCATCTAAAGCAGTCTTTATATGCATTCCGAGGCCAGAGTAACATTTTGAACTTTGGGGGGATATTTGTTCATCACTTGGGTAGAAGAGGAGCAAAAATACCTCTGTTTTCTCTTGCCAAAGTAAGATGAAGCTATTCCAGGTTGAGGGATTTTTCTTTGCACGGGGTTGATTAATTTCTGCACAGGGAGTGAGATTATTAAAGTAACACACACACAAAGTAAATTGCAAAATGAAAAAAATTAGAAGCAAATGAGTTTTGGACCAATATTGTTGATAAATCTAAATTGTTAAGAGAGATCTTATAATGCAACATCAAATTCTTTATTCAATTTTACTGAAGTACTGGCTCTTTCCTGCTCTGGACAAGAATTGAGCAACTTGTCTGATGACTGGGAAAGGAGGACCTGCAACCATCTGACTTGGTCTCTGTTAATGACGTCTCTCCCTCTAAACCCCATTAAGGACTGGGAGAGGCAGAGCAAGCCTCAGAGCCCAGGCCTCAGTGGTCATTAAGATGTTAAGTCTTTTGCGGCAGATTCCTGGTGATTTGATCAATAAAGAGTAATTTCTTGCTAAATAAATAAAAGAAACCTTGTTGAAAAACTATTCTGGCTAATGTTTGGTGGTTTGAAATTCAATACAGTCTTATAAAACGAACCAGCTTATACACTGAGTCTGGTATAGCAGAGAGAGAGTGTTTTCCCTGATGCTGGTGAATTGGGTAATTTAACACCCAGATTTAGGGTTGCACCTTCCCCCTGAAATGACAGAAAAGGACTCGAAGCAGGCATACGCCCCAAGGGTTAGAGAGTGGGCAGGAAATAGCAAAAGAAAGGTGTCAACAATTCTTGAAAGATGGAAAGGAGGTGGAAGAGGGGTAACTGACTTAAAGGAATCCTTCATAGTAGGGGAAGACAAGAAGCAAGAAGATGTGCTTGGAAGATGGGGTAAGACCTGGGGATAAAACATACTGTTTGAGAGTTTATACACGGTAATTCGATCTTTAGCGTTCTCCACACTCTTATTTCACACAGCCAGGTGACTGCCTCTCACCTACGCAGGTAGAGTTGGGAGCACCACACACAGCAGAGGATAGGGAGCCTAACTGAAAAAATAAAAATTTAAAATGAGACTGCCCAGCCCCCTTCCTCAATTAGATATTCAAAATACTGGCCAGGCCAGCACGGTGGCTCACGCCTGTAATCCCAGCACTTTGGGAGGCCGAGGCGGGCAGATCATGAGGTCAGGAGGTTGAGACCATCCTGGCTAACAAGATGAAACCCCATCTCTACTAAAAATACAAAAAATTAGCTGGGCGTGGTGGCGGGCGCCTGTAGTCCCAGCTACTGGGAAGGCTGAGGTGGGAGAATGGCGTGAACCTGGGAGGCAGAGCTTGCAGTGAGCCGAGATTGCACCACTGCACTCCAGTCCGGGCAGCAGAGCGAGACTCCATCTCAAAACAAACAAACAAAAAACTGGCCAGGCCAGGCCCAGTGGCTCACGCCTATAATCCCAGCACTTTGGGAGGCCGAGGTGGGCAGATCTCTTAAGCTCAGGAGTTTGAGTTCAGCCTGGCCAATATGGCAAAACTCCGTCTCTACTAAAACAAAAAAAAATACAAAAATACCCAGGTGTGATGGCGTGCCCCTGTAGTCCCAGCTACTCGGGAGGCTGAGGTGGGAGAACCTTGAACCCGCAAGGCAGAGGTTGCAGTGTGCAAACACTGCAGTCCAGCCTGGGCGACGGGAGTGAAACCCTGTCTCAAAAAAAATAAATAAAAGCCCAAAATCACTCTACCACAAGGCCTCCTAGGTGAAAGCCTTTATTGAATGATGTTAAGCTTTTTTTTTTTTTTTTCCGGACAAAGTCTCACTCTGTTGCCCAGGCTGGAGTGCAGTGGTTCGATCTCAGCTCACTGCAACCTCCGCCTCCCAGGTTCAAGCGATTCTTCTGCCTCAGCCTCCCGAGTAGCTGAGATTACAGGTGTGCACCACCACGCCCGGTGAATTTTGTGTTTTTAGTAGAAAATGTGGTTTCACCATGTTGGCCAGGCTGGTCTCCAACTCCTAACCTGAAGCAATTTACCCGCCTCAGCCTCCTGAAGTGCTGGGATTACAGGCATGAGCCACCGCGCCCAGCTAATGTTAAGCTTTTTAATGCCTCATTCTTAAATATGAGCAGTCAAGGATCACCAAGCATGTGAGGAGAGCCTCCAACTTAAACAGAAAAAGGAAACTCAGAGGGACAATACAGGGAGTAGGAAAAAAGATAAAAAATATCCGCAAAGCAATACTTAAGAGAACCAGCCACTTAGAATATAAAGATAAAGCTAAAACTTGAAATTTTTAATAGGGGGCTGGGTGCAGTGGCTCACATCTGTAATCCCAGCATTTTGGGAGGCCAAGGCGGGCGGATCACCTGAGGTCAGGAGTTCGAGACCAGCCTGGCCAACATGGTGAAACCCCCATCTTTAATAAAAATATAAAAATTAGACAGGCTTGATGGCATGAACCTGTAATCCCAGCTACTCAGGAGGCTGAGGCAGGAAAATCACTTGAACCCAGGAGGCAGAGGATGCAGTGAGCCAAGATCATGCCATTGCACTCCAGCCTGGATGACAAGGCAAAATTCTGTCTCCAAAAAAAAAAAAAAAATTTCTAATAGGAGACATAAAGTTGCAGAAATTTATCAGAAAGTAGCCCCAAAAGGCCAGGCACCTTACTCACACCTGTAATCCCAGCACTTTGGGAGGCCAAGGTGGGCTTGAGCCCATGAGTTCAAGACCAACCTGAGCAACGTGGCGAAAACCTGTCTCTACAAAAAATACAAAAATTAGCAGGCATGGTGGTGTGCACTTGTAGTCCCAGCTTCTCTGGAGGCTGGGGTGGGAGGATCACTTGAGCCTGGGAGATGGAGGCTGTAGTGAGCCAAGATTGCACCACTGCAGTCACCACTGCAGTCCAGCCTGGGTGACACAGTGAGATCCTGTCTCAAAAAATAAATAAGCCGGGCGCGGTGGCTCACGCCTGTAATCCCAGCACTTTGGGAGGCCAAGGCAGGCGGATCACGAGGTCAGGAGATCAAGACCATCCTGGCTAACACGGCGAAACCCCGTCTCTACTAAAAATACAAAAAATTAGCCGGGCGTGGTGGCAGGCACCTGTAGTCCCAGCTACTTGGGAGGCTGAGGCAGGAGAACGGCGTGAACCCGGGAGGTGGAGCTGGCAGTGAGCCAAGACTATGCCACTGCACTCCAGCCTGGGTGACAGAGCGAGACTCTGTCTCAAAAATAAATAAATAAGAAAGTAGACCATGTCGCCATAAAAAAGAATGAGTTCATGTCCTTTGCAGGGACATGGATGAAGCTGGAAGCCATCATTCTCAGCAAACTAACACAGGAACAGAAAACCAAACACTTGCATGTTCTCACTCATAAGTGGGAGTTGAACAAATGAGAACACATGGACACAGGGAGGGGAACATCACACACCAGGGCCCATTGGGGGTTGGGGGCAAAGGGAGGGAGAGCATTAGGACAAACAGCTAAAGCATGCGGGGCTTAAAACCTAGATGACAGGTTGATAGGTGCAGCAAACCACCATAGCACATGTATACCTGTGTAACAGGCCTGCATGTTCTGCACATGTATCCCAGAACGTGAAGTAAAATAAAAAAAAAAAGTAGCCCAAAAAGATGCACAATAAAATAAATTCTATAAAGATCAAATGAGGCAGGAGGTTCAACATCTAAGCGGAGTTCTAGAATAAGGCAGTAAAGCAGATGGAAGAAAAAATATTATCCAAGTTTTCTAGAACTTAAAAGTTGTAAACCACATACCTCTTGAACTCCTAGCACAGTACATTTTAAAAGATCCATGCTAATTTTATTAAATTTCAAAATGCCAGTTATGAAGAAGAGATCCTAATAATAATGAAAGCAAATGTTTATATAGCACATATTCTGTGCAGGAAGTAAGTGCTTTATACGTATTAACCCAATCTTCTAACAACCCCAATTTGCAAATGAGGAAGCTGAGGTATAGGGAGAATAAGAAATTTGTCCAAGCTTGCATAGTCAGTCTTGTAGGCGGTCTGACTCCAGAACCCATGCTTCTGATCACTATGATCACATACAAAGGTGTGGGAATAATGACACACCTTTGTATGTCATCATGACATCAGACTTCACAACCTCAAATTGGAAGCTAAAAAACAATAAAGCAGCCAGGTGCGGTGGCTCACACCTGTAATTCCAGCACTTTGGAAAGCCGAGGCAGGAGGATCACTTGAGCCTAGGAGTTTGTGACCAGCCTGGGCAATACAGTGAGATCCTATTTCTACAAAAAAAATAGAAAATTAAGTTTAGCCAGGCATGGTGGCATGCGCCTGAGGCCGAGGTGCAAGGATTGCTTGAGCAACAGAGTGAGACCCTGTCTCAGAAAAAAAATTTAAAAACAACACACACACAAAAGCAATGCCTTCAAAATTCTGAGGGTAAATGATAATCTCTGTAGAAGTCTACAGCAAGCCACATTTTTCAAATAAGTAAAATAAAGATATCTTGGGGCATACAGGGTATCAAAATGGCTTCATCCCATGTACTTTTTCTCAAGAAACTACCAGAGGATATGCTCCAACAAAACAAGGAAGCAGGCCAGGTGCGGTGGCTCATGCCTATTAATCCCAGTACCTTGGGAGGCCGAGGCGGGCAGATCACGAGGTCAGGAGTTCAAGACCAGCCTGGCCAACATGGTGAAACCTTGTCTCTACTAAAAATGTAAAAAATTAGCCAGGCATGGTGGTGGGTGCCTGTAATCCCAGCTACTTGGGAGGCTGAGGCAGGAAAACTGCTTGAACCCAGGAGGCAGAGGTTGCAATGAGCTGAGATCGTGCCACTGTACTCCAGCCTGGGCGACAGAGCGAGATTGTTTCAAAAAAAAAAAAAAAAAGAAAACCCCGTCTCTACTAAAAATACAAAAATTAGCCAGGCGTAGTTGGTGGCGGGTGCCTGCAATCCTAGCTACTTAGGAGGCTGAGGCAGAAGAATCACTTAAGCCCAGGAGGCGGGGAGGTTGCAGTGAGCCGAAATCGTGCCACTGCACTCCAGCCTGGGTGACAAAGCGTGACTCTGTCTCAAAAAAAAAACCAAAAAATCAAAACAAAACAAAACAAAAAACAAGGAAGCAAACTGAGAAAGAGAAAAACATGAGATTAAGGAAATGCAACCCAGCACAGGAGAGAGGTGAAGGTAATAGCTAAACAGTAGGCTTACAGAGCAACCAGCCCACACTGGACAGGGAGCCTGGAAGGCTTCCAGAAAGGCCTTCCAGAAAAGAAAAATATGAAACTGATATAATATTGATACATTTAATTGTGTGAAAATTGTATTGGCAGGATAATCGAATATGTGAAAACAATTAGTGGCCAGGCATGGTGGCTCATGCCTGTAATCTCAGCACTTTGGGAGGCTGAGGCAGGAGGACTGCTTGAGGCCAGGAATTCAAAAGCAGCCTGAGCAACATAATGAGACTCTGTCTCTACCGAAAAAAAAAAAAAAGAATTTGTGATAATCATTTAGAAAATTAGCAAACGACTGCCAGGCGCGGTGGCTCACACCTGTAATCTCAGCACTTTGAGAGGCTAAGGCGGGTGGATCACCTGCGGTCGGGAGTTTGAGACCAGCCTGACCAACATGGAGAAACCTTGTCTCTACTAAAAATACAAAATTAGCCAGGAGTGGTGGTGGGCACCTGTAATCCCAGCTACTCGGGAGGCTCAGGCAGGAGAATCACTTGAACCCTGGAGGTGGATGTTACAGTGAGCCGAGATCGCACCATTGCACTCCAGCCTGGGCAACAAGAACGAGACTCCATGTCAAAAAAAAAAAAAAAGAGAGAAAAAAGAAAATTCACAAATGACAACAAAAAATGAATCAACACAGCCAAGAATAACCCTGTAAAATAAACCAACTAACCAACTCCAGCCCAAAACAACCTTATAGAACAAATGAAATGTAGTCATACATTTGTATGAGGTATAGGGAGAATAATAATTGAACATTGACTTTTTTTTTTTGAGACAGAGTCTCACGGTGTTGCCCAGGCTGGAGTGCAGTGGCATGATGGCGGGTCACTGCAACCTGTGCCTCCTAGGTTCAAGCGATTCTCCCGCCTCAGCCTCCCGAGTAGCTGGGATTACAGGCAGACACCACCATGCCTGACTACTTTTTGTATTTTCAGTAGAAACAGGGTTTCACCATGTTGGCCAGGCTGGTCTGGAACTCCTGATCTCAAGTGATCCACCTGCCTCGGCCTCCCAAAGTAATCCTGGGATTACAGGTGTGAGTCACCGTGCCTGGCCAACATTGAATATTTACATAGCCAGTTATGTAAATACTATTAACATCAACAACAAAAAATAGGTAAATCAATTCAATCCATTTTTCTCCTGTTCAAAGTGCAGAAACAGCTTTTCCAGCAATTTCCCACCCCTGCTACAGATCTCCAGCTTCATCTCATGGCACTCTCTCTACCTCTCTCACTACCTGCTGGCCCATCAGCCTTCCCTGGGACTTCAAACAAATCAAGATCCTTTGTGCTTGCAGTTCCCGCTGTCTGGAACCTCACCTCACACTCACCTGACTGGCTTGTTCTCAGTCCTGTCTCAGTTCAAATAAAACCTCTTCACAAAGGCCCTTTCCCACCTCCTGGCCAACAACCAGCCACTCTCCAATGCATCACCCTGTTTATTTGCTTTGTAGCTCTTATCCTAGCCTATAATTCCCTTGAGAATGTGTTAGTTCGCTTTAGAATTGTCTCCTTCTGGGCAAGGCATGGTGGCTCATGCCTGTAATCCCAGCACTTTGGGAGGCTGAGGCGGGCGGATCATGATGTCAGCAGTTCGAGACCAGCCTGGCCAACATGGTGAAACCCCGTCTCTACTAAAAATACAAAAATTAGCCAGGCGTGGTGGCGGGCACCTGTAATCCCAGCTACTTGGGAAGCTGAGACAGGGGAATCGCTTGAACCTGGGAGGTGGAGGTTGCAGTGAGCCGAGATCATGCCATTGCACTCCAGCCTGGGCAAGAGGGCAAGACTTTGTCTCAAAAAAAAGAAAAAAAGAAAAAAAAAGAATTGTTCCCTTCTGCTAGTATGTAAGCACCAGGAAGGTAGGGATGTTCAGTATCTCCAGCAGCTAGAACAGTGCCTGGTCCATAGGTACTGACCCTTTCTTTTCACTCTTCTGGGGCTCTTGGTGTCTCCTGCAATTGAAGCTGGTACCACTTTTTTTATTTGAGACTGTAACCCAGACTAAAGTGCAGTGGCACAATCATAGCTCACTGCAGCCTCGACATCCTAGGCTCAAGTGATCCTCCCACCTTAGCCTCCCCTGAGCAGCTGGGACTAGAGGCACACACCACCACACCCAGATAAGTTTAAAAGTGTTTTTGTATAGATGGGGTCTTGCTATGTTGCCTAGGCTGGTCCCTGGCTTCAGGTTGGGCACCATGGCCTGTAATCCCAGCAGTATGGGAGGCCGAGGTGGGCGGATCATTTGAGGTCAGGAGTTTAAGACCAGCCCGACCAACATGGTGAAACCCTGTCTCTACTAAAAATACAAAAAAAATTAGCCAGGCATGGTGGCACAGGCCTGTAATCCCAGCTATTTGGGAAGCTGAGGAAGGAGAATGGCTTGAACCTGGGAGGCTGAGGTTGCAGTGAGACAAGATCACAGCACTACACAGCAGCCTGGGTGACAGAGCAAGACTCTACCTAAGAAAGAAAGAAAGAAAGAGAGAAAGAGAGAGAGGAAGGAAGAAAGAAAGAAAGAAAGAAAGAAAGAAAGAAAGAAAGAAGGAAGGAAAGAAAGAACGAGAAAGAAAGAAAGAAAGAAAAAAAACGAAACGAAACTAACTCCTGGTTTTTCAAGTGATCCTCCTGCCTTGGCCTCCCAAAGTGCTGGGATTACAGGCATGAGCCACTGTGCCTGACCCTATTTCCTTTTAGGAGGAAGTTTAGGAAGGCTTTTCAGACGAGGTGGCCTTGAAACAGGGCTCTGCAGGATGGGTGGCATTTGGATTTGGATGTGCACAGAACGGGGCGGGCATTCCAGATGGAGGAAACTGAGGAAGCAAAGGTGGGGAGGGAAGAGTCCGGAACATCTCTCTGGACTTCAGCAAGTGTGTACAGGGACAGGATGGAAAAGCAGGTTCGAAGAAGACTTCAAAGGGTGTTGGGGACTCTCTGGCCTGAATGAGCTAGGCTGGAGATTCCTAAAAGCCCCTGTTATGACTCTCCCTGAAAAATTTAAGAACAAATATTCTGAATTATAGCAGCACCTTTTCTCCCAGTAGCAGAAGGATGTACTGCAAGCATGGCCTGCTTGCCTGGCCCAATCCATCCAGCCGGCCATTAAACCTTTATTGGCTTGCACTGGAAAAACACCTTTGATTTGAAAAGACTCATGGATCCCGTCTCTTGGGAAGATAGGCTCATAAAGAGCTAGTTACTGGGGCACGGTGGCTGATGCCTGTAACCCCAGCACTTTGGGAGGCTGAGGCAGCAGGATCACTTGAGTCCAGGAGTTCGAGGCTGCAGCGAGCTGTGATTACACCACTGTACTCCCGCCTGGCCAACATGGTGAGACCCCGTCTCTAATAAAAATAAAAAAATTAGCCAAGCGTGGTGGTGTATGCCTGTAGTCCCAGCTACTCGGGAGGCTGAGGCAGGAGTATCATTTGAACAGAGGTTGCAGTGAGCCGAGATCGTGCCACTGCACTCCAGCCTGGGCAACACATCAAGACTCCATCTCAAAATAATAATAATAATAAAATATAAATAAATAAATAAGTAAACATTAATAATATAGAAAACATCTCACTATGTTGCCCAGGCTAGTATCAAACTCCTGGGCTCAAGCAATCCTCCCACCTCAGCTTCCCAAAGCGCTAGTATTACAGAAGTGAGCCACCATGCCTGGCTCCAAATCTTGGTCTTTTCTGCCTAGATTCTTGTGTTAGTTATTCATCTTCAGTTCCTTGACTTTCAGTATTGTCTAAATGATTGAGACTGCCACATCTGAATGTCTAGCCCTGATCTCTCCTCTAAACCTTAGATTCAAAACTTCACTGCCAACTCACCATGCCTCTTCAACTTGCCTTGCCCTAAACCACACGCCTGAGGCCACACGTGTTCAGTCCTGTCCCTCATCTTTTCCATCCCCAAATCAGTCACCATCCACCCACCGGGTTGCCAAACCCTCAAAATCTGTAAGCCATTCTACCCTTTCTCCCATCCCCCATTCAAAACCAACAAAAACCTCCAGATCTACCTTCAAAATACGTTCCCAAGACATCCACTTTGCTCCATCTTCACCCACCATCACCTGGCTCAAGTCACCATCATCTCTTGCCTGGACAACAGCAGTAACTCATCCCCCTGCTTCTACTCTTGCCTCCTCCAGTTCTTTTTTTTTTTTTTTGGAGACAGAGTCTCGCTCTGTTGCCCAGGCTGGAGTGCAGTGGCACAATCATCGCTCCCTGCAGCCTCAAACTCCTGGGTTCAAATGATCTGCCCAAAATATGATCACTCTCCTGCTTAAAACCCTCTGAGGCCAGGCGCGGTGGCTCACACCTGTAATCCCAGTGCTTTGGGAGGCCAAGGCAGGCAGATCACCTGAGGTCAGGAGCTCGAGGCCAGCCTGACCAACATGGTAAAACCCTGTCTCTACTAAAAATACAAAAATTAGCTGGGCGTGGTGGCACATGCCTGTAATCCCAGCTACTAGGGAGGCTGAAGCAGGAGAATTTATTGAACCCGGGTGGCAGAGGTTGCAGTGAGCTGAGATCGCACAACTGCACTTCAGCCTGAGCAACAGAGGGAGACTACATCTACAAAAAAAAAAAAAAAAAAAATCTAAAATGAAACTCGTGGTGAATTGGTCTGATCTGACCTCTTTTTACTTCTCCTACACCGTACACATGCAACCACTCTCTGCTTTGCTCACTGCCTTCCTGCCACACTGCAATATGCCAAGCCTTTCCTGCATTAGGCATTGGTTGTTCCCTCTGCCTAGAACTCTATTCCCCTTGATTTGTCCTCAGCTTAAATGTCACTTTCTCCAAGGCAAGTAACAAAAAACCGAACTAAAAGTAGTTTGACCATTAAAGGGATTCATTTTCTTATATAGCCAGAGTCCGAAATTAGGGTATTTCTGGAACTTGTACAATAAGTGGCTCAGCAATGTTAGGAAGGATCAAGTTCCTTTGTATCTGGCTGACTTGCCAATTTCAGCCTGAGGACTAGGTTTCCTCTCAATCTTCTCTCCATATACCAACATCTAGAGGTAGAAACATCCTGTGTCTTTTGTGGTTTTGTTTGTTTGTTTGTTTGATTTTTTTTTTTTGAGACAGGGTCTCCCTCTGTCACCCAGGCTGGAGTGCAGTGGGCTGATCATAGCTCACTATAACAAACTCCTGGGCTCAAGTGATCCTCCCACCTTAGCCTCCTGAGTAGCTAGGAATACAGGTGCATGCCACCATGCCCAGCTAATTTTTTTTTTAATTTTGTGTAGAGTGTCGCTATGTTGCCAGGGCTGGCCTCAAAAGATCCTCCTGCCTCCACCTCTGAAACTGCTGGGATTAGAGGCATGAACAACCATAGCCAGCCCCTGTAATTTCTTTAAAGAACTAAGAAGAACGTTTCCCAGAAATCCAATAGAGTTCCTCCAACTTGGCCGGGCAGTGGCTCATACCTGTAATACCAGCACTTTGGGAGGCCGAGGCAGGGAGATCACAAGGTCAGGAGATCGAGACCATCCTGGCCAACATGGTTAAACCCTGTCTCTACTAAAATACAAAAAATTAGCTGGGCGTGGTGGCACACGCCTGTAGTCCCGGATACTCAGGAGGCTGAGGCAAGGGAATCGCTTGAACCCAGGAGGTGGAGGTTGCAGTGAGCAGAGATTGCGCCACTGCACTCCAGCCTGGCGACAGAGCGAGATTCTGTCTAAAAAAAAAAAAAGACTTCCAACTTATTATCCATAGCATGCTCATTCATAAACCAATCAATGGCCAGGGCAATGGGAACACTATGACCAGTCAGGCAGAACAATCAAGTGGAGGAGCGTGGACCCCAGAACAAAATCAAGATTCTGTAAGTGGCCGGGCGCGGTGGCTCACGCCTGTAATCCCAGCAATTTGGGAGGCAGAAGGGGGAGGATCACTTGAGGTCAGGAGTTCAAGACCAGCCTGGCCAACATGGTGAAACCCCATCCCTACTAAAAATACAAAAATTAGCTGGGTGTGGTGGTGTGCACCTGTAATCCCAGCTATTTGGGAGGCTGAGGCAGGAGAATCACGTGAACCCAGGAGACGGAGGTTGCAGTGAGCAGAGATCATACCACAGCACTCCAGCCTGGGCGACAGAGTGAGACTCCTAAAAAAAAAAAAAAAAATTCTGCAAGAATAGAAGAGGAGCCAGGCATGGTGATGCTCACCTGTAGTCTTAACTACACAAGTGGGCTGTGATTGTGCCACTGCACTCTAGCCTGGGCAATAGAACCAGAACCTGTCTCCTCCTCAAAAAAGAAAAGAAAAAAGAAAAAGAGAATGGAGAAGAGGAAAAAGAGCAATTAAGTAGGTAACCTACAGTGCTTACTATATATCTTCCTGGACCATGCAATCTAAACATGCCCCCAATCACTTTTCATAGTATATATGTATGTATTTATTGAAACAGGGTCTCACTCTGTCGCCCAGGCTGCAGTGCAGTGGCGTAATCATGTCTCACTGCAGGCTTGACCTCCCTAAGCTCAGGTGATCCTCCCACCTCAGCCTCCCAAGTAGCTGGGACCACAGGTGTGCACCACCATGCCCAGATTTTGTTTTGTTTGTTTTGTTTTGTTTTGTTTTTGAGACAGGGTCTTGCTCTGTCACCCAGGCTAGAGTACAGTAGCACAATCTCGCCTCACTGCAACCTCCATCTCTCGGGTTCAAGTGATTCTCATGCCTCAGCCTCCTGAGCAGCTGGGACTACAAGCATGCACCACCACACCCAGCTAAGTTTGTATTTTTAATAGAGAAAGGGTTTCACCATGTTGCCCAGGCTGGTCTCAAACTCCTGATCTCAAGTGATCTGCCCACCTCCGCCTCCCAAAGTGCTAGGATTACAAGCATGAGCCACTACGCCCAGCCTTTCATAGTATTTAAAATACAGTTACATTTATTTTTTTCATATTTATCGCCATTTCAGGCAATACATCATAGGGTCTAATAACAGACTGTGAAGCCAAACTGCCTGGATTTGACGCCAGCTCTACCACTTTACTAGCTGTTAAGTTATTTAACCTCTCAGTTTCCTTATCTTTTTTTTTTTTTTTTTTTTTTTTTTTTTGAGACGGAGTCTCGCTCTTTCGCCCAGGCTGAAGCACAGTGGCGCGATCTCGGCTCACTGCAAGCTCCACCTCCCAGGTTCACACCATTCTCCTGCCTCAGCCTCCTGAGTAGCTGGGACTACAGGTGCCCGCCACCACACCCAGCTAATTTTTTGTATTTTTAGTACAGACGGGGTTTCACCGTGTTAGCCAGGATGGTCTCGATCTCCTGACCTCGTGATCCGCCCGCCTCGGCCTCCCAAAGTGCTGGCATTACAGGCGTGAGCCACCGCGCCCGGCCTCAGTTTCCTTATCTTTAAAATGGGGATGACAACAATATTACCTACCATATAGGGTTTTTGTGAGGATTAAATTAGTTGCTATGAGGATTAAATATGTAAAATGCTTAAAACAGCCACCCCAGTTCCAGTTCATTCCTGAGGTCCCACTGTATTCTGGAGACACTCTTGTATCCTTACAATAAATTCCTTGTGGCCGGTGGGGGTGGCTCGTGCCTGTAATCCCAGCACTTCGGGAGGCCAAGGCAGGAGGATTGCTAGAGCCCAATCCAGCAATCCTGGTTCAAGACCAGCTTAGGCAACATGGTGAAACCCTGTCTCTATAAAAAATTTAAAAAATAAAAATAATAGATTTCTTTTTCTTGCTAAAAGCAGTTTAAACTTGTTTCTGTTGCATGTATCCAATCTTAACTGCTGGATAATATCATTTGTATAAATATACTTCCATGTAGCCATTCTTCCGTTGATAGTCATTTTATTTTCAATTTTTTTCACTCTTAGAAACAAAACTGTAATGAACTTCTTGCATGTGTCTCTCTGCACATATTCATTAATTTCTCTAGGGCATATACCTAGAATTGCAATTGTCACAGCCTTGGGATTTTAATTTCCAAAATCTGACTCTGCCTCTTCCTGCGCTTTCTTACGCTTTCACTTCCAGCAAGCTGGAAGCCTCTTTAAACGTGGAAATCAGAGATAGTAGCCCTAATAAGGGTACAATAATAAATCATTCTTTGCAAGACTACACCTGTTCTAGGGTTTCATAAAGATCTCTGCTCCTCCCATGGCCAATAACTCAGTGGTTCTGATTTGAAAGCAGCAACCCTGTGACTCGCCACCTCGCGTATTCCCTGGTGTGAGTGGAGCCTGGAGTTCTCGTGTGTGGGGTGGAGGAGCCGTGCTGGGGACCCATGAGGCTGGAGAGGCCGGCACAGGCCAGACCATAAGGGGCCACGTGTTTCAGGGCAATGTACGTTGCGCTGGGGCCTACTGCCTCCCTTAGGACAGGGATGGGGCGACCTCCATCGTTTCAACCACAGGACACAGCGATGGCGGGGAGCTGAAGTCCTACTGCCGTCTGATCTTACTCCGCTCTTCCCCTTCAATCCCATCCAAATAGTGTGGGGGTTGGCCTCGAGGTTTCTCAACGTCCTTAAGCCCTGATTTAATACCTATGCATAGGGCCTTTCATTTATAGGGTTTTCCACCTGACGGGCCCTCTTCCGCTGCCGTTTCGCTTTGGCGCCCTCTGGCGCCCATAAACGAAGTGACGCGCCTGCGCTTCCCCCACCCTCTGCCCTTCGTCTCTTCCCCAGGTCGAATTGGTACCTCTACCTTTAGACACAGGGCCTAGCGGAAGAATTCCAGGGCCTAAGACTAGAAACGCGCGCTTGAAGCTCCCTCAGATTGGTCCAGTGAGGGAAGGGGAGGGCTGTAGCAAACTCCACAAAAGTCATTGGTCTCTTTCCTCAGGCTCCGCCCCGTGAGGCAATAGAGAACTCCCGTAATTGGTCGGAGCTCTGGAGGCGGGGCTTCGAGCGTGGCTCGTGGGTTTTCCGTGAAGTCGCGGTGCAGCGGTGGGCGGCATGTCTGTGGCCGGTGGGGAGATTCGTGGGGACACGGGGGGAGAGGACACTGCTGCTCCCGGCCGGTTCAGCTTCAGCCCGGAGCCCACGCTCGAGGACATGTAAGCAGGCCTGGCCCAGCTCGGGGTGGGGAAGTCGCCCCTTTCTCCCGCGTTTTGGGGAGGGTTCCTCCACGTGGTCGGGAAGCGGGCTGGCAGCGGGGCTCGGGTCCTGGCTCTGTGGGCTGTCCCTGGGTGAGCCTTCTTACCTCATCTGCAAAATGGGCGCAGCGGTGCACACCTGAGGCAAGGGAAATTGGGTGGTGCCTCCGAGTGGTAACTAGGAACGCCCTTCAGCCTAGCCCTGGGAAGATACCGGCACCAGATACCGCCTCTGCTCTCCAGGCGCCGGGGGTACGAGAGGGGCAAACGAAGTGCTGAGAGGTGGGAGACGTTATTTTTTGCTGGAGGAGGTCAAGAAAGGCTTCTTAGAGGAAGGGTCTGTGGAACTACCTTCTGTAAGAGAAATTGCATTTTGATGTGCGGCGATTCCAGGTGGAGGAAACTGCAGAAGTAGCAGCAGGAGATGGAATAATGAAGAGGGTTTTGTTAGTTTTGGCGAGATGTTAAGGGCAGTTCAGGGGCACGCCCATTTTATAGATGAGGGAACCAAGTTCCGGAAAGAGGAAATGACCTGCACAATACCATCCAATGAATTAGTTGCAGAATCTCCTGGTCCCAGGCCCCATTACATACTACGGGGGTAGCTGCCTCTGGCCCCTGCATCACCCTCTAACCCGGAGACTTGGACTTACACTCCTTTGTCCTATTTCAGCCGCCGCCTCCATGCTGAGTTTGCTGCGGAACGAGACTGGGAACAGTTCCATCAGCCTCGGAATCTCCTCCTGGCCTTGGTTGGGGAAGTGGGGGAGCTGGCAGAACTCTTGTGAGTAGATGGAAAGCTTCCTGGTAGAGTCTGAGTTGTGGGGGAGGGGAGGGGAGCATTTATTTGGTCTTCAAACATTCATGGGTTCAGTTTCCCCTCCTGATTGCTAGGCTCTTTGCTGTTGTTGGGATGCAGAGAGGACTCACGGGTCCCTGCCCTCTAGGGGCACTCAGCCTCCTGGAAGAGAGAGGTGTGAGGTGTGAAAGCATCAGGACAGGTCCCGTCTAGGAAGAAGCAGTGGCAACAACCCTTTTCCCTTCTTTTGTTTTTTGTTTTTTTGGCTTTTTTTTGAGACGGGGTCTCGCTCTGTCGCCCAGGCTGGAGTGCAGTGGCTCAATTTCGGCTCACTGCAACATCCGCCTCCTGGGTTTAAGCAGTTCTGTCTCAGCCCCCCGAGTAGCTGGGACTACAGGTGCCCCCCACCACGCCTGGCTAATTTTTGTATTTTTAGTGGAGACGGGGTTTCACCATATTGGTCAGGCTAGTCTCAAATTCCTGACCTCAGGTGATCCACCCGCCTTGGCCTCCCAAAGTGCTGGGATTACAGGGGTGAGCCACCACGCCTGGCCCAACAACCCTTTTCCTCTGCCTCTGGGGCTGAAAGGAAGGTATTCTGTAGAGGACCTGCCTGTGGCATTCCAGACATGGGAACTACATTTGCAGGGGCAGTGAGGCAAGAAAGGGCAAGTTCAATTCAGGGAGAATCTGACGCTCCTTCATTGTAAGCATCTCAGGAAAAATCAGGGATTTGGGATCTGTTTTCTCTGATGTGTCCCAAGTGCCCAGCGCATAGTAGGCGCTCAATAGGCACACGTTGGATGAGTGATAGGGCTGTGGAGGAGAGGGGTGGGAGTTGAACCCACAAAGATATGATTAGGGCTAGAGTATGATGGAGAGTTTGGACAGAAGACCTGACCAGATATGAGTGTTGGAAAGGTCACTGTGTCTACAGGGTGGATTGGATGGATCACTGAGAGAATGGGGCAGGGGACACCAGAGAGTTGGCTGGTGTAGACCAGGCAAGAGGCGATGAGCCCTAGACCAGGACAGTCATTTTTTTAAGAGAAAAGGTCTCACTCTGTTGCTGAGGCTGGAGTGTACTGGTGTGATCATAGCTCACTGAAGCCTCAGGAGCTCAAACGATCCTCCCACCTCAGCCTTCGGAGTAGCTGGGTCTACAGGCGTGCGCCACCACCAAGCCTGGCTAATTTATTTTTACTTTTTGTAGAGATGGGATCTCTCGCTGTTGTTGCCCAGGCTGGTCTCAAACTCCTGGTCTCAAGTGATTCACTTGCCTCACCATCCCGCAGCACTGGGGTTACAGGTTGAACCACTGCACATGGCCTCATGACAGATTTATGAACATCACCTATGTGCTAGGTCTTCTAGAATTGAGATATGGCCTGGAACAAGGCAGAAAGGTTTCCACCTTCACAGTGGAAGGAGATTGACAGTAAATCAGTAATCTCATATTAGAAGATCTGGAATTATGACAAGTTCTATGAGGAAAAGAACACAAGGTGATGACCCAGTCTGGCCAACATGGTGAAACCCTGTCTCTACTAAAAATACAAAAATTAGCCAGGCATGGTGGCGGGCGCCTGTAATCCCAGCTACTCAGGAGGCTGAGGCACAAGAATCGCTTGAACCCAGGAGGCAGAGACTGCAGTTAGCCAAGATCACACCATGGCACTCCAGCCTGGGCGACAGAGCAAGACTCTGCCTTAAAAAAAAAAAACAAAAAAGGGGCTGGGCGGGGTGGCTCACACCTGTAATCCCAGCACTTTGGGAGGCTGAGACGGGCAGATCATGAGGTTAGGAGATCAAGACCATCCTGGCTAACACGGTGAAACCCCGTCTCTACTAAAAATACAAAAAAATTAGCCGGGCGTGGTGGCGGGCGCCTGTAGTCCCAGCTACGCAGGAGGCTGAGGCAGGAGAATGGCGTGAACCCAGGAGGCGGAGCTTGCAGTGAGCCGAGATCGCGCCACTGCACTCTAGCCTGGGCGACAGAGCAAGGCTCCGTCTCAAAAAAAAAAAAAACCCAACGAAAAAGGTCCAGGTGCGGTGGCTCACACCTGTAATCCCAGCACTTTGGGAGGCCGAGGCAGGCAGATCACCTGAGGTCAGGAGTTCAAGACCAGCCTGGCCAACATGGTGAAACCCTGTCTCTACTAAAAAATACAACCATTAGCTGGGCATGGTGGCACACCCCTGTAGTCCCAGCTACTCGTGAGGCTGAGGCAGGAGAATTGCTTGAACCCTGGAGGCAGAGGTTGCAGTAAGCCAAGATTGTGCCACTGCATTCCAGCCAGGGCGACAGAGCAAGACTCCGTCTCAAAAAACAAAACAAAACAAAACAAAAAAGACCAGCCTGGCCAACAGGCTGAAACCCTGTCTCTACTAAAAATACAAAAATTAGCCGGGTGTGGTCACAGGCGCCTATAATCACAGCTACTCAGGAGGCTGAGGCAGGAGAATCGCTTGAATCCGGGAGGCAGAGCTGGCAGTGAGCCAAGATCACGCCATTGCACTCCAGCTTAGGCAACAGCAAGACTCTGTCTCAAAAAAAAAAAAAAACCGGCCAGGTGCTGTGGCTCACACCTGTAATCCCAGCATTTTGGGAGACCAAGGCAGGCGGATCATGAGGTCAGGAGATCGAGACCATCCTGGCTGACACGGTGAAACCCCATCTCTACTAAAAATACAAAAAATTAGCTGGGTGTGGTGGCAGGCGCCTGTAGTCGCAGCTACTCAGGAGGCTGAGGCAGGAGAATGGCGTGAACCTGGGAGGCGGAGCTTGCAGTGAGCCAAGATCGTGCCACTGCACTCCAGCCTGGGCGACAGAGCAAGACTCTGTCA
The DNA here is from genome assembly GCF_000001405.40 of Homo sapiens. Taxonomy (NCBI): domain Eukaryota; kingdom Metazoa; phylum Chordata; class Mammalia; order Primates; family Hominidae; genus Homo; species Homo sapiens. Next base: position 30,426,194 of record NC_000016.10, on the reverse strand, counting down.
AAAACAAAAACGAACAAACAAAAAACACACAAGGTGACGAGCCAGGAGGTGACATCTAGGCTGAGCCCTGAATAACAGGAAGGAGCTAGCCCTGGGAATGATGGGGGATGGGGAAGCATTCAAGGCAGAGGGAGCAGTGAATGCAAAAGGCCTGTGACAGTCTGGCCTGTGTGCAAGGCAGAACAAGCCAAAGTGGCCTTAGGCGGGGAGTGAGAGTGGGGGGCAGTGGCATTGGAAAAGGCAGGCGTCAGCCCATGCAGGACAGGAGGGCTTTGTCAAGAGTTTAGATTGTATTCCAAGCACAGTTTGTATTTTAGCAGAGAAGGGGAAAAATACAATTTGTGGGGTCTCGTTTTGTTTTGTTTTGTTTAGTTTTTGAGACGGAGTTCTGCTCCTGTTACCAAGGCTGGAGTGTGATGGCGTCATGGCGGGTCACTGCAACCTCCGCCTCCCGGGTTCAAGCGATTCTTCTGCCCTCCTGCCTCAGCCTCCCAAGTAGCTGAGATTACAGGCATGCGCCACTATGCCTAACTAATTCGTATTTTCTGTAGAGATGGGGTTTCACCTTGTTGGCCAGGCTGGTCTCGGACTCCTGACCTCAGGTGATCTACCCACTTCACCCTCCCAAAGTGCTGGGATTACAGGCATGAGCCATGGCACCCAGCCAATTTTTTTTGTTTCATTTTGTTTTGTTTTGTTGTTTTTTTGAGACGGAGTCTTGCTCTGTTTCCCAGGCTGGAATGCTGTGGTGCGATCTCGGCTCACTGCAACCTCTGCCTCCTGGGTTCAAGAATTTCTCTGCCTCAGCCTCCTGAGTACCTGGGATTATAGGTGCCCACCACCATGCCCAGCTAATTTTTTTGTATATTTAGTAGAGACGGGGTTTCACCATCTTGGCCAGGCTGGTCTTGAACTCCTGACCTCATGATCCACCCGCTTCAGCCTCCCCAAGTGCTGGGATTATAGGCGTGAGCCACTGCGCCAAGCCTGATTTGTGCTTTTAAAAGATGGTGTGGGCCGGGTGCGGTGGCTCATGCCTGTAATCCCAGCACTTTGAGAGGCCGAGGAGGGCGGCTCACCTGAGGTCAGGAGTTCGAGACCAGCCTGGCCAATATGGCAAAACCCTGTCTCTACTAGAAAAACAAAATTAGCCGGGCATGGCGGCACATGCCTGTAATCCCAGCAACTCGGAAGACGGAGGCAGGAGAATCGCTTGAACCCGGGAGGCGGAGGTTGCAGTATCGCCCCATTGCACTCCACTCCAGCCTGGGCGACAGAGCGAGACTCCGTCTCAAAAAATAGAAAAGATGGTCTGGGCAGGAGTAGAAGATGAGCTAGCCAGGAGATGAGTGGGGAGGCTTCTGCAGTGGTCCAGGTCCGAGGTTTGGTCTGTGGTGGTGACGGCTAGGGCTGGAGAGAATTAGAATTGGGCCTCAAAGCTTTGTCTCAACAGATGAAACATTCTTTTGGCCACTCCTTGGCCCAGGGAGAGACACAGACATCTTGGTATCATCTGTCGGGGTCTCTTCCCCACCTGACTCTTCCCAGGGCCCAGATTGGTTAGGTCGTCCTTGGAGGTGGGTGTTATTACTGCAAGGACTGGCAGAGCCCATTGCCCCAGGTTACATCTGAGTGTGTGTCTGTCTGTGTTCTGCCCCTAGTCAGTGGAAAACCGATGGGGAACCTGGCCCCCAAGGCTGGTCCCCCAGGGAACGGGCAGCCCTTCAAGAGGAGCTTAGTGACGTCCTCATCTACCTGGTGGCATTAGCAGCCCGCTGCCGTGTGGATCTGCCGCTAGCAGTGCTCTCCAAAATGGACATCAACCGGCGACGCTACCCAGCCCATCTGGCCCGCAGCTCTTCCCGCAAGTATACAGAATTGCCCCATGGGGCCATCTCTGAAGACCAGGCTGTGGGGCCTGCGGACATTCCCTGTGACTCCACAGGCCAGACCTCAACCTAGAAAGATGGCCACAGGACTTGCAACTCAGGGTGGTGTCTGAAGAGCAGAGAGTGGCCTGGCCCTGGAGCCTTTTTCTAGTCTTTTCAGAATAGATCATGGGCCTGAGGCCTCCACTTCTTGAGGTCTGAGGCCCAGCAGCCTCTAGAAGGTAGCCTCCTGGTGTTTGTTCTCCCAGTAAAATGGTTTTGGGCGATAACTTCTAGATTATTCCTGGATGGCCAGGGAGGCTCTCTGTCTCAGCAGGTGATGACGGGGGTACCAGGGGTGCCTCTGAGACCCATTCTCGTGTTTCCCTGTTGTACCTTTTGCCTGCAGGGCAGAGAGATCTGGTTTCTAGCAAATTCCCAGTAGGATGTCATGTAAGTTCCTTCCCCCTCTTAGAGATTGAAGGCTGTAAGAGTCCAGATGGTGGAGCCAGGCTGTCTGGGTTCAAATGCCATCTTTGACACTTGCAAGCTAAATGACATTACTCAAATTAATCGTTCTGCACTTCAGCTTCCTTGTCTATCAAATAAAAAGAATAGTACCTGCCCAATAGGGTCGTGAGGTTTCAATGAGTTATGTGAATGCTCAGGGCGGGGCCTGGCACATAGTAAAGTACACTTGGTAAGTTTTGCAGTTACTGTTATTACCTGTTTTCCTTTTTTTTTTTTTTTTGAGACAGAGTCCTGCTCTTGTAGGCCTGGCTGGAGTGCGGCGGTATGATCTCGGCTCTCTGCAACCTCTGCCTCCTGAGTTCAAGCGATTCTCATGCCTTAGCCTCCCAGTAGCGGGGATTACAGGTGCCCACCATCACGCCCAGCTTTTTTTTTTATTGTTTTGAGACGGAGTCTCACTCTTTCGCCCAGGCTGGAGTGCAGTGGTGTGATCTCGGCTCACTGCAAGCTCCACCTCCCGGGTTCACACCATTCTCCTGCCTCAGCCTCCCGAGTAGCTGGGACTACAGGTGCCCGCCACCACGCCCGGTTACTTTTTTGTATTTTTAGTAGAGATGGGGTTTCACCATGTTGGCCAGGCCGGTCTTGAACTTCTGACCTTAGGTGATCTGCCCACTTTGGCTTCCCAAAGTGCTGGGATTACAGGCCTGAGCCACCGTGCCCAGTCGTTTGCCTTTTTATTTATTTATATATATATTTTGAGACTGAGTCTCGCTCTGTCACCCAGGCTGGAGTGCAGTGGCGTGATCTCAGCTCACTGCAACCTCCGCCTCCCAGGTTCCAGCGATTCTCCTGCCTCAGCCTCCCAAGTAGCTGGGATTAAAGGTGCATGCAACCATATCCGGCCAATTTTTGTAATTTTAGTAGAGATGGGGTTTCACTATGTTGGCCAGGCTGGTCTCGAACTCCTGACCTCGTGATACGCCCACCTCAGCCTCCCAAAGTGCTGGGATTACCGGCGTGAGTCCCCGCGCCTGGCCTTATTTACCTTTTTAACTCAACTATCGGGCCCAGAGCAGGAAATCAGGGTCAGGTCTCTGATGTGGGGCGAAATAGGGCTTCCTCCTTGGTAAAAGTAAAGGCTACCCACCCTGCCACACCAAGGCCAATTTATTGTTTTTCCTCTCCACCTAAAGATAGTGTTGAGGGCCGAGCGTGGTGGCTCACGCCTGTAATCCCAGCACTTTGGGAGGCTGAGGCAGGTGGATCCCCTGATGTCAGGAGTTCGAGACCAACCCGGCCAACATGGTGAAACCCTATCTCTACTAAAAATACAAAAATTAGCTGGGCGTGGTAGCGGGTGTCTGTAATCCCAGCTACTCCGGAGGCTGAGGCAGGGAGAATTGCTTGAACCCGGGAGTCAGAGGTTGCAGTGAGCTAAGATCATGCCACTGCACTCCAGCCTGGGTGACAGAGCGAGAATCCGTCTCAAAAAAAAAAAAAGAAAGTGTTGAGTGTGTAAGATTTGCCTGTTGTGTGACTTTGGGCACATCACTTTTTTCTGAGATACCTCTGGCTGCCTCCGTCATAGGGTAGGCTAATGTAGGGGAAAGGACTTTTAAACTGCAGTTGACCCTTGAACAACACGGGTTTGAGCTGTGTAAGTCCACATTTGGTTGAATTTTTTTTCAACCAGACATGGTTCAACAATACAGTATTTGTGGGATGCAAAACCCATGTATGTGGAGGACCAGCTTTTCCCATATGTGGGTTCCGCAGGGCTGACTGGGGCTTGAGTATGCGTGGATTTGTGTACACGGTGGGGATGGGGGTGTGTCCTGGAAACAGTCCCCCACGTATACCAGTGGACATCTGTGCTTTCAGAATCTTCAATGGTCAGCCGGGTGCAGTGGCTTACACCTGTAATCCCAGCACTTTGGGAGGCTGAGGCGGGCGGATCATGAAGTCAGGAGATCAAGACCATCCTGGCTAACACAGTGAAACCCCGTCTCTGCTAAAAATACAAAAAATTAGCCGGGCGTGGTGACAGGCACCTGTAGTCCCAGCTACTTGGGAGGCTTAGGCAGAATGACGTGAACCCAGGAGGCGGAGCTTGCAGTGAGCCGAGATCGTGCCACTGCACTCCAGCCTGAGGGACAGAGCGAGACTCCGTCTCAAAAAAAAAAAAAAAAAAAAGAATCTACAATGGTCACTGACTTGCTGCCTCTCTGAGGCAGTCTGCATCTCAGTAAAATGAGGCATTCTCCTTTCCTGGCCTCACTCTCTTATATTTCTTATCCATTGACCCCCATTCTTATTTCCCAGGTAAAACAGTGCATCAGATTATGTGCCCAAACCCGCCTGTCTTCTGGCTGTCCAGTGATAATGGGATCCGCATTCTTATGAAGCCCTGATTCCTTCCTCTCTTTAATTGGGTGTCTGCTTTCCCTTCTGTATGATCAGCTTCTCTGCATTAGCCCTTTCTTCCCGTGCAGAAAGCATATATGAATCCCTTCCCTGTTGCCAAAAGTGAAACCATCAAACCTCGAGCAGTATCTTCAAAGGGTTGGCTAAATTCCCCCAATCTGCTTCCCCACTGTCCCATTTACAACCTTGCCTCCTGGCTGGTTTTCACCCCCCTCCACTGAAACGACTCTCACCACTATCCCCACCTTCATGACAAATGCAGCGGGCACCAGAGCAGCAGCTGATCCTCCACTCTCCCTGAAACACTTTCCTCTAGATTTCCCAGATAAGATGCTTACCTGGTTTTCTTCCTACCTCTGGCTATTTTTCCTTATTTTTAGTGGAGACGGGGTCTTACCATATTGCCCAAGTTGGTCTTGAACTCCTGGCCTCAAGTGATCCTCCTCCCTCGGCCTCCCAAAGTGCTGGGATTACCGGCGTGAGCCACCGCGCCTGGCCACTTTCAAGACTCTTCTTGAGTGCTTTCTTCTGGACATGGTGTCATGGACTCCAGACGAACTCCAGACCTGATATCTCTAAGCTATTATTGCCAATCCCCTCCCTCATGCTGACCTAACATTCAGCATGTCCAGACTGGGGTGTAACAGTTGCCCCACTTAACCTCCTGTCTTGCTCTTCATCCTGCACCCCCATCTCAGTGACACTGTCCTGCAGTCACCCAAGCTAAGAAATGAAGTCAGTCCCATCTCCTTTCCCTCAACCCCAGGTCCACTGCTATGAGTTCCAGCTCCCTACAGATGTCAGATCCATCCTTCCCCTCTAAGCCCTCAAGGCTTTGCTACCTTGGATACTTTAACCTCACTTCCAAAACCCTCTTGCTTTTTGTCCCCCCATTCCACCCCAGGGAACATTTGCAAGCTCTAATGACCCTGGAATGCAGCTTTAGGGGCTCTCTCCACACTTCCCGAACCCCAGCTTCACCTTCCAGACCCAACTTAAACATCACCTCTGAGAAGAGCCTATCTTCCTCCATCATAGCACCAGTTGACACTGGACTGCAAGTGCCTATTTACTTGTCTCTGCCATTCATTGGCTGTAGCAAAAATGGACAGAAAAGATTTACCTAGCCAGGCATGGTGGCTCATGCCTGATCTCAGCACTTCGGGAGGCAGAGGTGGAAGGATTGCTTGAGGCTAGGATATGGAGACCAGCCTGGGCACCATAGCGAGACCCTGTCTCTACAAAATAAATAAATTTATTTTTATTTTTTATTACTATTTTTTTTTGAGACAGAGTCTCACTCTTGTCACCCAGGCTGGAGTGCAATGGTGTGATCTCAGCTTACTGCAACCTCCACCTCCCATGTTCAAGCAATTCTCCTGCCTCAGCCTCCCAAGTAGCTGGGATTACAGGCGTCTGCCACCACGCCCAGCTGATGTTTTTGTTTTTTGTTTTTTTGAGATGGAGTCTCACTCTGTCTCAGCCTTCTGAGTAGCTGGGATTACAGGCTAATTAATTTTTGTATTTTTAGTAGAGATAGGGTTTCACCATGTTGGCCAGGCTGGTCTCGAACTCCTGACCTCAGGTGATCTGCCTGCCTCAGCCTCCCAAACTGCTGGGATTACAGGCGTAAGCCACCTTACCCGGCCCAAAATAAATTTAAAACAACGCATGGGTTTGGATTTATGATGGGCTGGATTCCCTAGGCCTCTCATAGTACCCCATGCCAGAGCAAACTGTAGCCCCAACCATTGCCGGGCCTCTATGCCTGTAGGCTGCTGGCACTGAAGTGGGTTGCACAGTAGAAAACAAGAAAAAATTTTTTATAACTTTGGAATTTTAAATTTTTATTTATTTTTGAGACAGCCTCACTCTGTCGCCCAGCCTGGAGTGCAGTGCCACAATATTAGCTCACTGTAGCCTCAACCTCCTGTGCTCAAGTGATCCTCCCACCTCAGCCTCCTCATTTGCTGTGACTACAAGTGTGCCTCACCATGCCCAGCCTTTTTTTTTCTTTTTTTAATAGATGGGGGTCTCACTTTGTTCTCCAGGCTGATCTCAAACTCTTGACTTCAAGAGATCCTCCTGCCTCCGCCTCCCAAAGTGCTGGAGATTACAGGCATGAGCTGCTAGGTCCAATCGCTTTGAGATTTTTTTGGTTTGGTTTGGTTTGGTTTGTTGTTTTTTGTTTGTTTGAGGCAGTCTTCCTCTGTTGCCCAGGCCGGAGTGCAATGGCACTATCTCGGTTCATTGCAACCTCTGTCTCCCAGGTTCAAGTGATTCTCATGCCTCAGCCCCCTCAGTAGCTGGGATTACAGGCGCCCGCCACCACACCCAGTTAATTTTTGTATTTTTAGTAGAGACCGGGTTTCACCATGTTGGCCAGGCTGGTATCGAACTCCTAACCTCAAGTGATCTGCTAGCCTCGCCCTCCCAAAGTGCTGGGATTACAGGCGTGAGTCACTGTGCGCCGGGCTGGGTAAGCTTACATAACAAAGCAGTTAAAACCTTTAACGTAGTGTTATTACAGTTTTCTCTCCTTCACTAGACTGAGATCTGAGGGTCGTGCCTTGCTCACTGGAGCTCTGCCGAATGCAGTGCGTGTCTGATCGTGAACATAGTATATTTATGGGCCCTTTCAGGTCTAAGGTTATGAGGACGTAACCAAGGGCCAAGTGTGCGATCACCTCCAACCAACACAAACCGAGGTGCCGGGAACCCCTTTTAGGTTTACATCCCCATTTGGTTCCTTGACAACTCACTTGGCACCTGAGCCTGGAGAACCCCAACTTTCTTCCTCTCCCACCCACCTCACTCACAGGCACGGGTGGGGTGAGGATATAATACTTTATTCACTAACACGGGCCGAGGGAATGTAGTGATGTGGGGTGGGCACTGTTTCCAGGGACCCCGGCAGGGGATTCTCCCTGTCTCCCAGTTCCAGGGCAGCCGGGCCTGCCGTCCCCTCAATTTCCCAGACCCGGAGGCCGGGGCGAGGAGGAGCCTGGGTTAGTGCAGCCAGGTCGAAGCCCCAGCGCGCCCCTCCGCAGCCCTGCGGGACTCAGCTGCCCTCACACTCCGGGCAACGCTCGGTGGCAGTGGCGGCCGTGGCGCCAGGGGGCAGCTTGAAGTCCCTGCCGCAGCCGGCGCAAATATACAGGCGGCGCCGCATGTGCGCGCGTCGGTGGCGAATGAAGTGCGAGCTTAGGCGGAAGCGGCGGCCGCACTCGGCGCAGGGGTAGGGCCGCTCGCCTGTGTGCGTGCGCGCGTGCTCCGCCAGGTTGGAGCGGTGGCCGAAGCGACGGCCACACACAGCGCAGCGGTGCGGCTTCTCGCCCGTGTGCACGCGCCGGTGCTTGGCCAGCGCCGAGCTCTGAGCGAAGCGCGTGCCGCAGTCGGCGCAAGCGTAGGGCCGCTCGCCCGTGTGCGTGCGTCGGTGGCGCGCCAGGCACGAGCTGCCGCCAAAGGCGCGTCCGCAGTCCGGGCACGCGTACGGCTTCTCGCCCGTGTGCACGCGCAGGTGCTGTGCGTAGTTGGAGCTCTGCGCGAAGCGGCGGCCGCAGTGCGCGCATGCGTACGGCTTCTCGCCCGTGTGCCGCCGCCGGTGCTGCCGCAGGTTCGAGGCGGCCGAGAAGCGTTTGTCGCACTCGGGGCACTCGTAGGGCCGCTCGCCCGTGTGCGTGCGGCCGTGTTTGGTCAGCGCCGACTTCTGTGAGAAGCGCCGCCCGCACTCGGTGCACCCGAAGGGCCGTTCGCCCGTGTGCGTGCGCGCGTGCTTCGCCAGCGTGGAGCGGCGCGCGAAGGCGCGGCCGCAGTCGGGGCACGCGTGGGGACGCGCCGGGTCGGCGGACGGCGCGGGCGCCTCGCCCGGGACCTGCGGGGAGAGGGGGATAGGTCAGCCCTTAGCGGCAGGCCCCGGAGCCAGAGACCTGGGTCTCCACAGGCTGCTCCCTCTGTGAGCCTCAGTTCCCCATCTATGAAATAGGAAAGGCCACGGTGCTGCCTCCCAGGATGGCTGTGCGCATCCAGTGAGATAATGCGCGTAACGCACACATCACAAAGCCCAGTGGCGTTCTAGCTATTTTTATTAATTCAACCAATATTTACTGAGGGCATGCAGTGTCCTAGACTGTTCTAGGCACGGGGATTCCGCATTAAATAAAAAGCATTAAAAAATTCCTGCTTTCAGAAATAATGGATAAGGAATGCTGGTATTGGGGATGCTACAGATTTAAACAGGGTTGTCAAGACACTTTACCGATATGATAACATGAGCAAAGACTTAAAGGAGGTGACAGAGCAGGCTACGTGGATAGCCCTCTGAGGAGCACTGCAGAGGGAACGGCAGGGCGCAGAGGCGGGAGTTGCCTGCTGTTCCAGAAATGGCAAGAAAAATTGGTTAAAGCAGAATGCATGATGGGGGGAGTCACGGATGTAGTGGTGGAGATCTCTTGGCATATAGGGCCTTGTATTTGTTATATTTGGCTTTTTTTTTTTTTTTTTTTTTTAAGAGACAGGGTCTTGCCGTGGCCCAGGCTTGGTCCCGAACCTCCTGGCTCAAGCAGTCCCTCCTGACTCAGCCTTCTGAGTAGCTGGAGTTACAGGCACATACCACTGTGCCTGGCTCTGGCTTTTATTATAAAGGAGACAGGGACCTGTAAGAGGAGATGTCAGAGGGCTTTGAGCAGGGAAGTGACCATATCCTACACATTTAAAAAGGCTCCCCTCAGGCTACTGGGGTTGAAAACCAAATGAAGGAGTTGGAGAGAGCAGAAGCAGAAGCCCAGTGAGGAGGCCACTACAGCCACCTGGCAAGAGAAGATAGTGGCTCATACCCAGGTGACAGAAGTGGACGGTGGATGGTGGAGGTGGTGAGAAGTGATTGGCTTCTGGATCTATTTGCAGTGTGAGACAATAGATTTAATAAGAGATTAGATATGAGGTGTGAAGAAAAAGAGATCAAAATGACTTCAAGGTTTTTGAGCTTAGCAACTGCAAAGGTGGAGTTGCCATTTACAGAGATGAGGACGGTGGGAGGAGCAAGTTGAGAGGGGAGATCTGTTTTGGATGGTGTCACGGCTTCTTGACATATCTGGAGCTCAGAAGCGAGGCCTAGACTGGAGATGTTAATTGAGAAGCTGTCAACCTATAGATGGTTTATAAAGCCTTGAGAATGAGTGGATGAGATCATCCAGGGGATGGGCAGACAGAACCTAGGGCAGCAAGATGGGGAGAAGCCAGGGAGGGAGGAGAGCAGGAGAGGGGCATCCTGGAAGCCAGGCCAGGACCAAGTCCAGGCTCTTAATCAGCTTTGAATAGCAAACACCTATCATTTTTTAAGCAGTGAAGAAAAAGGCAAGGGTAAAAGCCAAATGTTATTCTGAGGTCTGAAATGAAACAATCTGAAAATGAGCCAGTTTCACAAGCTCTGGCCTTTTAGAGATAAAAATCAGAAAAAGGAAAGAAATGCCTTCTAAGAGGCACATGAAGGGAAAACATTCTGGACTAACAGTGAAGAGTATTGAGGGCATATTGCTCCCTTCCTAGAAAAGAGAACGCTCAAAACCCCAGCAAAACTGATGTCGCGTATCTACTGTGGCCAAGCAATTAATTCATGACCAAATGAAGTGCCTGGGGCATATTAAGGACAAGACAGTGTCAGCTTCTCCCATATTCGATCTCCACGAGGTAATTATCATCATCCCTATTTTACAGATGGGGAGACAGGTGAAGAGAGAGGGACAGCAAGGCCAGGTGCAGTGGCTCACGCCTGTAATACCAGCACTTTGGGAGGCCGAGGCAGGTGGATCACGAGGTCAGGAGTTCAAGCCCAGCCTAGCCAAGATGTTGAAACCCCGTCTCTACTACAAATACAAAAATTAGCTGGGCGTGGTGGCGGACGCCTGTAATCCCAGCTACTCGGGAGGCTGAGGCAGGGAACTGCTTGAACCCGGGAGGTGGAGGTTGCAGTGAGCCAAGATTGCACCACTGCCTCCAGCCTAGGTGACGGCAAGACTCCGTCTCAAAAAAAAAAAAAAAAAAAAAAGGGTGACAGCAGAAAATAGTAGGGCCTTCTGTTTCTGAAGCTGCAGGAGGGCAACTTCAAGGCCTTCAAGATAGTTTGTCAAAAGGTAGTGGCTTTGTGGTAACCAACTCAGAAATTAGAAAATAAGCCAGGCGTGGTGGTTCACACCTGTAATCCCAGTACTTTGGGAGATCGAGGTGGGCGGATCACTTGAGGTCAGGAGTTCAAGACCAGCCTGGCCAACATGGTGAAACCCTGTCTCTACTAAAAATACAAAAATCAGCTGGATGTGGTGGCTCATGCCTGTAATCCCACCTACTCAGGAGGCTGAGGCAGGAGAATCACTTGAACCCGGGAGGCAGAGGTTGCAGTGAGCTGAGATCATGCCACTGCACTCCAGCCTGGGGAACAGAGTGAGATTCCATCTCAAAAAAAAAAAAAAAAAAAAAAAAAAAAAGAGGCCGGGCGCGGTGGCTCACGCCTGTAATCCCAGCACTTTGGGAGGCTGAGGTGGGCAGATCACAAGGTCAGGAGATCGAGACCATCCTGGCTAACATGGTGAAACCCCATCTCTACTAAAAAAATACAAAAAATTAGCCAGGCGTGGTGGCAGGTGCCTGTAGTCCCAGCTACGCGGGAGGCTGAGGCAGGAGAATGACATGAACCCGGGAGGCGGAGCTTGCAGTGAGCGGAGATGCGCCACTGCACTCCAGCCTGGGCAACAGAGCGAGACTCCGTTGAAAAAAAAAAATTAGAAAACAGGGCAATTTAGAAAATTAGTGACCAAGAGAAATCTGGTTTAAATAGTATCTATACTGATAACAATAGCAACAATCAATAACAAAGTATTAAGCTTTGACAACACTATGTATGTTATTGTATTAAATCCTCCTGTCACCCGCCTTGAGCTGGGTGTTCTCTCTTTTGATAGCTGAGAAAGCTGAGGCTGAGGGCGATGAAATTCACATGGCCAGTGGGAGCCAGGATGGACTCAGGGTGCCCATGAGACCATGCCGTCATTCAGGCTACACTGTTCTGAACTCACGTGACCAAGATGTGACAGAGGCTGGATTCCACGTCCCTGGCACACTCCAAGAGGGATTCAAGGTTAAAATACAACTTGATACTTTAAATGGAGAAACTCCCCACAGTATGTTTGGTACCATCTGAATTCAAGGTCACATTTTCCAGTCTTGCCCTGGTTTTGAAATCTATTGGTTTATTTCAATACATCAGCCACTGTGGAGAGAACTTGTCTCATCAGATCTACATTTTTCTGGCCCGTTTTTCCTTGGCACCCTCTTTCAGGTGACTTTGGACAGCCTGAGGGCTTCCTCATGCTGAGTTCACTGACTTCTGAAAAAGAAATTCTCCATACAAGCACTGTTGATGTCTCCAGCCCAGGAGAAGGGGCCTTGGATGCCCGAGGAAAAATCTTGGTAAGAGGAGCTGAATCCAGCTCATTAAGATCCTCCTCTGCCCCAGTGTCCCGAGAAAGGCCAGGTAGGCTAAGTGAGATCAAATTCCCAGTATGAGGCCAGGTGCAGTGACTCACACCTGTAATCTTAGCACTTCGGGAGGCCAAGGAAGGAGGATTACTTGAGGCCAGGAGTTGGACACCAGCCTGGGCAACACAGTTAGACCTCGTCTCTACAAAAAGTGAAAAATTAGCCAGGTGTGGTGGGGTGCACTTGTAGTCCCAACAACTTGGTAGGCCGAGGAAGGAGGATCACTTGAGCCCAAGAGTTCAAGGCTGCAGTGAGCTACAATCACGTGCCACTGCACTCCAGCCTGGGTGACAAAGCGAGATCGTGTCTCTAAAAAAAGAAAAAAAAACCCAAAATTTCCCAGCATGAGGTATAAGGTGGTATGTGGGCAAACTTTAAAAAAGTCTCATAATTGTTACACATTTATTTTCACGAATATTTAAAAAACAAGATATCACATGAAACCCACAATTTCATCAGTACTATTGTTTAGATGAAGGTACATTTATTTAACAAAACAATGTGAATCTATTTGAAGAAAAACATTAATAAATAATGTGAGTACAACATATGAGCAATACACATGTGACTGAAACTTGGCAAATACCAGACTAGGTGATCATTAATGGCCCAAGCATGTCTTAAATTCTACAACTATTAGATTTAAAAATTAGAATAAATGGTATTTGCACTATAACAGGAGGCTACTGTGAACATACAATGTAGTGTAATAATATAATAATCCAGGTATTAGAAGTTAGTGATTTTTGTTTTCCTGCTTAAATGTTTTTTAACCAGAGCAAACATCCCAGTTTCTTCCTTAGCCATTACTTCTCTAATTAATAAAATAACTCCCACTTGTTGGGCACTCACCATGTGCCAGGAACTGTGCTAAGTGCTTTTTACCAGTACTGTCTTTCTAAATTCTCGCCATGGCTTTCGTTAGGTACCTTAGCCCTGTTTTATATATAAGGAAATAAGACTCAGAAGTTAAGTGACTACACAAGGCAAGGCTATTCAGCTAATAAATGGCAGAGCCAGGGTTTGAACTGAATTTACTCATTTTCCAGAACACCTATTCTCTTAACCATGATGCAATTCTTTTTTTATTCTCTTTTTTTTTTTTGAGAAAAGGTCTCACTGTGTCACCCAGGCTGGATGCAGTGGCATGATCACGGCTCACTGCAGCCTTGACTTCCCGGGCTAAAGCAATCCTCCTGACTCAACCCCCCAAATAGCTGGCGCTACAGGGGTGTGCCACCACACCCGGCTAATTTTTGTATTTCAGTAGAGATGGGGTTTTGCCATGTTGCCCAGGCTGGTCTCGAACTCCTGAGCTCAATCAATCCTCCTGCCTCAGCCTCCAAAAGTGCTGGGATTACAGGCAAGAGCCATCACGCCCAGCCTCCATGATGCAATTCTAATCTCACTGACTAGAGTTTGAGGCCACTTACACAGCTTGTCTCCCTCCCCTGGCCCCTTTTTGCGGTCACAGTCTTCCTTCATTTTGGCACAAACTATTAAACACAACCACTGTCTTCTAGTTCCTTGCTGGAGGATGTGTGGTCCACAGACCAGCAACATCAACATCACTGGGAACTTTTTACAAATGCAGAATCTCAAATCCCACTCCAGATTTTACTGAATTAAAATCCTCATTTTAACAAGACCCCTGGGTGATCTGTATGCATGTTAAAAATTAAGAAACTGATCTAGATGAGAAAAGAGCTACTCCTGGAGAAAGCAGGGAGCAAAGGTGAAGAGGGCTTTGCGGGCTGAGACCACAAGGGGGGATGGGATAGGTGTCGAGGGGATGAAGCCAGAATGGCATGAGGTCAGATGGTAAAGAGCTTTGAATGCCAAGTTTAGGAGCTGAGACCTCACCCTGAGGGAAACAGAAAACCACTCAAGGGTTCAAGCCAGGGAAAGATAGGTTTGGATGTGCATGGAGCCCTCAGAAAATCTTTCTAAAAGATAGATTGGGTTTTGATGGCAGAGGGAGAATACTCCAGCCCCTGCATGCAGCGTAATTAAGGCCCTTCTGGACAGTGACTGGCCACAGGACTGGCAATAGCTAGGACTCACTGAATGTCACCACTGGAAGGTGTTTTCGAGGTCACCATTTCATAGATGGAGAAATGAGGCTCAGGAAGGCCCACAGCAAGCTAACGATCGAGCACCCTTCTGGGCACGATGCTAACAGTTCATGGGATATGTGTGCATAATCCTCAATTCCACCCATCTCCTCCAAATCTAGTCACCTTGATGACACTTCTCAGACTGGCATTCAGGGGTCTTACTCTATTACCCCATTTTACAGATGAGAAAGCCAAAGAAAAGCTGGTAAACGGTGGAGTTACGACCGCTACATGATACCATTCACAATCTGGCCCTGTGTGCCTTTCATGACTAGCCATGTCAGACCTTCACCGCACATACCCCTTGGCTCTAGCCAGGTTCCTAAATGGCCCCTTTTCCTCATCATTGCTGTTACTACCTTAGAGCAGGCCCTACCTGGCCTGGGCTCCCTGTAGCAGCCAATAATTCTTCTAAACAGAAAATCCAATCATGTCCCTCCTCTGATTTTTTTTTTTTTTTGAGATGGAATCTTGCTCTGTTGCCCAGGCTGGAGTGCAGCGGTGCAATCTCAGCTCACTGCAACCTCCGCCTCCCAGATTCAAGCGATTCTCCTGCCTCAGCCTCCCAAGTAGCTGGGATTGCAAGCAGGTGCCACCACACCCGGCTAATTTTTGTATTTTTAGTAGAGATGGGGTTTCACCATGTTGGCAAGGCTGGTCTCGAACTCCTGACCTCAAGTGATCCGCCCGCCTCAGCCTCCCAAAGTGCTGGGATTACAGGCATGAGCCACCACGCCTGGCCTGTTTTTGTTTTTTGAGACAGGGTCTCTCTCTGTTGCCCAGGCTGGAGTACAGTGGTGCAGTCATGGCTCACTGCAGCCTTGAACTCCTGGGATCATTCAGCCTCCAGAGTAGCTAGGACTACAGGCATGCCACCATGCCCAGCTAATTAAACTTTTTTTTTTTTTTTTTTTTTTTTTTTGTAGAGATGAGGTCTCCCTATGTTGCCCAGGGAGGAATCGAACTCCTGGGCTCAAGTGATCCTCCCACCTTGGCTTTCCAAAGTGCTAGGATTACAGGTGTGAGCCACCACGCCTGGCTCTTCCCATGATTTAAGGCTTCTTATGGTGCCACAGAACCTAACACAGTACGTCCTGCCCTAGCTTGCAAGGCCCCTCTGTCCCCCAACTGCCTTTCCAGTCTCATTTCCTCTGAGTCTTTGTTTTTGCTGTTTCCTCCTCCTGGAATGCCCTTCCTCCTCCTCCATGTGCCAAACCCCTGCAAAGCCTTCAAGGCCCAAGTCAAAAATCATCTCCTCTGGGAAGCCTTCCCCACTGCCTTGAGTCGTTTGTCTTCAATCCTCTGTGCCCCCACATTCACTTCCCTGATCAACCCCAGTTCTCATGGTTCAGCCCAGGCCTTTGATAAAAATGAGTTGAGCCAGGCGTGGTGGCTCACGCCTGTAATCCCAACACTTTGGGAGGCCGAGGCGGGCGGATCATGAGGTCAGGAGTTCGAGACCAGCCTGACCAATATGGTGAAACCCCACCTCTACTAAAAATACAAAAATTAGCTGGGCATGGTAGTGCGCACCTATAATCCCAGCTACTCAGGAGACTGAGGCAGGAGAATGGCATGAACCCGGTAGGTGGAGGTGCGGTGAACCAAGATTGCGCCACTGCACTCCAGCCTGGGCGACATAGTGAGACTCCGTCTCAAAAAAAAAAAAAAAAGTTGAAAAATCTCAAGAAGGATGACCTTGCCCAAGGTCCTGAGCTTTGGGGAGAAGAATAAATGTAACAGCAACTATTTCCGTGTTTATTTTGTGCCAGACACAGTTCTAACTCTGTGCATGTGTTGACTCATTCATTCCTCACAACTCCAAGATGTAGGTGCTGTTATAATTTCCCTTTTACAAATGAGGAAACTGAGGCGTGGAGCGGTTAGGAAACTTGGCCAAGGTCACACAGCGGGTAAATGATGGAGCTGGAAGTCCACCCTAAGCTCTGGAGCCTGTGTTTGTAACTTAGAGGCCAAAGGTGGAGATCAGGCAATCGCAGGGCCAGAAGAGGCAGGCAGAGCTGGATAATGGGCGAAGGGGGCCCGCAACAAACACAACCAGATAGTTATTAGACTATCCAGAGGCCTAAGGAGCTAGTCCCCTCCCCCAGCACCCAGCAGGCCCACTAGGGGGCAGCAGAGCATTCTTTCCCTGGGAACTGGCTCCTGGGCAGGAAGAATCAGAGTCCCGGCCCCTGCAAGCTGGGTCCCTGGGGCCAAAGCCCTCTGCTGGTACTCAGGGCTGCTCAGGCTGGGGGCAGACAGAATCCTCTGGGGTTCTGAGAAGCGGAAACGTATCTGGTGGCAGTTAGGGTCTCCAGGGGGTGAAATTTAACTCATATTCTGATCTCAAAACCTTCAAATACCCTCAGAATAAAAGCCAGACTCCCTGTGTGGCCTGCCAACCACCCCCACTCATCCACACTACAGCATGACCGAACCACCCACCCTCACTGCTGCAGTGCACTACTCACTCGTCTGAGCCTCTATAAGGGCCATTTCTGGCTGGATACGGTGGCTCACACCTATAATCCCAGCACTTTGGGAGGCTGAGGTGGGAGGATCACCTGAACTCAGGAGTTTGAGACCAGTCTGGCCAACATGGCAAAACCCCAACTCTACTGAAAATACAAAAAATTAGCCGGGCGTGGTGGTGCATGCCTGTAATCCCAGCTTCTTGGGAGGCTGAGGTAGGAGAACCACTTGAACCCGGGAGGTGGAGGCTGCAGTGAGCCGAGATCACGCCACTGCACTCCAGCCTGGGCAACAGAGCGAAACTCTGTCTCAAAACAAAACAAAAAAAAATTAGCCAGGTGTAGTGGTGCATGCCTGTAGTCCCAGCTACTTGGGAGGCTGAGGTGGGAGGATCACCTGAGCCCAGGGAAGTCAAGGCTGCAGTGAGCTGTACTGCACTACAGCTTGGGTGACTGAATGAGACCCTGTCTCAAACAATAACAACAGTAATAATAAAAGAGCCATTTCCTCTGACTGGGTCCATCACCCCACTTCTGACCCCAGACTCCTACTAGTCTCACATAAGCCATCCTTTTACTTTGAGACCTGTGGCCAGTTACCAAACTGCCCTGGGCCTCAGTCTCCTCATCTGTAAAATGGAATAAATGCTACCGACATCATAGAATCGAGGTGCTTAGAACAGTGCCTGGCACATAGAAAATGCTAGGCAAGGGTTAGCTATTGTTACTGTTGCTGTTGAACTAACCTGACCTTTCCCCAACCTCTAAATCTGAGTTAAGTTCCCACTTCTAGGCTTCATCATCCCCCTGTACCTGCAGCCATCACACGGGATTCTAACTGTGTGGTTACCCTTCAGTCTAACATCAAGCTCCATGGGGGATCCAAGGACGGAGTTTAATCTCCTGCACCCAGCAGGAAGCCTGGGACAGTAGGCGTGACTTTTGTATGATGGAAGCCCAGGCAGTAGGGCAGAAGGATGGGCCAATCCTGAGGTTTTAGATCCGAGATTCTGGGAAAAGTAGGGGCAAGATCCCTGGCTTCTATCTGAGGGAGGCTGGGCCTGGACCAGGTTTGGGGACAGTGTGCCCCAGGGTGTGTGTGACACATACCTCCTTGTTGTCCATGGGGATCTTGAGTTTCACCACCTCATACTTCTCCTCACCCTCATCCTCCTCACCCTTCACCAGCAGCACCATCTCCTCCTGCATCTCTTCCTCCTCCTCTTCCTCTGCCTGCTGTTCGCCAGGCATCTTGGTGTCCTGAGGCGGGGAGCTGGATCAGAAGCTCAGGACCCGCCCCCCCCCACCCCCCCCCCCGCCCACCGTGGCCCTGGCCCAGCAAGGCAGTGCAGCCGTGGCTTCTCCCGCCCTGCCCTGGTCTCCGAATCTGGTCCTCTCCCGTCCACCCCAGCCCGGCCCCACGCTCTGGCACAGCCCCGGGACCAGCTCCGAGGGCTCGCGTTCACCCCACTCATCCCAGCATTCAAGGCCTTGAACAGTTCGAATCTCCAGCCCCCGCAAGTCGCCACCATCCTTGCGCTGAGTCACTCCCCAGGGCCCGGGTCGGCGACCTGGAGCTCTGGGGCACGGGCTGGAGGCGGGATCGGGGCGGAAACCCCGGGGAGGGGGTGCGCACTCACCAGCCGAAGGTTCGGCACTCGCGGTGCCCCAGGCCTGGGCGCCGGGCGGCTGGGCACTCAGCGAGGCCGCGGCTCCGGGGGCGGGGAGGGGGCGGGACCGCAGGGACGGCCGGTCATTGGTCCGAACATATAGCCCCACCCCCTGGGGCGGAGCCCGAAGGACCCAGGCGTCCGGCCCAAACGGCTCGGAGAGGGCGGCGAGCTCAGACTTGGCGTCCTCCGCAGTCCCCCGACTCCCAAGCACCTGGAGCCGCCCCAGCCCGGCGTTCAAGGTCCTTGCCGCCGAGTTCCAACCTAACCTCGCGGCCCGTCTCCTGGGGCCGGCTTGGAGGTCTCCGCTGCGCCCAGTGCCTCTGCTCCGCCCGAAATAGGCCACGTGCGCTCCCGCCCCGGCCTGGGCCTCTCCCTGGCGCCCCGCCTGGAGGGCGGACCCTGTTGCCTCCTCACTTCTTCCATTCCCTCTTTATCTCCTCTGCCGTCTTTTCTCCATCTTTCTCGGCTTCGCCTATTCCGCTGGCCTCTGGGATATCCTTGAATACATCCTAACCAATTCAACATCCACCCAAGCTACCGCTGTCGCGTCATGCGTGGGGTGCTTACCATGCGCCAGCGCTGTTCAGCGTCTTACATACCTGGTCTCATTTGATCCGCATAACGATGGGTCCTGATCCATTTTACAGATGAGCTCACTGAAGTTCAGGGAGGTAAACTGATTTGCCTAAGTTACACGATAAGGATGTCATAGCATCCCTGACAATCAGTAGCCTAGGTGAACAACAGCCCAAAGCTAAATCCAGTCCACAGGGGTACCTTGTTTGGCCCTTAGGGTATTTTTACTTTTAAAAAATCTTTTCGGACGGGCACGGCGGCTCACGCCTGTAATCCCAGCACTTTAGGAGGCCGAGGCGGGCGGATCACGAGGTCAGGAGATAGAGACCATCCTGGCTAACACGGTGAAACCCCGACTCTACTAAACAAAATACAAAAAATTAGCTGGGCGTGGTGGCGGGCACCTGTAGTGCCAGCTACTCGGGAGGCTGAGACAGGAGAATGGCGTGAACCCGGGAGGCGAGCTTGCAGTTAGCCGAGATCGCGCCACTGCGCTCCAGCCTGGGCGACAGAGCGAGACTCCGTCTCAAAAAAAAAAAAAAAAAAAAAAAAAAAAAATCGTTTCAAAGCCGGGCGCGGTGGCTCATGCCTGTAATCCCAGCACTTTGGGAGGCGGAGGCCGGTGGATCACTTGAGGTCAGGATTTCGAGACCAGCCTAACCAACATGGTGAAACCCCGTCTCTACTAAAAATACAAAAATTAGCCAAGCTTGGTGGTGCATGCCTGTAATCCCAGCTACTCGAGAGGCTGAGGCACGAGAATTGCTTGAACTGGGGAGGCAGTGGTTGCAGTGAGCCGAGATCATGCCATTGGTCTCCAGCCTAGGCAACAAGAGCGAAACTCCGTCTCAAGAAAAAAAAAATTAAATTGGGATATTTCATATAAAAATAGATTTTTTTTTAGTGGAATAAACAAATGCCACTTCCTTTGAAAAACAGCCACTTCCCTTGAAAAAGCAGATATCTAATTTTCCCATTTTATGAATGGGGCAACTAAGATTCAGAAATCATGAAGGAAAACAGAAATAACATTCAGTAAGTGCTTACAAGTTCTATGTTGTCTCTTTACAACAGCCCTGTTGGGATCAATAATATCTCCATTGGACAAAAGAAGAAACGGAAGCTTAGACAAGTTAAGTAATTTGCTCAAAGTCACACAGCTGGCAAGCAGCAGATTCAAAGCTTGTGCTCTTCTATTGCACCAAATTACCTCTCAGGAATGAAGTTATAAAACTGGCTCTTTCCCAGAGCTGGGAGAAGGGGTCAAATGCCTGGATACTCACACACAGGATCCCCAAAAGCCACTTTGCATTCATTCTCTGAGTTTTTTTTTTTTTTTTTTTTTTTTTTTGAGATGGAGTCTTGCTCTGTCGCCCAGGTTGGAGTGCAATAGCACAGTCTAGGCTCACTGCAACCTCCGCTTCCCAGGTTCAAGTGATTCTCCTGCCTCAGCCTCCCAAGTAGCTAGGATTACAGGCACACACCACCACACCGGGCTATTTTTGTATTTTTTGTAGAGACGGGGTTTCACCATCTTGGCCAGGCTGGTCTCAAACCCCTGACCTCGTGATCCACCCACCTTGGCCTCCCAAAGTGCTGGAATTACAGGCTTGAGCCACCACGCCTGGCCTCTCTGGGTATTTATTGAGTCCTATATACCCGTCACCCTTCTAGGTATGGGGGATGTAGTAGTGAACAAAACAGATAAAAATAGTGGCTCTTGTGACACTACTAAGGGTGCAAACAAATGTACACATGTAAAGAGGAAGATAATATCAGATAATGATAGGTGCAACGGGGCAAATCTGACAAGATGATCCAACAGGGAGCAGCTATGGTAACAGGGGCTTCTTTAATGCAGGCAGGGAAGGTGTCTCAGGATACAATTTTTTTTTTTTTTTTGAGATGGAGTCTCATTCTATCACCCAGGCTGGAGTGCAGTGGCATGATCTCAGCTCACTGCAACCTCCACCTCCCGGGTTCAAGGGATTCTCCTGCCTCAGCCTCCCGAGTAGCTGAGATTACAGGTGCGCGCCATACACTCAGCTAATTTTTTTTTTTTTTTGAGGCGGAGTCTTGCTCCGTCTCCCAGGCTGGAGTGCAGTGGTGCGATCTCGGCTCACCGCAAGCTCTGCCTCCCAGGTTCACACCATTCTCCTGCCTCAGCCTCCCAAGTAGCTGGGACTATAGGCGCCCACCACCACGCCCAGCTAATTTTTTTTGTATTTTTAGTAGAGACAGGGTTTCACCGTGTTAGCCAGGCTGGTCTTGAACTCCTGACCTCAAGTGATCTGCCTGCCTTGGCCTCCCAAAGTGCTGGGATTACAGGAATGAGCCACCATGCCCAGCCTGGATACAATATTTTGTTTGTTTGTTTGAGACAGAGTCTCCAGCTGTCGCCCTGGCTGGTGGACAGTGGCGCAATCTTGGCTCACTGCAACCTCTGCCTCCCGGGTTCAATTCTCCTGCCTCAGCCTCCCGAGTAGCTATGATTACAGGTGCCTGCCACCATGCCTGGCTAATTTTTTGTATTTTCAGTAGAGAAGGGGGTTTCACTATGTGAGCCAGGCTGGTCTCGAACTCCTGACCTCAAGTGATCCACCTGCTTCGGCCTCCCAAACTGCTGAGATTATAGGCGTGAGCCACCGCGCCCGGCCTGGATACAATATTTGAGATGAACCTTGAATGATGAGAAAGGGTTAGCCATTTGAAAATCTGGAAGAAGAGTGTTTGAGACTGAACTGCAGAGGCCTTGAGGCAGAAGCTTGTGTGTTTGAGGAATAGGAAGAAGACTTGTGTTGCTGGATCTGAGCATCCAAGGGAGTGAACAAGGGGAAATGTAGCAAGGGAGATGGAGGAGAGGTAGGCAGAGGGTAAACTTGGCCAGAACCCAACCTCTAGCGAAAGCAAAGCATCTCGCTCTGATTAAGAGAGAATCAGTGAGGAGACTCAGCCAGGAGCCTGTCTCTGGCAGTGAAAGTCCCTACTGGAAGGAGCCTCCTGCTGTTTTAAATAGGAACTTGGAAAAAGAAGGTAAAGGGCTCCATCGATTTGCCCTGCAACCATGTACAGGTATCTACTTGCAATACGATCTAGTTCATGTTCTTGAGGATCTCATAGTCTAGTAAAGAAGTTTTTGGGCCATGCGCGGTGGTCACACCTATAATCGCAGCACTTTGGGAGGCTGAGGCAGGTGGATCACCTGAGGTCAGGAGTTCGAGACCAGCCTGGCCAACACCCCATCTCTACTAAAAATACAAAAATTAGCCTAGTGTGGTAGCGCATGTCTATAGTCCCAGCTACTTGGGAGGCTGAGGCAGGAGAATTGCTTAAACTCTGTCTCAAAAAAAAAAAAAAATAAGTTTTTGGGGCCAGGAGCAATGGCCCATACCTGTAATACCAACACTTTGGGAGTCCAAAGTGGGTAGTCGCTTGAGGTCAGGAGTTCAAGACCAGTCTGGCCAACATGGCGAAACCCTGTCTTTACTAAAAATACAAAAATTAGCTGGGCATGGTGGCACACGCCTGTAATCCCAGCTATTTGGGAGGCTAAAGCATGAGAATCGCTTGAACCCAGGAGGTGGAGGTTGCAGTAAGCTGAGATCGTGCCACTGCACTCCAGCCTGGGCAACAGAGCAAGACCCTGTCTTAAAAAAAAAAGAAGACGGAGAAGGAGGAAGAAGAAGAAGAAGAGGAATAGGAAGAGGAAGAAGAAGAAAAGGAGAAGAAGAAGAAGAAGAAGAAGAAGAAGAAGAAGAAGAAGAAGAAGAAGCAGCAGCAGCAGCAGCTTGTGGGCTGGGCGTGGTGGCTCTCACCTGTAATCCTAGCACCTTGGGAGGTTGAGGCAGGTGGATTGCTTGAGCTCAGGAGTTGGAGACAAGCCTGGGAAACGTGGTGAAACCCCGTCTGTACAAAAATCACCAAAAAAAAGAAAATTAGCTGAGCATAATAGTGCACGTGCCTGTAGTCCCAGATACTTGTGCGGCTGAGGCAGGAGGAGCACTTGAACCTGGGAGGTTGAGGCTGCAGTGAGCCGATATTGCATGCTGCACTCCAGCCTGGGTGACAAAGTGAGACTCTGTCTCAAAAAAAAAAAAAAAAGAAGCTTCTGATTTAAAATAGATCTCTAAATATACAGTATGAGTGATATAAGAAAAGGATAACAGGGTGTTCTAGCAGGAGAAGAGTGGGGTAAGTGAACCACTCTTTCGGGGGTATTAGGTATTTCGTGCTGGTCTCACTGAGAAGGTAACTGTGAAGGACCTTGAAAGATGAGTGGGTGTCAGGTGTGGTGACGCACACCTATGGTCCCAGCTACTTAGGAGGCTGAGGCAGGAGGACTGCTGGAGCCCAGGGGTTCAAGGCTATAGTGCACTATGTGCCTGTGAATAGCTACTGTATTCCAGCCTGGGCAATATAGTGAGAGCTCATCTGTAAAAAAAACAAGCAAACAAAAACTAAAGATGAGTGGGACTTTGCCAGATTGGCAAGGAGGCAGTAGTTTGTGGAAATATATATATATATTTTGAGACAGGGTCTCACTCCGTCCCCCAGGCTGGAGTGCAGTGTGCAGTCACAGCTCACCGCAACCTTGACTTCCCAGGCACAAGCGATCCTCCTGCCTCAAGCCTCCCGAGTAGCTGGGATTACAGTATTTTCTGGTGGTGGCGGGGGTCGTTTTTGTTTTTTGGAGACAAGATCTTGCTCTTTTGCCCAGGATGGAGTGCAGTGGCATGATCATGGCTCACTGCAGCCTCAACTTCCTGGGGCCAAGCGATCCTCCCACCTCAGCCTCCTGAGTTGCTGGGACTACAGGTGCATTCCACCTAATTTTTGTATTTTTTGTAGAGAGGTCTCACTATGTTGCCCAGGCTGGTCTCGAACTCCTGGCCTCCTGGCCTCCTGCCTCAACCTCTCAAAATGCTGGGATGACAGGCCTGAGCCACACCTGGCCTGGAAAGGCCTTTGGATCACAGAGGATTCTTTCCAGCTCATAGGTTTGCTGGACATTTCTCACCTCACTTGTAATTATTTGTTCAATGTCTATCTCCCGCATAAAAACAGGTCAGGGACTTTGTCTTGTTTATCTTTCTATCCCAGTATGCAGCACACAATAGGTGCAGCTGTTGAGTGAGTAACTATCCTCAAGAAGCTCTTCATGTGTTAGGTGCTCAGAGACGGGTTGCTCAGAGAAGGGGATTGTAACTAACCCAGACGAGGGTCAGAGTAGGCTTCTTGGAGGAAGTAGTGCTTGAGGTGTTTTGACAGAGGAGATTAACAAGGGGTGGGTAGTGGTGGAGGAGCATTCCAAGTAAAAGAAACGACATTTAAGGAGCCCAGGGCTGAAACTACACAAATGGAAGGGCTTGAGTGCCAATGAAAGTTAGGCTTTGGGGACAGCATGTGGAGATCCACTGGGGTTTCAATGGGGGAGTGACATGGCCAGATGTAATTTTAGAAAGCAGGCCAGGCACGGTGGCTCATGCCTATAAATCCTAGCACTTTGGGAGGCCGAGGCGGGCAGATCACCTAAGGTCAGGAGTTTGAGACCAGCCTGGCCAACATGGTGAAACCCCGTCTCTACTAAAAATAAAAAAATTAGCCAGGCGCGGTGGCGGACGCCTGTAATCCCAGCTACTAGGGAGGCTGAGGCAGGAGAATCGCTTGAACCCGAGCGGAGGCTGCAGTGAGCCGAAGATCCTGCCACTGCACTCCAGCCTGGGCGACAGAGTGAGTGAGACCCTGTCTTGAGAAAAAAAGAAAAAAGAAAAAGAAAGAAATCAAGAAAAGAAAGTGGCCAGGCGCGGTGGCTCACGCCTGTAATCCCAGCACTTTGGAAGGCTGAGGCGGGCGGATCACGAAGTCCGGAGTTCGAGACCAGCCTGACAAACATGGTGAAACTCCGTCTCTACTAAAAATACAAAAATTAGCCGGGCTTGGTAGCGCGCCTGTAATCCCAGCTACTCAGGAGGCTGAGGCAGGAGAATCGCTTGAACCCGGGAGGCGGAGGTTGCAGTGAGCCAAGATCGCGCCACTGCACTCCAGCCTGGGCGACAGAGCGAGACTCCGTCTCAAAAAAAAAGAAAAGAAAGTTCACTGCAGGTCGTCTTGGAGGGCACACTGGTAGGGAAGGGAGCTAGGAAAACCAGCAAGAAGGAACTTCCAGAAGCCCCAAAGGGCTCCGCTCAGGCCATCAAGAGCCCCAGCCCTGAACGCAGGGTTCTAGGGTTTTGAGAGCGCATCAATTTGGAAAGGGCGGGCGGAGCGGGAGGAGCCGCACTGCAGCCAGCCCTGGTCGGTTTCTAGGGAAGCCAGGCCAGTGCTTACGATCTCGCGAGAACCCGTCCAGGGATTCTTTCCGCACGGAGATCGGGGAGAGCCGGGGGCGGGAACTTGCGACCCTGTACTTCGTTGCCTTCATTGTTTAGCGGGGAGAACCGCCCTGGACTTCTTTTTTCTTTAATCCCTGGCCGATCAGGCCAGTGGTTGTGAAAACGCTAGGGATTGCAGACCTGCTTCCCAGGCCCCGCGGGGCGCCGGGAAATCCGGCGGGCTTTTCTGGGGGTGAAGGAGCACCGTTTGCCCTCCCTTTGGGCTGTGCAGCCGAATGACTCATTTCCCGACGCATAAAAAGGGTCTCGGGTGTCGGGTTTCCCAGGTCCCGGTGGGCGGCGCGCCGGCGTCCGGGCTTTCCACGCCGGTTCCAGACCTGTGGGCTGCCTCCCGCCGACAGCCGTCGCCATAGCAACAACGCCCCCCACACGCCCCCTCTTCCTCCTCCTTGCTGCCTTGTCTCTGCAGCGCCGCGCGGTTTTCCTTTTAAGGGTCGCGCTGGATGCTGTGGCGTAGGTGGTGCCTGCGGGCAGCCAGACCTCAGGCCTGGGGCATCGGCTGATGGAGCTGGCGGCCGTTTTTGAACCAGACGTCGGAGCTAGAAAGCCGCTGACTACGCCAAGACAACCTCTTTATTTAATGGGCTCAGAGAGCAAGGGAAGCACACAAAATTTACAGTCTGAGTTTTGCGCGCAGAGACCCCTCTCCACCTTTTTCATGCCTGTGTGTACACACACACTGTCCAAGCCTCAGAAGAGAAGCCGTTTATTGGTAAAAAGACACATGGAAATGTGGCTGCCAGGCCTCAGAGCATCCTGCCCTTTTCCCAAACAGCTGGCCTCTGCTATCCACCAGGACTTGGGCTTGGCATCCAGGCTGGATACCATGAGAGCACCTTCTGTCTCTGGTCTATTCTGCCAGTGTCTCCGTGTCAGGGTGGGTTGGCTCCCTCCAGGGCACAAAGGTCTGGGCTCTGTCCAAGAGTGCCCCTCCATAGGGGTGGGTACCACCATGCCACACAGCAGTATTTGCCCCATCCGGATGATCAAGATACCCCTGCCTCATCCTGTTACCTTAAATTCCAGAAGCCCCATCTCTGCAGCTCAGAAGGTAAACAAACCCTGGTTCAGGCATTGGTCTCCCAGAGCAAGGTTGGGAGGCATCAGTGGTGCAATCAGCTCACTGCAGCCTCAAACTTTTGGGCTCAAGTGATTCTCCCACCTCAGCCTCCCAAACTGCTGGGATTACAGGTGTGTACTACCTGCCCAGCAAGGGGAAAGTGTCAGTTCTTAACAGATGAGGCAGCAGGAATTTAGGGTTGAGTC
This sequence comes from Homo sapiens, assembly GCF_000001405.40. Taxonomy (NCBI): domain Eukaryota; kingdom Metazoa; phylum Chordata; class Mammalia; order Primates; family Hominidae; genus Homo; species Homo sapiens. The sequence goes on along the minus strand of NC_000016.10, from coordinate 30,399,397 downwards.
CTTAGGTGAAAGCCAGTTTATTTATTCAACAAGTATTGAATGCCTACTGTGTGCTAGGCAGTCTTCTAGAAGCCAGGGGTACAGCCCGTCCTGGCAAGGTCCTGACTCAGCCCAGCCAGGACAGTTTCCTGAGCTTCAAGGTTACTGTCTCCAATCCCTATTTCTATCTATTCTTCCTCCCCTTTCTTCCCTTCCTTCTCCCTCCCACCACCTCCCAGGCCCTTTCTTCTCTGCTAAGCGGCAGAGCCCCTCCCTTTGGTCTCCTGGGCCTCCGCCCTCCCTGGACCGCGTCATTCCAGTCCTGTTGCTGCCTCCTGCTTGAGGGGCCTTGCCCTACCATCCCCTATCCCAAAGGGCGTCAGGACCAGGTGCCCACGCTGGTGCTTGATGCGGGCAGAACTGTCACCAAAACCCTTGCCACACTCTGCACACTTGTATGGCTTCTCCCCCGTGTGTGTACGCCTGTGTTTGACCAGATCTGAGCTCCGGGGGAACTCCTTCCCACAGAAGCCACACACGTGGGGCTGGCTGGGTCCAGAAGGCTGGGCCCGAACTCGGGGTCGAGGGGCCATGGGTACTGGGCCAGGTGGGTTATGTGGCCGCAGCAGAGTGGATGGTGGTGGTGGCCGGGCCCGTTCACCACGGTGGGTGCGGAGGTGCTTGACTCGGGCTGAGCTGTCAGCAAAACCCTTGCCGCATTCAGGACAGAGGTAGGGTTTCTCCCCTGTGTGCACACGATGGTGTTTCACCAGGTCAGAGCTTCGGCGGAAGCCCTTGCCACACTCAGGGCACTTGTGGGGCTTGTCGCCCGCCAGTGGTGGGGGTGGCTCCCCAGCCTGTGGGCCCCCAGGCTCTGGCTCCAAGCCAGGCAGGCCAAAAGGCTCACCCGAGTGTGAGGGACTTCGAGGTGTCAGCGGGGGGCTGGTGCCCAGAGGAGGTGGGGGTGGGCTGGGGATCAGAGCGGGTAGGGGATAGCCTGGGAAGCTGAAGTCCTGGGGCTCCATGTGAGTGAGGCGGTGGCGAAGAAGGGTGGAGCTGAGGCTGAAGGTACGGTCGCATTCCGGGCAGGCATGGGGCCTCTCGCCACTGTGGGTGCGGAGGTGTTTGACTCGGGCGGAGCTGTCCGCGAAACCTTTGCCGCACTCTGGGCAGAGGTAGGGCTTCTCACCCGTGTGCACCCGCAGGTGCTTCACCAGGTCGGATCCCCGGGCAAACTCCTTTCCACACACATCACAGCCAAAGGGCTTGGGCCCCAAGTGACTACGCTGGTGACTCAGGAGGCTGCAGCTGAGCACAAACCTCTTGCCGCAATCAGTGCAGATATATGGCTTGTCCTGGGCCTTCGGTCCCTGGGTAGCTGCCGTGGCTGCCCGAGATGGCTGCCGTCGGGGCACCACTGGTCGGGGGGGCTGCTCCCCCCGGTGTGTCCGCTGGTGCTTGATGCGGGCGGAACTGTCGCCAAAGCCCTTGCCACATATGCCACACTTGTAGGGCTTCTCACCAGTGTGTGTCCGCTGGTGTTTCACCAGGTCAGAACTCTGCCGGAAGCTCTTGCCACATTCACCACAGATAGTGGGGCGCTCACCAGCAGGGATCCGGGACCGAGGAATCTTTGGGGGACCCTGGGCTGGTGGCCGGGCTCTATAGGGCTTCTCCCCACTATGAGTCCGCTGGTGTTTGATCCGGGCAGAGCTATCCCCAAAGCCCTTGCCACAGACCCCACACTTGTAGGGTTTCTCCCCTGTGTGGGTCCGCTGGTGTTTCACCAGATCTGACATCTGCCTGAAGCTTTTGCCACACTCACCACACACAGCGGCCCGATCACTACTAGCCTGGCCCCAGCGTGGTTCACCCAGGAGCCGGGGGCCTCTGTCCCGAGGCTGAGGCTTTCCTAGACCCTCTCTCTGGACCCATAAGTCATCCCAGTTCTGGATGCCTTCAGGTTTGAGAGAGGCATTTCCTACTTCATGATCTGGAGCCAAATCTTCTTCCTTGAACCCCAAGTCATCTTCCTGTGGGGTATGTTCAAACTCATTCGGCTGAGAAATCACGTTCTCACTCCCTAGACCTGAGGAAAGAAAAGGAAGTTGTAGACCCTCCCCTTTGGCTCGGTACTTATCTTTGACAGCAACCTCTCCAGGAAGACTCCCTTGACAATCTGTGGTCACAGGAACCCCAATCTCTCTGTCCTCTCAACCTCTGGTGCACTTACTATCTGTGCCTCTCAATAAAAACTTCTTTTTACTGTGCCCTTAATGTATGTCATTCACCAAACTCAGCATTAGTATTAAACGCTTGCAAACAATACTATAACACTATGACTATCCCCATATTACAGGCATGGAAAGACTCAGAGAATTTAAGTCCTTTTGCTGGAGGTTATAAAGGTTAGAAAGTAGCAAAGCCAGGCCAGCAGGGTGGCTCACACCTGTAATCCTAGCACTTTGGGAGGCCGAGGTGGGTGGATCACTTAAGCCCAGGAGTTAGAAACCAGCCTGGGCAACATGGTGAGACCCTAACTCTACAAAAAAAAATACAAAAATTAGCTGGGCATGGTGGTGCACACCTGTAGTCCCAGCTACTGGGAGGCTGAGGTAGGAGGATCACTTGAGCCCAGGAGGTGGAGGCTGCAGTGAGCTGTGATTGTGCCACTCTAGCCTGGGTGACACAGTGAGACCCTGTCGCCAAAAAAAAAAAAAAAAAAAAAAAGTAGCAAAGCGTGATGTCTAACTAAGGTCTCTCTGACACTCAAGCCCGTGTTAATCCCTACATTATATTGTCTATTTGGAAAACTTGGTATTTGCTATTATTATTGTATCTTATTATATTAGCCCATTCGGTAATTTATTACATCAGTTATCCTGTGTGTACCTGAGAGGACCCAGGCACACATCCCTTCCTCAAGAAGCTTAGGGTGGTAGGAGAGATAAGATTAAAGTATCAATGGTTATAATTGTGGGTGCAGAATAACTAGAATAACTATGTTGTCACAAGAGAGATAGGAGATAAGGAAATAGGAACCGGCATTACGGCAGAGCGAAGAGAAAATAATGGAGTGGAATGGAAGATAAGGTGTCAAAGGATGTTGGGACTAACCTGAGCACGCACGGTTTGGATTGGACACTAGCTAAGGCTTTTAATTAGGAGACTGGGGGACGCTAGGGAAGGTTTTCCAGAAGAGACACAGGATTATATCTGGACTTAGATCAAGCTGGCGAGAGAATGCATCAGTGGAGAGAAAGGGGCAGAGAGGAGGCTACTGCAATTGCCAGGATAAAACAGAATGAAGCCTGAAGTAGGGCAGAGGCAGTAAGGATGAGGAAGGCCGTGAGGGAGGGGACAGAGGCCGTGAAGAGCCCCTCCCGGCCTGGCGCACAGTTGGTGCTCCGAAAGCTCCCCTCCCCCTATCTCCCCAGAGGCACAGCTCACGTCCGATCTTCCAGGATCTCGGCCGGCCACAGCCAAGCATCGCAGTCCCCACCGGCCGTTACCTGTCCGTGGCGGCGCACGGCCGAGGCCCTCACCTGTGCGGGCGCCTCTCTGTGGCTCCCTCTCCTCCGGGCGGTGGAGATCTGGGCCCCAAGGCTCTACCGCGCGCTCCATCGCCGGCACGCCGCCCTGAGCAAGGGGACAGACAGCATCCCGCGGTCACGCAGCCATGTGTGGCCCGCGGCGCCCTGCCGCTGCCCTCTGCCGGCCAGCGCGGGCACCGGGCGGCGTCGGGTCCCAGGTACGGGCGCGGCTCCCGGTGCCCCCTGCCCGCGCCGCCGGCCGCCCCTGCACCTGCTGCTCCTCCCAGCGCGCAGCCGCCGCTCTCACCTTGCCGGCCGCCTCCGGCTCCGCCACCCCGGCGCCCTCCGGAGCTCCTCAGCGGGGTGCAGGCGCCCGAGCCGCCAGCGGCTCCGGGATGCAGGCTCCGCGCCAAGCCGGGAGCGGGCTCGGACCCAGGCGTCCCGGGGGCGGCCACCGGGGGCGGGGACGGGAAGCGGAAGCGCGGGGCCGCACGGAGCCGCTCTAGGACCTTGGAGGAGCTGCGGGCCTGTGGGGGTCGCCCGCGTCGGCGGTAGCTCTGTGGCCGGCGGGCGGCAGCGTGCGGCCCAGGGGCTACTCTAAGCCGAGGCCGGCGGCCCGAACTCGGTGGTATTAACCGTGTGCCTCCTGGGCTGCAGCTGGGTGGTGAGGCCCGAGGCTCTTCGTAATTGTGGCTGTGTGTCTCCAGCCACCCGCGCCGACCTCCCCGGCCGGCCGACAGCGCCAGCCACTCCGACCTGGGAGAGACAAAGAAAGAGGGATCCAAAGACGGACCCGGGGAAAGGGGTGGGGGAGAGACCAAGGCAGACAAAGGGCGGCGGAGACCCCAGACGGGGCGGGGCGGGGCGCCGAGACGTGGGAAACAAAGCGGGGCTGGTCCGAGAGGCCGAGGGCCCGGGGTGGGGGTGGGTATGGAATGGGGGCTGGGCTGGGGAGACCGAGGCAGGAGCAGAGGCTAGAGGCAGACACCGGGTAAATGCTGCTGGAGAGATGGAATCAGACCTGGGGCCCGGAACAGAGACCCTGAGCCAGAGACTCACATCAGAGCCCTGAGTCACAGAGGACGCAAAGGCAGAGAGAGACCGAGGGACAGCGGCTGACCAAAAATAAGGGGAGCCAAAGATTAGCCGCTAGAGACAGAGACGTAGAAACGGATAAGAGATAAAGTCATTGACGCAGAGTCCGAGGAGCAGTAAGAGGCTGGGAGCCTGGAGAGTAACAGGCCCAGAAGCAGAGGAACAAAAGACGATAGTGAGCGAAACGGGCAGAGACAAAGAGAAAGAGACACAAAGAAAGAGGCGGCCAGAAAGACTCCGGACAGGTCGGCAGCCCTATAGAGGCCAGGCTCAGGGAGAGGCTGAAGAACAAGCCCTGTTTCCCATCCTGGTGGGCCCCTGGCTGGAGCTGTGTTTCCAGGTTCCCAGGCCCTAGGAGCAAGATCCCAGTATCCGCTCTCTGGGCGGGCTTGGTTTTGGGGTGGAGAGAGTGTCTGGAGGTGTCTTCAGCCCCTCTGCCAATGATGGTGGGGGTAACTGTGGTTTATGCATTAATTCACATTTATTAGCATCTTAGTGCTAAGCCAAGAGTTGGGGATAAAAAGTTGAAACACCTGCAAGATTTGTCCTTGGAGAGCTACCAGTCTAAAGGAGCAAGTACACAAATCACTGAAATTAGAGAATTTAGCTGGGCCTGGTGGCCTGCCCCTGTAATCCCAGCTGAGAGGATTCCCTGAACCTGGGCATTCAAGGATGCAGTGAGCCATGATCGTGGATCGTGCCACTGTACTCCATGCTGGGCAACAGAGCGAGACCCTGTCTCTTTAAAAAAAAAAAAAAAGAGAGAGAGAATGGGCTGGGCCCAGTGGCTCATGCCTGTAATCCCAGCACTTTGGGAGGCCAAGGTGGGAGGATCACTTGAGGCCACTAGTTCGAAACCAGCCTAGGCAAAAAAGTGGACCTTGTCTCTACAAAAAAAAAACAAAAATTTAGCAGCGCATGGTAGCACATATCTGTGGTCCTGGCTACACTGGAGACTGAGGCAGGAGGATCACCTGAGCCCAGGAGGTTGAGGCTGCAGTAAACCATATTTGTGACACTGCCCTTCAGCCTGGGTAATAGAGCGAGACCCCATCTAAAAAAAAAAGAGAAAGAAAGAGAGACTGTTAAGGTAGTTATATGGACCCGGCCAGGTGCAGTGGCTCACACCTGTAATCCCAACACTTTGGGAGGCCGAGGCAGGTGAATTACATGAGGTCAGGAGTTTGAGACCAATCTGGCCAACATGGTGAAACCCTGTCTCTACTAAAAATACAAAACTTAGCAGGGCGTGGTGGCACGGGCCTGTAATCCCAGCTACTCAGGAGGCTGAGGCAGGAGTATCACTTGAACCTGAGAGGCGGAGGTTGGAAAGAGCCGAGATCACGCCACTGCATTCCAGCCTGGGTGACAGAGTCAGACTGCGTCTCAAAAAAATAAATAAATAAAATTTAAAAGGCCGGGTGTGGTGCCTCACACCTGTAATCCCAGCCCTTTGGGAGCCAGAGGCAGGAGCTCACTTGAGGTCAGGAGTTCCAGACCAGCCTGGCCAACATGGTGAAACCCCATCTCTACTAAAAATAAAAAAATTAGCAGGGCGTGGTGGCAGGCGCCTGTAATCCCAGCTACTTGGGAGGCTGAGGCAGGAGAATCACTTGAACCCCAGAGGCGGAGGTTGCAGTGAGCTGAGATCGCGCCATTGCACTCCAGCCTGGGGGACAAGAGCGAGACTTCATCTCAAGAAAAAAAAAAAAGAGTTATATGGACCAATTCACGATAGTGTGGGAGAACAGGAAGGGTTCTAGTTTGTAGTAATGAATCTCTGTGTGCCTGGCATGCATGGATGTTAGCACTGACAGAAACAGGGACCAGAAATCAACACATACCTATTGATCACTAGCTAATACCTAAACACTGTCCTAGGCCCTGGAAATAAAGAAACTCTTCAGGGAGCTCTTGGCCCAATAGGATATGGAGTTGTCAGATGGTGTGACAGGTTCTATATTGACTGTATGGACAAAATTTTATAGGAGTGTAGCGCACAGAGATACCTTCTGTAGTGTTCAGTGGGTGCAGATACTGTCTTTAAAGCCATTTATGCAGAGTGTGGTTCTTGGCCTTTGTCACTTAATTGCTACTTGACTTTAGGGAAGTTACTTAAGCTTCTGTTTCCCAAACTGTAAAATAGGGATGATAACAGCTAACTTTGATGGTTGAGGATGAATATGTGTAAAGCACTTAGCAAAAGTATCAGCTATTACTCTAATTGGTTTGATTTCGGCAAAGTCCAGACTCTGCCTGGAGTGGGGGCTGAATGAACAACTCCAGGCAGTGGGGGCTGAATAAACAGTGGGCCACATACTAATTGAAAACCTAATATGGGCCAGGCATGGTGGCTCACGCCTGTAATCCCAACACCTCGGGAGGCTGAGGTGGGCAGGTCTCTTGAGTCCAGCAGTTTGAGACCAGCCTGGCCAACATGGTGAAAACCCATCTCTAAAAAGATACAGGGCCGGGGGCGGTGGCTCACTCCTGTAATCCCAGCACTTTGGGATGCCGATGTGGGTGGATCACGAGGTCAGAAGATTGAGACCATCCTGGCTAACACAGTGAAACCCCGTCTCTACTAAAAATACAAAAAAATTAGATGGGCGTGGTGGCAGGCGCCTGTAGTCCCAGATACTCAGGAGGCTGAAGCAGGAGAATGGCGTGAACCTGGGAGGCGGAGCTTCCAGTTAGCCGAGATCGCGCCACTGCGCTCCAGCCTGGGCGACAGAGCGATACGCCGCCTCAGGAAAAAATAAAATAAATAAAAAGATACAAAAAAGTTAGCTGGGAGTGGTGGTGCACACCTGTAGTCCCAGCTACTTGGGAGGCTGAGGTGAGAGGATCTCTTGGGCGCGGGAGGTGAAAGTTGCAGGGAGCTGAGATCATGCCACTGCACTCCAGCCTGGGTGACAGAGCAAGACCCTATCCCACCCCCACCCCCCCGCCAAAAAAAAAGGAGAAAGAAAAGGAAAGAGAAAGAAAACCTTAGGCTGGAATCAGTGGCTCACGCCTATAATCCCCACACTTTGGGAGGCTGAGGCAGGTGAATCACCTGAGGTCAGGAGTTCGAGACCAGTTTGGCCAACATGGTGAAACCCCATCTCTACTAAAAAATACAAAAATTAGCCAGATGTGGTGGTACGCGCCTGTAATCCCAGCTACTCGGGAGGCGGAGGCAGGAGAATCGCTTGAACTCGCGAGCCGGAGGTTGCAGTGAGCTGAGATCACACCACTGCATTCCGTTCTGGGCAACAGAACAAAACTCTGTTTAAAAAAAAAAAAAGAAAAGAAAAAGACTGCCAGGAGCAGTGGCTCACGCCTGTAATCCCAGCACTTTGGTAGGCTGAGGCGGGCGGATCATGAGGTCAGGGGTTGGAGACCAGCCTGACCAACATGGTGAAAACCTGTCTCTACTAAAAATAAAAAAATTAGCTGGAGGTGGTGGTGCTCACCTGTAATCCCAGCTACTCAGGAGGCTGAGGCAGGAGAATCATTTGAACCCGGGAGGCAGAGGTTTCAGTGAGCAGAGATCACTGCACTCCAGCCTGGGCGACAGAGTGAGACTCCGTCTCAAAAAATAAAAATAAAAGAAAACCTAATGTGTGCTAGAAGCTTGAGATCCAAAGATGACTATGGATTACGACCTATCTTCAGAGAGGAAAATAGAGAATAGTTCCGTTTTAATGTGCCGTGAGTTTACATATTAGGAAAGCAGTGAAAGATGAAGATAGAATGTAAGTTTATTCGGCCGGGCGCAGTGGCTCACGCCTCTAATCCCAGCACTTTGGGAGGTCAAGGTGGGCAGATCACGAGGTCAGGAGATCGAGACCATCCTGGCTAACACATTGAAACCCTGTCTCTGGCCAGGCGCGGTGGCTCACGCCTGTAATCCCAGCACTTTGGGAGGCTGAGGTGGGCAGATCACGAGGTCAGGAGATCGAGAGCATCCTGGCTAACACGGTGAAACCCCGTCTCTACTAAAAATATAAAAAAAAAATTAGCCAGGCGTGATGGCGGGCGCCTGTAGTCCCAGCTACTCAGGAGGCTGAGGCAGGATAATGGCATGAACCCAGGAGGCGGAGCTTGCAGTGAGCCGAGATCACACCACTGCACTCCAGCCTGGGCGACAGAGAAAACTCCATCTCAAAAAAAAAAAAAAAAAAAAAAAAAAAAAAAAAAAAAACCCGTCTCTACTAAAAATACAAAAAATTAGCTGGGCGTGGTGGCAGGTGCCTGTAGCCCCAGCTACTCGGGAGGCTGAGGCAGGAGAATCACGTGAACCCGGGAGGGGATGTTGCAGTGAGCCCAGATCGCACCACTGCACTCCATCCTGGGCGACAGAGCGAGACTCCGACTCAAAAAAAATAAATAAATAAAAATAAAAAAGAATGTAAGTTTATTCATTTGTTCCACAAACATTTCCTGGGTATCCATCAGGTACTGGGCATTTGTGCTGGGAAATAGAAGAGGGTATAAATGGTCAGCATGCCTGCCATATTCATTTGCAGAGCTGCCTAACTCTGACTTTGAGAGGACAAATCCTATAGTTATTAGATCTGAACTTGAATTAATGTCTAAAGATATAGAAGTCCCTCAAGGGATGCAAGGGGTGGGGAAGAGGTAACTGTGAAGACATGATGGCAAGATGAAGAAGAACTAATACGGGCTGGGCATAGTGGCTTACACCTGGAATCCTAGTGCTTTGGGAGGCCAAGGCAGGAGAATCATTTGAGGTCAGGAGTTTGGGACCAGCCTGGCCAACATAGTGACCCCATCTCTAAAAAGAAAAAAGAATTAGCCAGGGATGGTGTTGCAAAGCTATAGTCCCAGCTACTTGGGAGGCAGAAGTGAGCCCAGGTGTTCAAGACTGCAATAACCTATGATCGCACTACTACATTCCAGCCTGGGCAACAGAACAAGACCCTGTTTCTAAAAAAAAAAAAAAAAAAAAAAAAAAAAAAAAAAAAACTAATCCAAATGACTAAATAATTACTAAATGGGAAGAGAGCTGTCCACCACACACTGCCCTATATGAAACTCAAGGTACTGCCTTCCTTTGTCAAAGCAAACAAGCCCCAAATATCATATGAATGATTCGCCATAATTAGTTGGAATTAATAAGCATGGAAATGGACTATGGTGTCACTGTTAATTCATATAAACTCTACATTTAACACAATGACCAAGCAAGAGCCTTTTTTTTTTTTTTTTTGAGACAGAGTCTCACTCTGTTGCCCAGGCTGGAGTGCAGTGGCACGATCTCGGCTCACCACAACCTCTGCCTCCCAGGTTCAAGCAATTCTTCTGCCTCAGCCTCCCAAGTAGCTGGGATTACAGGCGCGCACCACCATGCCCAGCTAATTTTTGTATTATTATTATTTTTTTTTTTTTTTTGAGATGGAGTCTCGCTCTGTTGCCTAGGCTGGAGTGCAGTAGCACAATCTCGGCTCACTGCAAGCTACACCTCCCGGGTTCACGCCATTCTCCTGCCTCAGCCTCCCGAGTAGCTGGGACTACAGGGCCCACTACCACGCCCAGCTAATTTTTTGTATTCTTAGTAGAGAGGGGTTTCACCGTGTCAGCCAGGATGATCTCGATCTCCTGACCTCGTGATCCGCCCGCCTCAGCCTCCCAAAGTGCTGGAATTACAGGCATGAGCCACTGTGCCCAGCCAATTTTTGTATTTTTAGTAGAGACAGAGTTTCACTTTGTTGGCCAGGCTAGTCTCGAACTCCTGATCTCATGATCCGCCTGCCTCAGCTTCCCAAAGTGCTGGGATTACAGGCGTGAGCCACCACACCCGGCCACAAGAGCCTTTTTTGCAGGGTTGTTTTCTTTTTGTTGTTGTTTTTGTTTTTATTTTTATTTATTTTTATTTTTAATTTTCTTTTGAGATAGAGTCTTACTCCGTCGCCCAGGCTGGAGTGCAGTGGCGCAGTCTCGGCTCACTGCAACCTCTGCATCCTGAGTTCAAGCAATTCTCCTGCCTCAGCCTCCTGAGTAGCTGAGATTACTGGTGTGCGGCACCACGCCCGGCTAATTTTTGTATTTTTTTTTTAGTAGAGATGGGGTGTCGCCATGTTGGCCAGGCTGGTCTTGAACTCCTGACCTTAGGTGATCCACCCACGTTGATCTCCCAAAGTGCTGGGATTACAGGCGTGAGCCACCGCGCCTGGACTGTGGTTGTTTTTTTTGAGACAAGGTCTCGCCCTATTGCCACTGCACCTGGCCTGGCATTAATATGTACAAATGCTTAAAATATATAACTTCCTGGGCCGGGTGCAGTGGCTGTAATCCCAGGACTTTGGGAGACCAAGAAGGGAGGATTGTGTGAGTTCAGGAGTTCAAGACCAGCCAGGGCAACATAGCAAGATCTTGTCTTTACTAAAAATCAAAAAGCTTAACTGGGTATGGTGGTGAACACCTGTAGTCCCAGCTAAAACAAACACAAAAACTAAAACAAAAACAGATAATGTACATGTGCATGTATCATAGAAAGATGTAGAGAACAGGCCTGGCGTGGTGGCTCACACCTGTAATCCTAGCACTTTGGGAGGCTGAGGTGGGTGGATCACCTGAGATTGGGAATTCGAGACCAGCCTGACCAACACTGAGAAACCCCATCTCTACTAAAAATACAAAAAAAATTAGCCAAGCGTGGTGGTGCATGCCTGTAATCAATCCCAGCTACTTGGGAGGCTGAGGTAGGAGAATCGCTTGAACTCAGGAGGCGGAGGTTGTGGTGAGCCGAGATCGCGCCATTGCACTCTAGCCTGGGCAACAAGAGAAAAACTCCCTCTCCAAAAAAGAAAAAAAAAAAGATGTAGAGAACACATGAAGCAACAAAAGCATGTTTCCAAAGTTATAATGTGACCCTATTTTTATAAATATAAACAGTGTGTATACATATATATAGGCGTACGAGAAGGATAAATACTAAAATTGGGTTATAGAAAGATAGTGATTGGGAGGCCAAGGTGGGCAGAGCACCTGAGGTCAGAAGTTCAAGATCAGCCTGGACAACATGGTGAAACCCTGTCTCTACTAAAAATACAAAAATTAGTCAGGTATGATGGCAGGCATCTGTAATCACAGCTAGTCGGGAGGCTGAGGCAGGAGAATCACTTGAACCCAGGAGGCAGAGGTTGCAGTGAGCCGAGATCGCGCCATTGTACTCCAGCCTGGGTGACGAGGAAAACTCTGTCTTTTTTTGGTTTTGTTTTGTTTTGGAGAGGAAGTCTCACTCTTGTCCCCCAGGCTGGAGTGCGATGGTGCGATCTCCACTCACTGCAACCTCTGCCTCCCGGGTTCAAGTGATTCTCCTGCCTCAGCCTCCCGAATATCTGGGATTACAGGCATGCGCCACCATGCCTGGCTAATTTTTGTATTTTTAGTAGAGACAGGATTTCAACATGTTGGCCAGGCTGGCCTTGAACTCCCGACATCAGGTGAACCGCCCACCTAGGCCTCCCAAAGTGCTGGGATTACAGGAGTGAGCCATGGCGCCCCGCCGAAACACTGTCTTTAAAAAAAAAAAAAAAAGGCCGGGCGCGGTGGCTCACGCCTGTAATCCCAGCACTTTGGGAGGCCAAGGCGGGCGGATCACAAGGTCAGGAGATCGAGACCATCCTGGCTAACACGGTGAAACCCTGTCTCTACTAAAAATACAAAAAAATTAGCCAGGCATGGTGGTGGGCACCTGTAGTCCCAGCTATTCGGGAGGCTGAGGCAGGAGAATGGCGTGAACCCTGGAGGCAGAGCTTGCAGTGAGCCAAGATCGTGCCACTGCACTCCGGCCTGAGTGACAGAGCAAGACTCTGTCTCAAAAAAAAAAAAAAAAAAAAAGGCCAGGTGCAGTGGCTCATACCTGTAATCCCAGCACTTTGGGATGCCGGAAGTTCAAGACCAGCCTGACCAACATGGTGAAACCCCATCTCTACTAAAAATACAAAATTACCTGGGCGTGGTGGCACATGCCTGTAATCCTAGCTACTCGGGAGGCTGAGGCAGGAAAATCACTTGAACCCGGGAGGCAGAGGTTGCAGTGAGCCGAGATCACACCATTGCACTCCAGCTTGGACAACAAGAGCGAAACTACAAGGGCGAAACTCCATCTCAAGAAAAAAAAAATGGTGATATCACATTAAAAAATATATTTTTTTCGAGGTAGGGTCTGGCTCTGTCACACAGACTGGACGATCCTCCCACCTCAGCCTTCTGAGTAGCTGGGACCACAGGTGCATGCCACCATGCCCAGCTAATTTTTGTATTTTTTGTAGACATGGGGTTTCACCATGTTCCCCAGGCTGGTCTCGAATTCCTGAGCTTAAGCCATCCTCCTGCCTCAGCCTCCCAAAGTGCTGGGATTACAGGCATGAGCCACCACTCCCGGCCCACATTTAAATGTTTATATTTCAATTGCATTTTATAATTTTTCTATGAAAACATGTGTTGGTTGTACAATAAACAGATAAATATATATCATCCTAAATTTTGTATTTTTTTTGAGACAGGGTCTCGCTCTGTCACCCATGCTAAAGTGTAGTGACACCACAATGACTCATTGCAGCCTCAAATTCCTGGGCTCAAGTGATCCTCCTGCCTCAACCTCCCAACTAGCTGGGGCAACAATTGTGCACCACGATGCCCAGCTAATTTTTTTTTTTTAATTTGTAAAGACAGGATCTCACTGTGTTGCTCAGGCTGGTCTCAAACTCCTGGCCTCAAGTGATCCTCCCACCTCGGCCTCCCAAAGTGCTGAGATTACAGACATGAGCCACTGCCTGGCCTACATGTTATCCTCTTTTTTATTTATTTTTTTAATACAGATCGGGTCTTGCTATGTTGACCAGACTGGTCTTGAACTCCTAGCCTCAAGCAATCCTCCCACCTCAGCCTCCCAAAGCACTGGGATTACAGGCGTGAACCACCACGCCCAACATTTTTTTTTTTCCTTTAAACATGTTATTCTGTCAAAGGCTGTTGAATAACTCAGAGAAGAGTTGATCAGGGTCTGAACCCAAAGCAGGTTAATGGCATGGAGAGTGTGAAGAAAAGGGGACCAATTTTTCTGAAGGATAGGTGGGAATTGGAAACTCACTGGAAACACTTGTGGGGAGTGAGAGTGGGAGGAGTTCAGAAAGTTTTTTTTCCTTTTTTTTGAGACAGAGTCTTGCTCTGTCGCCAGGCTGGAGTGCAGTGGTGTGATCTTGGCTCACTGCAACCTGCGCCTCCTGGGTTCAAGTGATTCTTGTGCCTCAGCCTCCCAAGTAGCTGGGATTACAGGCACGCGCCACCACATCCAACTAATTTTTGTATTTTTAGTAGAGACGGGGTTTCACCATGTTGGCCAGGATGGTCTCGATCTCCTGACCTTCTGATCTGCCTGCCTTGGCCTCCCCAAGTCCTGGGATTACAGGCGTGAACCACCACACCCGGCTGATTTCAGAATTTTAACTAAGACCATAGAGATGCTCAACCTGGTGAGAGATGCAGGAGGAAGGCCGGTGGTGGAGTGCTGAGAGGTAACATGATCCCTGCCCTTTGCTTATTTATTTATTTATATTATTATTATTATTATTATTATTATTATTATTATTATTATTATTTGAGAAAGAGTTTTGCTCTTGTTGCCCAGATTGGAGTGCAATGGCACAATCTCAGCTCACCGCAAACTTCACCTCCCAGGTTCAAGTGATTCTCCTGCTTCAGCTCCCGTGTAGCTGGGATTACAGGCATGCGCCATCACGCCCTGCTAATTTTGTATTTTTAGTAGAGTCAGGGTTTCTCCATGTTGCTCAGGCTGGTCTCGAACTCCTGACCACAGGTGATCTGCCTGACTCAGCCTCCCAAAGTGCTGGGATTACAGGCATGAGCCACCGCGCCTGGCCTACTTATTTATTTTTTTGAGACGGAGTCTTGCCCTGTCGCCCAGGCTGGAGTGCAGTGGCAGGATCTTGGCTCACTGCAACCTACGCCTCTCAGGTTCTAGCAATTCTCCTGCCTCAGCCTCCCTAGTAGCTGTGATTACAGGCGTGCACCACCATGCCTGGCTAATTTTTGTATTCTTAGTAGAGACGGGGGTTTCACCATGTTGGCCAGGCTGGTCTCGAACTCCTGGCCTCAAGTGATCCGACTGCCCTGTCCTCCCAAAATGCTGGAATTACAGGCATGAGCCACCGCACCCAGCCCCCCTTTCCAGATTCTTAACAGTCCCTAGATGGTATTAAGTAGCATTTTTGTTTGTTTGTTTTTTGTTTTTTGAGACGGAGTCTTGCTCTGTCACCAGGCTGGAGTGCAGTGGCACGATCTTGGCTCGCTGCAACCTCCACCTCCTGGGTTCAAGCAATTCTGCTTTAGCCTCCTGAGTAGCTGGGACTACAGGCAATGCCACCATGCCCAGCTAATTTTTTGTATTTTTAGTAGAGATGGGGTTTCACCATGTTGGCCAGGATGGTCTCAATCTCTTGACCTCGTGATCTGCCCGACTCAGCCTCCCAAAGTGCTGGGATTACAGGTGTGAGCCACCGCAGCGGTCCTGAGGTAGATTTGTTTGTTTGTTTGTTTGTTTGAGATAGGGTCTTGCTCTGTTGCCCAGGATGGAGTGTAGCGGTGCAATCTCGGCTCACTGCAACCTCCACCTCCTGGGCTCAAGCAATTCTCTTGCCTCAGATTCCCAAGTAGCTGGAATTATAGGTACGCACCACCATGCCTGGCTAATTTTTGTATTTTTGCTAGACAGGGTCTCGCCATGTTGGCCAGGCTGGTCTTGAACTCCTGGCCTCAAGTGATCCACCCGCCTCGGCCTCCCAAAGTGCTGGGATTACAGGTGTGAGCCACCACGCCAGCCAGGTGCTGGGAATCTGAAGGAGGGACAATGACCCTGCCTAGGGTAGGTGGAGAGATTGCATAGAGGCAGAGCCCTTGGAAAGAAACACTTGAAGGATGAGGAAGAGTTTAACTGATTCAGAAAAAGGAAAAGCTCAATGTGGGTAGAGAGCCAAGGACGTTTGGAAGAGTGAGAGATGGGGTGATGAGGCCAGCTGAGGGAGGCTTTGGCAGTCAGGCCAGAATTCAGACTTGACTCTGAGTTACTGGGGAGTTCCTGAAGGATTTTGAGCAGTGGAGTTCTTTGGCCAGGATTCTGAAGGAAAATCTCTCGGGCAGTGGTGTCCAAAGACCTGGAGTCCTTTTATGAATCCATTGTCTGAGCTGGAAAATGTATGGCTTCACCCACTCCCAATCCCATCATGGCTTCTGGTCCACTTTTTTCTTTTTCTTTTTTTGAAACAGCGTTGGCCTGGCATGGTGGCTCACGCCCGTAATCCCAGCAGTTTGGGAGGCCGAGGCGGGCAGATCACGAGGTCAGGAGATCGAAACCATCCTGGCTAACACGGTGAAATCTCGTCTCTACTAAAAACACAAAAAAATTAGCCAGGCGCGGTAGCAGGTGCCTGTAGTCCCAGCTACTCGGGAGGCTGAGGCAGGAGAATGGCGGGAACCCGGGAGGTGGAGCTTGCAGTGAGCCGAGATGGCGCCACTACACTCCAGCCTGGGCAACAGAGCGAGACTCCGTCTCAAAAAAAGAAAGAAAGAAAGAAAAAGAAACAGGGTTTTGCTGTGTTGCTCAGGCTGGAGTGTAGTGGTGTGATCACAGCTCACTGCAGTCTTGATCTTCTGGGCTCATGCAATCCTCCCACCTCAGCCTCCCCAGTAGCTGGGACTACAGGATTGTACCAACATGCCTGGCTAATTTTTTAATGTTTTGTAGAGATGGTAGAGGGGCA
This sequence comes from Homo sapiens, assembly GCF_000001405.40. Taxonomy (NCBI): domain Eukaryota; kingdom Metazoa; phylum Chordata; class Mammalia; order Primates; family Hominidae; genus Homo; species Homo sapiens. Next base: position 30,382,998 of record NC_000016.10, on the reverse strand, counting down.
CGTCCCTCTGTTGCCCAGGCTGGTCTGGAACTCCTTGGCTCAAGCTGTCCTCCCTCCTCCGCCTCCCAAAGTGCTGAGATTACAGGCGAGAGCCACCTTGCCCGTCCTGGGAACTGTTTTCTAATCAGCTCATCAAAACCTTCATCTCCCCTGCTAACAAAGGGAGCCACTTCCTTCCTCTCTGCACATACCCCATGTCTCACCACGATGATGGAGCTACAGTGGGACTTGGAATCCAGATGTGTGAAGGATGGAGGGTTGAAGGTACGTAGACAGGTGATGGGCAAAGGGGTCCAGGAGGTGGCAACCCCAAGTGTTCTTGGCCTTGGCCTTCCCCACCTCTCTGGGACTGGGCCAGTTTGAGCATCTCAGCTGCCTCTTCTGCCCGCCCCCTTGTTAGCCGCACTCAGCTTCCTGCCCCACCAGAGGAAGTGGGGAGAGACGGCAGGTGCAGTGATGGCTGGCGGAGTCATGGTGAGTCCTTACACCCAGAAACCTGGGCATCTCGGCCCCCAGCCCCCATGCCTGGGGTCCCCAGACCCCACTGACTCTTCCTAGCCCAGGAACTCAAGTGATCCTGGGGACCCTGCCTGCCATTGCCAGCAGCCTCATATTGTCCACCCCCATCCATAGGACAAGGAGTACGTGGGTTTTGCTGCCCTCCCCAACCAGCTGCACCGCAAGTCTGTCAAGAAGGGGTTTGACTTCACGCTAATGGTGGCAGGTCTGGGGGTTTTGGAGAGGGAACTGCGGAGGGGATGTCCTTAGGAGGCCCTGGCTGTCCCCTCCCCTGACCAGTTGGGCCTGTTCTGTCCACAGGGGAGTCAGGCCTAGGGAAATCCACCCTCATCAACAGCCTCTTCCTCACCAACCTCTATGAGGATCGCCAGGTGCCAGAGGCCAGTGGTAAGACCCTCCCCACCCTCTTGAGGCAGTAGCCCCTGTCCCCAGGTTACACCCTAGTCTTTTCCATCTGGGGACTCAGGTAGTTGACTGCTTTTTTTCTGAGACTTTCCTCCCCTGGGAAATGGGTGCAGGCAACTGTGATATTGACAAAGGAAATTAATTCTGCCTCAGAGCCTCCCCGGATCCCTGACCTCTCCCCCATCCCACAGCTCGCTTGACACAGACCCTGGCCATTGAGCGCCGGGGCGTAGAGATTGAGGAAGGGGGTGTGAAAGTGAAGCTGACCCTTGTGGACACACCTGGCTTTGGGGACTCAGTGGACTGCTCTGACTGGTGAGGAAGAGGAAAGGGGACAGAGGCTCAGCCTTTCACAGTGGCGACTCCCTGGAGAGTTACAGGACTGGTTTGTGCTGGCTCCCTATCTCAAAAGGTGGTGTCTGTTTCAGAGGGCCACTGGGTCCCTGTGCTTCTTGATGACTCACCTAGGCCCCCACCAGTTCCCCTTAATGTCTTTGGAGGGAGCCAAAGAAATGACATTCTACTCCCACAGTCCTGGCTAGCCTTGCCCCCTGCCCTCTGGCCTTTGATCTCTGACCTCACATCCTCTCCCCACACCCAGCTGGCTTCCGGTGGTGAAATTCATCGAGGAGCAATTTGAGCAGTACCTTAGGGATGAGAGTGGCCTGAACCGGAAGAACATCCAGGACTCCCGAGTCCACTGCTGCCTCTACTTCATCTCACCCTTCGGCCGGGGGTCTGGTGGGGGGATCCTGGGGGCTGGCGCATTTAGGGAGGGCTGGGGGGTCTCTGCCCCCTGAGGCTGGGCAATGACCAATCCCTGGGTGCAGGCTCCGGCCCCTAGATGTGGCCTTCCTCCGGGCAGTACACGAGAAAGTCAACATCATCCCAGTCATTGGCAAAGCGGATGCTCTGATGCCCCAGGAAACCCAGGCCCTCAAGCAGAAGGTGTGAGTGATGACCTCTGACCTTTGACCCCATGTGAAGCCAAACCTGATTTCAGCTTAGACTTCTTTGATCTTGAAGTGGCCTTTCTGGAGCATGGTGCATCAGGCTAGATTGTAGGAGAAGCTTCTGAGGAAGGCGGGTGGTAAGCCGCCAGCATAGCCATGTCTCTGAAGGCTCAAAATAGGCTACATATGCAGCCCCCGGGCTAGATGCCTGGCTGAGGCCTATTTGAGGGCAGGAGCATAGACATGAGAACATAGTGACTTCCCTCTGGCCCCCACCCCGTGTCTTCAGAGCCCTTTCCCACTGTTTCTGCTTATATCTCTCTCGGCCTCTCTTTCTCTCTCTTTTTTTTTTTAGATAGAGTCTCACTCTGTGGCCCAGGCTGCAGTACAGTGGCAAGATCAGAGCTCACTGCAGCCTCGAACTTGTAGGCGCAAGTGATCCTCCTGCCTCAGCCTCTTGAGTAGCAGGGACTATAGATGAACACCACCATGCCTGGCTAACTTAAAAAATATTTTTTTGGCTGGGCTTGGTGGCAGACACCTGTTAATCCCAGCACTTTGGGAGGCTGAGGTCAGTGGACTGCTTGAGCTGAAGAGTTTAAGACAAGCCACGGCAACATGGTAAAACCCCATCTCTACAAAAAGTACAAAAACCAGCCAGGTGTGGTGGTGTGCACTTGTAGTCCCAGTTACTCAGGAGGCTGAGATGGGAGGATCACCTGAGCCTGAGAGGTTGAGGCTGCAGTGAACCAAGATGGAGCCACTGGACTCCAGCCTGGGTGATAGAGTGAAACCTTGTTTCAAAATATATGTGTATATTTGTTGTAGAGATGGGATCTAGCTATATTGCCCAGGCTTCTCCTGGTCTCTTAATGTCTGCCCCATCTTAGAATCTTGTGTTTCTCACCATCTATGTCTCTGAGATTTTGTTTTTGTCTTCCTGTATGTCCATCTCTCCCCATCTCTGTCTTTCATGTCTTTCTCTCTGTCTCTGACCACCCAGTATCTCTGTGTCTCACTGTCTCTGGTCATGAAATGTCTGTCATTGTGGCCCGTTTCACACTGTCTCTATATCTGTTTCCCCTGAGATCCGGGATCAGTTGAAGGAAGAGGAGATCCACATCTACCAGTTCCCCGAATGTGACTCTGATGAAGATGAAGACTTCAAGAGGCAGGATGCAGAGATGAAGGTGTGGGAAACAAAGAAGGAAGGCAGGCCGGGCACGGTGGCTCACGTCTGTAATCCCAGCACTTTGGGAGGCTGAGACGGGAGGATCCCCTGAGGTCAGGAGTTCCAGACCAGCCTGGGCAACATGGCGAGACCCCACCTCTACTAAAAATACACAAATTTGCCAGGTGTGATGGTGGGCGCCTGTAATTCCAGCTACTCGGGAGGCTGAGGCAGGAGAATCACTTGAACACTCCAGCCTGGGCAATGGAGTGAGACCCTGTCTCAAAAAAAAAAAAAAAAAAAAAAAAAAGAGGAAGGGGCAGGAAGCAGAGGAGGCGGGTGTGGAGATTGAAGCTGGGAAAGAGAAAGTTTCTGCCGTGTGAGCCAATGGTGAACCCCTGCCCCCTGCCCTCCAGGAAAGCATCCCTTTTGCAGTCGTGGGATCATGCGAGGTGGTGAGGGATGGCGGGAACCGGCCGGTGAGGGGACGCCGCTACTCCTGGGGGACCGTGGAGGGTGAGTGAGGCCAGGCAGGGGTCCTAAGGCCAGCAGGGAGCCCGGGGCCTCTGGGTCAGGCGCACTCAACATGTGAAGTTGGGGTGGGCTTTGGTCCCAGGGGATCCTAGGAGGAAAGGGGGGTCGCTGGGCTGCAGACCGCGGACCCTCCGCTAGAGTGGCAGCAGGACTTTCCTGTAGACCCGACCCTTACGGGTGGGTTGGACCCGAAACTCCCTGACGTTCGCTGGTCCGCGCCGCCCCCCCTCCAGTGGAGAACCCACATCACTGCGATTTCCTGAACCTGCGACGGATGCTGGTGCAGACACACCTGCAGGACCTGAAAGAGGTGACGCACGATCTGCTCTACGAGGGCTACCGGGCCCGCTGCCTACAGAGCCTGGCCCGGCCTGGGGCTCGCGATCGAGCCAGCCGCAGGTGAGACCCGGGGCGGACAGTATCAGAGCCTCCAAGGTCCCGCCTCACCCATGACCCCGCCCTGAGGACTCGTCCCCACCACCCGTGACTCCGCCTTCACCACTCAGACTTCTCTCTCCCTCCCTCCCTCCCTCCCTCCCTCTCTCCGTCTCTCCCTCTCTCCCCCTCTCTCCCCACCCGCTTTGCCTCCGGCCCTAACCTCAAGGAACTGGCTCCGCCTCCTAGACCCCAACCTCGCCCCAGGCCCTGCCTCCTGGGCCTCACCCACAACCTCAGGTCCCGCTCCTGATTCCTGTCCCCTTCCCACTGTCCCGCAGTAAGCTTTCCCGCCAGAGCGCCACAGAGATCCCGCTGCCCATGCTGCCTCTGGCGGACACCGAGAAGCTGATCCGCGAGAAAGACGAAGAGGTGAGCACGCACCTCGCTTCCCCCCGACCGATGCCCCAGGTCCCCCTCTGGCTTCGCCAGGTCACCGCCTGCAATCTCGCCCTGCACAGCTGCGCCGCATGCAAGAGATGCTGGAGAAGATGCAGGCCCAAATGCAGCAGAGCCAGGCCCAGGGCGAGCAGTCAGACGCCCTCTGAGGCCACGCCCCGCCCGGCCTTACCTCGGCTCCGCCTTCAGTCGGCCTCTTGTCCAATCCCCGCGCCCCACACTGCCCAGCGCCCCCCGGGACCTCCGCGGGTGCCGCCCTCGCGCGGGCTAGGGGGAGGTTCTCCCAGCCTGAGTCCGTAGCCCCGCCCCGGCGCTGGTCCCGCCCACCCAGACACCGCCCACTTCCCGGCCCGGGGCCTGCACAATCTCCGACCGCATCACTGTCTTCCGGAGTCCCCCTTCTTCTCCCAGACTCTGTCTTCAATAAAAACTGAGCTTCCCGCGGCCACGCGAGCCTTCTCCTTCCTTGCGGAAAAAGGCGGCGGGCGTAGATTGTGGGGCCGACCCCCGCAGGCCTCCAGGCCGCATCCATTCATTTGTGGGGCGCTCCCACCTGAGGCCCTCGCGCAGACACTCTGAAGGCGCCGCCCATAAGAAACAAAGATCAGTTAAATTTTATTGGGAGCCGGGGTGGAGGTCGGGCCGAACAGAAGCGTCGGGCAGCGGAGGCCCGCGGGTGCCCCTACTCCTGGTCCTTGGCGTCGCCGTGCGTGATGACGTAGCAGATGTTTTTGTAGTCGACGTTGCCGCCCACGTCGGGGGGGAAGGCCGCCCACATGTTCTTGATCTGGGGAAAGACGTAGGGGCGTCTCGCACAGGCCCTTAGTCTCCCCGGCCCCAGCCCCTTTGCTGC